>NC_000004.12:45004985-45314409 GCF_000001405.40 Homo sapiens
AATTATGACAAGCAGCTCGAGCTTCCTTCTGTGGTCTATGGAAACTTCTCATCAACACTTCTTTGCCCTTTTGACTTGATTTGCCTTCCTGTAAGTTGAAAGTCCCCGTGACTCAGAATAAACTTTGCAGATTTTTTTCCTGTCTCTCTCTTCATGTAGCTGTCTTTTCAGATGACAAAAAATTGGCATATGCAAAGCTTCTTGTGGCTCAGAATATTTCTCTTTTCTGACACAAAGGTACCCCGCTGGGAAAGGTGGATATCATTGCTTATTTTCAAAGTCAGTGCTGTCTTTTTGCCATACCATGGTGTTAAACTGGGTTCAGGGAGATTACCGGAGACAGCCAGTGATCTTCACTTATGTAAGGTAGGAAGAAGGGAGACAATAATGAGTGTCCACTTGGTGACATGACAACATACCTGGAAATTCTGTGGTATGACTCTGAGTAATTTAGAGATGTCTCTAGCTTTTCTGTGACCCCACCTATAAAAAGGTATTGTTTCTACATCTAATATTTTATTTATATCTTTTTTATAAAAATTGAATTTTATCATTAGCCTGTTTACCTTGTCTCATTAATTCCAACATCCAGGTAAAATAATTTTGGGCAATTCCTTATTGAATAGCTTCATTACTTTAGAAAAATCTTCTCCCTGAACATTTTGTCTAGATGAATGTACAGGTTCTAGATGTGTAAGTTTAAAATTTAAAATCTTTACTATCTTTGGCAGTTATTCTTCCTAGTTTTGACTTGTCATTTTATTTAATTTGTTGTTTCAGTAAATATATTTTTTTCTATTTTGTTGATTTTGGCTGGGAGTATAGGAAGAAAATTAAATTATAATTGCTGGAGTTTCAGATAATTCATTGTAAAACCACCCCAGATTTTCATTTCAAAGAAAATCTCTCTGGCAATTGATTATTAGAGATAAAGGAAGAGGAAAATGAAGGCTGAAGATGAATCCAAAGTCTTTTAATTAGAGGAAGTATGAACTAATATATTGGCATTAGTGTTAAAGAAAATAAAATGGAGTCTTGTTAAAGAAGAAGGACTAGGAGAATTTCATGATTGCTTTCAAGCTAGGCCGAGGGAGAGCAGAATCAAGCACAAAAGTCTGTTTGATGTTGACACACAAGTTTAATTTTCTGCTATTTTCTGGATTAAGAAAATCAGAAGAAGTTCAGTTCATTGTAATAGATGATGAGTATACTGTTGAACAGGGTGAGCTTTCAAAATTTTTGGAACATCAAGTAGTTGATTTTTATCTCTAGGGTGTGTCAATGCCTGGAGGCATTTTTGTTTGTCATAACTGGGAGTGGTGAGTGCTAGTGGCCTCAGGTAGGTGGGGACCAGAGAAGATGCTAAAATTATTAATATGTACAGGATAGCCCCTCAACAAAGGATTATCTGGTCCCAAGTGTCAATAATGTTGATGTTAAAAAGTCATGCTCTAGACTGGGTGCAGTGGTTCATGCCTGTAATCCCAGCACTTCAGGAGGCTGAGGTAGGCGGATCACCTGAGGTCAGGAGTTTAAGACCAGCCTGGCCAACATGGTCTATCTCTACTAAAAATACAAAATACATGGTTTATCTCTACTAAAAATACAAAAATTAGCCAGATGTGGTGGCACACACCTGTAATCCCAGCTACTTGAGAGGCTGAGGCATGAGAATCTCTTGAATCCAGGAGGTGGAGGTTGCAGTGAGCTGAGATCAAACCACTGCACTCCAGCCTGGGCAACAGAGTGTGACTTGGTCTCAAAAAAAAAAAAAAAAAAAAAAGTCATGCTCTAAGTGGAGATGTCAATAGGCAGTTCCATATTCAGGTCTGGAATTCAAAAGGGAGAACGATGTTAGAGCCACATTTTGGGAGCAGACCTCTAGTTGACCCCAAATGCGTTATTTATTCCTATTGAACATACAGAGAGACTACATTTCTCAGCTTCCCTTCTGTTAGGTGAGTTTTTGTGACTCACTTCTAACTAATGGAATTCAAAAATAATGATACACACTACTTCTAGGTCTAGTGTATTAAAAATTTTCCATTTGCAGGTG
Source organism: Homo sapiens (assembly GCF_000001405.40). Lineage (NCBI taxonomy): Eukaryota > Metazoa > Chordata > Mammalia > Primates > Hominidae > Homo > Homo sapiens. Next base: position 45,007,042 of record NC_000004.12, read on the forward strand.
GCTCACGCCTGTAATCCCAGCACTTTGGGAGGCCGAGGCGGTGGATCACGAGGTCAGGAGATCAAAAGCATCCTGGCTAACACGGTGAAACCCCATCTCTACTAAAAATACAAAAAAATTGGCCAGGCTGCTCTGGAGGCTGAGGCAGGAGAATGGCGTGAACCCGGAAGGCGGAGCTTACAGTGAGCCAAGATTGCGCCACTGCTCTCCAGCCTGGGCGACAGAGCAAGACTCTGTCTCCAAAAAAAAAAAAAAAAAATTAAAAAAAAATCCATTTTCAGTCCTCTATGTCTTTCCCTTTCCATTTGCTTTATACGAATGAGAACAACCAACCTAGAAGCCATGCAAAGATGGTTGATCCACAATACAGAATTTTCCTAATTAGAAATCAGTACTTGGAAGAGAAAACTACCTGCTCGTTGAGAACACTTGTGTTGGACCACTTGTAAGTAACAAAATAAACAGCTATTTTAAGAATTGGAGCGTTTGTGGTTATATTTGTTATCTACTTCTGCATAACAACCCCACAATTTAGTAACTTAACAAACATTTATTATCTCACACAGTTTCTGAGAGTCAGGAATCTCGGAGCAACTTAGCTGAGTGGTGCTGGCTCTGCATCTCTTGTAAAGTTGCAATCAAGTTGTCAGCTGGGGCTGCAGTCATTTCAAGGCTCAACTGGAGCCAGAGAATCTGCTTCTAAGCTCACAGGGTTGTTGGCAGGCCTCACTGTCTCATTGGCTGTTTGCCGGGGCCTCTGTTCCTTGCCACATGGGCCTCTCCAGAGGCTGTCTGAACAGCCTCCCTATATGGCAGCTGACTTCCACCAGAGCTGGTAGTAGAGAGAGGGGAGAAGAACTAAAAAAGATAAGGAGTGGGAGACACTAAAGATGGAGGCACAGAAGCCACGGTCTTTTATAATCTGATCTCAGAGATAGCATACCATCACTGTGCTATTGGTCACACAGAAGAATAATGGTGCAATGTGAGAGCTACCTAAGAGTGTGGATAACGGAGTATAAGGCTTATTGCTAGTTACTTCAGATTTTCTTTTTTCTGTGTGTGTGTGTGTGTGTGTGTGTGTGTTTGTTTTTGAGATGGAGTCTCCCTCTGTCACCCAGGCTGGAGTGCAGTGGCACAATCTCGACTGACTGCAACCTCCGTTTCTCGGGTTCAAGGGATCCTCCTGCCTCACCCTCCCGAGTAGCTGGGATTACAGGCGCAAGCTACCATGCATGGCTAAATTTTGTATTTTTGGTAGAGATGGAGTTTCACCATGTTGGTTAGGCTGGTCTTGAACTCCTGACCTCAGGTGATCCACCTGCCTTGGCCTCCCGAAGTGCTGGGATTACAGCCACCACACCCAGCCTCACTTCAGATTTTAAACATTCACTACCACAGAAGTTTATCCTTTATATCAGATAGTACTATTCTTATCATTATGAACAGTTCTATTTTTCTTTCATTAAGAATGAATAGTATTACTTGCATGGGAGAGTTTGACTTGGAAATCAAAGTGTAATGAAAGCTGATACAAATATCATAAATAGCAAACATGCTTTTAAGTATCTGCTATGGACTAACTACGTCCCTCAAAATTCATGTTACAGTCCTAACTGCTAATGTGACTATATTTGGAGATAGGACCTTTTGGAGTTCTTTAAGGTTAAATGAGGTCATAAAGGTAAGGCCTTGATTGGATGGGATTAAGTTCCTTATAAGAAGGCTACCAGAGAGCTTGCTCTCTTTCCACCACATGAGAACACAGTAAGAAGGTGGCCATCTACAAGACAGGAAGAGGGCCCTCACCACGCTAGCTCCCCAGTCTCAGACTTTCAGGCTCCGGAACTGTGGGAAAATGAATTTCAAGTCTTTAAGCCTCCCAGTCTATGGCATTTTGTTAAGGTAGCTTGAGTTGACTAATAACAGTAACCATTTGTAGAGGGTTTATCCCACGTTTACCTGGAGTAACAAAGAGAGATACATCCCTAAAGAAGTCATTGCCATGTCATAGGAAAATCTGTACCAGGAATGTTCCCTGGGCAGACTGTTGAGAAACTTCAGACTGAGATTTAGGGAGAAGAGAAGAACCTAGGAATAAAGCCCAAGTCAAATCTACATTGTCTGAATGGAAGATTCTTGAATTCAAGAATGAGAACCTCAAACAGTAAGCAGCGAGGAAAACTAGAGAGCAGACGAAGCTCATGGTTAAAACCCAGTCTTTTATAGCTGACAGATATGGGTTTAATCTCAGCTTTATCAGTAACTGCGTAACTTTGAACAAGTAAATTTACTTGGTTTTAGCTTTCTTAGCTCTAAAGTTAGGATATAAAAACATATTTCATAAGATTGTTTTAAGAAGTAAACTACTATGCATGTAAAATACATAGTAGAGTGTCCATTGTAGAGGAACACTCAATACATATTTAATAAAGTGCTTAAACATTCTCATTATCAACCTGAACAAAGAGCATACTTGTTAAGTTTGCCAGTGACAGATATTAAAAGTGGAGATTGAAGGGAAAATGATGTATAGAAGAGAGATTTTAACTTCAAAGTGACATAAGTAATTTGAAGAAGAAATCAGGGTAAGTGACTTGCTTAAATATCCATACAGTAAATATTTATTATGTGCTTACAGTGTGCACTAGGAATTAAGCAGTGAAAAAAAAATACAAAGGAAAACACCAACAACGTCTCTTCTAACATGGAGCTTACATTCTAGCAGTAAGAGAAGGACCATAAACAAATACATATGTAGTATAACATGACTGAATGCTATGGAGAAAAATAAGAACAGTAAGGGGGATGTGGGGACCTGGGGATTTCTTTTATATAGGATAGTCAAGAAAGGCCTCATTACCAAGTAATTTTACTCAATTGTTTATTCAATTTATTTATTTGTTGATCCCATAATACTTATTTATGTATTTATGTGTTTTTAATTTTTTTTATTTTTAGAATCAGGGTCTCACTCTGTCACCCAGGCTGGAGTGCAATGGTGTGATCATAGCTCACTGTAGCCTCAAACTCCTGGGCTCAAGTGATCCTCCCATCTCAGCCTCCCAAGCAGCTAGGTCTACAGGCACCTGCCACCATGCTTGGCTAATTTTATTTTTTAATTTTTTTAGAGATGGGGTTTTGCTATGTTGCCCAGGCAGGTCTCAAACTCTTGGCCTCAGGCGATCCTCCTGCCTTGGCCTTTTGAAGCATTAGGATTATAGGCATGGGCCACCATGCCTGGCCCCATAATATTTATTTAGAGTATACACTGTGATAGGTACTAAAAAGCCTCTGATACTTCAGTAAAAAACTGCAATGGTGTTTGCAACAGGCAATTCAGTTTGGCCATGATTCTTTTGACTGTTATAACACTATCCTAAGAAAAAGTCTATATTTCCACTTTACTGGGTCCTTGAAACTCAAACTCAATGTTAAAAAGCTCTGATTTGTGGTTGAAATTATAATCTGGCTAAAAGCCGGCAACGTGGAGCCATTTTTCAATTTTAAGTGAATCATAAGCAGTCTTATATTTAAGACAGATAAAATTATTGTACAAAATTATGTTTTTCTGTACTTAAAAGGAGAAAAAACAATGAAGGTTGTTAATGTTTGAAAAAAGAAGGCATCTATGAGGAAGCTTTGTATTGGTAGAAAAGTGTTAAAGGAAATAAAATCTCAGGACCCCAAGCTCACTATGACAAAGGAAAATTAAGCTTGGGACCTGAGTCATGCAAAAACTGCCATTCTTTTGTCCCCAAACAGATAGCTATAATTTCACATGCTTACTTTATCTTGTGTAAAATGTAGATTTACTGAGAGTGAGGATAAATGCACAATTGACTCCTTTCTCCTTTTGCCACATGTAACATAGATTCATTGAGCACTAATCAGAGCCTCACAAGAATGTAGCCATTAGCTTCCATGCCTACCCTCTCTCCTTCTTTTCCTTCCCTGTTTTAATTTCCTGCCTGCTTGCTCTCTCTCCTTTAAATATTGAAGTTCCCAAAACCCTCTTTAGAAAAAGCACAGGACACCGCCTACTGTGACTTGTGCTTCTTTTTCCCAGCCACATCCTCTACCTTGCAAAGCAAAATCTCTAAATCACTTGAGATCTGCCTCATTCACTTTTTGGTTTCCAAAAGGAAGTTGGAAAAAACCACTCTTCTTGCAATGCACAAATGACTGTTTTATAGTAACTTTATTGTCTATGCAATCAATCATATATTTAATATAATTATAGTATCAGATGATAAATGTAGATATTAAAAAACAATCTGTAAAACTGACTTTTCTTATTTCTCCTCTCTCCTTTTCTCCCCTACTTTGCTTCAAATTCTTTATTTTCATATTCACTTTGCTGGCTTCAAATCATTTCCAAACCTACTGTAATGGTAGCATAATCATATCCAGTGAATTTGTTTTGATGTTCTGATAGGACCATAGACTTTCACATCTAGTTGTGATATCACATGCTCACATTGTCTAACTACTTCATTTTATAGTCGAAGAAATTGAAACACAAGGTAAGGTGACTTGCCCAGTTCCAATCTAGCTATATAATAAAAGAATGGCTAATATTTAATAAATAATATGAGTCAGGCACTGAGAAAGTAAGGCACTATTTTTATCTCTATTTAAAAATGTAGAAACTGAGCCAAAGAGGGGATATGGTATTTGCCTGGGATCATAGTATTAGTAAATGTCTGAGTTGGGATTTAAAGCCAGGCTCCCTGATTTCATAGCCCATCCACAATTGCATGCCACTCAAGTCTTCTGGCTCCAAGTTCTCTGCAATTTACACAGCCCTACACTGCCTTCATCCTAAACTCTCCAACCTCCTGTTTTTTCAGCTCTAAACTTTGATTTCCTAAACTTAGCAGTCAGGGACAGGTGGAAGATTGTTGTTAAAAGAACAGGCAGCAGCATTCTTGTTTAGCCTCTTTTTATATCTATTTTATTCTACAGATTAGGGTACTTTTCTCAATTATGCATACTTATTCATTCTGCCAAAAATTTCTTTTAAGGCTGTTAAAGCTGTAGTCAATTTTCTCAGTCTGATGTTCCAAAGGAACCTGCTGTGTCTTTTTCATTCTATGCAAAAATGGGCATGCTAGGATCCACTCAATGCTAAAGTCATTGAGTAGCTACAGACTTTCTATTTGTTTTCTCCATTGTTATATTTTCATAGATTTAGAATCTGAGCAGCATTTAATTTGTCTACTCTTTATATTTTCCTTTAGAGAAAGAGCACAGTGATACTTGTTTGTAGGTGTTAGAGGAATAATCCCAAAGAGAGAAATTATTCTTCAAATATCCACCATGACTGAATATTAAGTAATACTCAAATCTACTTAGAAAACAAAACAGAAAACCTCCAGAAACCAAATAAACATCATCAAAACTTAAAAACAAAAAAGTGCTGGAAGTCTCAGAAGTATGGAGCAGTTATTCGTGTTCCTTCAAATGAAAAGATGCTTTACCATATCCTCTATGGAGAGAATTCTGACAGTATTTATCATACATTTATTCCCATCTTTTGCCCTAACAATCTCATATCTGAAAAATATATACAAAATGTATAATATAGCATTCTTTTGTAAAGGGAAATAATCAGAAAGAGTCTAAGTGGCACTTGTTGAATTATGATACAATCATACAATAAGGCCTTTATAGAGCCATTAAAATGATATTATTGATATTTATTAATATGGGAAATCATTTATAATTTTTGGTTAAGACCTTTTAACAAACACAAAGTCTATGAAATAGTGTGCACAACATTCCATATTTTCATAAAGGAAATGACTTTTAAAACTACCCTGCAATCATCTCATTTTACACAAATGTCTAATCTGATTGCTATTCCTGCCACATTTTATGTCTTTGAACCTAATCTACTGACTTCTTTCTCACAATATTTTCTATGTGCTGAAGGAGTAAAAATGGAATGAAAACAAATATAAGTCATCCCTGCTTTCCTGATGCTTGCCAATTACCAACTGATGCTGGTGTTAAACAAACAAACAAATAAAATGAAAATATGAAGACTGCTAGGAAGGAAAAACACAGGATGCTCTCTGTTTTTATACAATAGCAATCTTTGGAAGCCTAAAACTGTAAGACTAAGATTCACACAGGACTTCAAAAAAGAAGACCCTTGCCTACCTAGAATACAAGAAGCCTACTTTTGTAATTTGATATTATTAGGCTTTGTCTTATTATTTTTTTTAATTGGATTTGTAGATTCTTGGAAGTTAAGCTTCATCCATATTTACTTTTTCTAAGCCTGGAGTGATTCTGCATTTTCCTCTTCTGAACTCTAGCACTATTTGTCAGCTAACTCATTTGGTTCATAACAAATACCATATTTGCGTGTGCATATTACCTTTCTTCTCAACATCGTGGGAAATTCCTTCAAAGCAAAGATAGTCACTTCTGACTCCTCACAGTATTTAATATAAAATCCAACAAACTAAATAAAGAACTGTTGTACAAAAAGCCTCAATTCAAGCCTAGTTACTACTGATATGTATTCTATATAAAAGCAAACTAAATATACATTATATCTTTAGGAAAACAAATATAATCACTCTATGATCAAAGACTTCCTAATTAACATATTTTTATTCACTTACTATTAAATAACTCTAAGAGGATAAAAGTCAACCTCCAGGAAGCACGCTATGGAGGATAGAATGTGTTCTTTGGAATCAGACATACCTGCATTGAATTCTACATTTTGAATTTTCAGTTGGGTGATCTAATGCATGGATTATAGTTAACATGGGGGAAAACAGTAACAAATCTCAAATGTTGTTTGGAGGATTTCATGAAAAAACATTGATGAGCAGCACAATTCCTTTCTTTATATAACTTTATAATTACTGATTCTCATAACCTGTATTCTAGTCCAATTAGCAAAATTTTTCCTTTGGATAATGCAATAGTCTTTTAAATGATAGCTCTGTTTCACCCTTGCCTCATGTATTCATTCAAAATTAATATTCTGAGCTCCTAACTCCCAGTACCTAAAATACAGTGACGGTATTTGGAGACATGGTCTTTAAAGAGGTAATTAAGCCAAAATGGAAATTTGGACACAAACAGGTACAGAAGGAAGATGAAGTGAGGGTACATGGAAAAGATAGCCCTCTAAAAGCCAACAAGAGAGGCCGGAGAAGACACCAACCTTGACAGCACCTTGTTCTTGGACATTTCTACCCTCTAGACTTCTGAGAAGGTATATTTCTTTTATTTAAGCTATCTAGTCTATGGAAATATGTCAGGGCGCCCAAACAAATTAAAACAATGTCCTACTCAAATAGTAGTGATATCCTTTATTTATTTTTTAGTTTTTTCAAAGTGCAAATTGTATTTTAGATACCGGCGGTATGTAGGCAGGTTTGTTACCTGGGCATATCGTGTGATGCTGAGGTTTGGGGTATGATTAATCTCATCATGCAGGTGTGAAGCTTCGTACCCAGTAGTTTTTCAACCCCGGCTGCCCCCTCTACCACCTTTAGTAGTCTCCATTGTCTATTATTGTCATCTTTTCTTTTTAAATTTCTGTTTGTTTTTTATTATGTAAAAATGGAAAAACAAAATATAATTTTCATCCAATACATATTTCATCCTTATTTTTTTTTTTGCAGAAAGTGAAGTCCATTTAGAATGATAGTAATTTTTCAACCAAATAATTCGTCTTCACACAGTTTCAATAACTTCAGAAATTTTCTTCATCTTTCTATAGAAATTCTGAAACTGTGAAATGGTTACCCTTATCGCCATGAATATTGTCATCTTTATGTCCATGAGTATCCAACATTTAGCTACCACTTATAAGGGAAAATAGAAGGTATTTTGTTTTCGGTTCCCGAGTAAATTTACTTAGGTAATGGCTTCCTGCTGCATCCATGTTGCTGAAAAGGACAAGATTTTGCTCTTTTTTATGGCTGCAAAGCATTCCATGGTGTATATATACCACATTTTCTTTATCCAATCCACTGTTGATATGCACCCAGGTCAATTCCATGTCTTTGTTATTGTGCAGAGTGCTGCAGTGAACATACAAGTATATGTGCCTTTTTGGTAGAACAACTTATTTTCTTTTGGATAAATATAAACCCAGTAATGTAGTTGATGGGCTGAATGGTAGCTCTGTTTTAAGTTGTTTGAGGAATCTTCAAACTGCTTTTCATAGTTACTGAGCTAATTTCCATTTCCACCAATAGGGTATAGATGTTCCTTTTTCTCCACAGCCTTGCTAGCATCTGTTGTTTCTTGATATTTCAGCAATAGGCATTGTGACTGGTGTGAGGTAATATCTCATTGTTGTTTTGATTTGCATTTATCTTATGATTAGAGATGTTGAGTATCTTTTCATGTTTTTGTTGGCAGCTCGTATGTCTTCTTCGGAGAAATGTCTGTTCATATCTTTTGCCCACTTTTTAATAAAGTCTTTTTTTTTTTTTCTAGTTGAGTTGTTTGAGTCCCATATAGATTCTGGATATTAGAGCGTTGTGATATGCATAGTTTGCAACTATATTCTCCCATTCTGTAGGCCATCTGTTTACTCTGTTGATAGTTTCCTTTGCTATTCAGCAGCTCTCTAGTTTAGTTAGGTCCCATTTGTCGATTTTTGTTTATATTGCAATTACTTTTGAGGACTTAGCTATAAATTCTTTACTAAGGCCATTATTGAGAAGGGTATTTCCTAGGTTTTCTTCTAGAATTTTTATAGTTTGAGGTTTTACATTTAAGTCTTTAATGCATCTTGAGTTAATTTTTAGATATGGTGAGAGAAGGTGTCTAATTTTATTATTCTACTACATACAGTGAGACAGCTTTCCAAGAAGTATTTATTGAACAGGGAGCCTTTTCACCATTGTTTATTTTGTTACCTTTATCAAGATCAGATGGCAGTAGGTATGTGGCTTTATTTCTGGGCCATCTATTTTGTTCCATTGGTCTATATGTCTATTTTTGTACCAGTACCATGCTGTTTTGGTTACTATAACCATACATATAGTTTGAAGATGGGTAATGTGACGCCTCTTGTTTTGCTCTTTTTGCTTAGGGTTGCTTTGGCTATTTAGGCTCTTTTTTGATTCTATATGTATTTTAGAATGCTTTATTCTAGTGGTGTAAAAATGACATTAGTAGTTTGATAGAAATAGCATTAAATCTGTAGCTTGCTTTGGGCTATATGGCCATCTAAACAATATTGATTTTTCCAATCCATGAGCATGGAATGGAATATTTTTCCATTTGTGTCATCTATGTTTTCTTTCAGCAGTGTTTTGTATTCTCCTTGTAGAGATCTTTCACCTTCTTGTTTAGATGTATTCCTAGTTTTTTTTATTTTTATTCCTTTGGCATGGCAATTCAAAATGGAATTTTGTTTGATTTGGCTCTCAGCTTGAATGTTATTGGGATATAGAAATGATACTAATTTTCATACACTAATTTTATATATTGAAACTTTAGTGAAGTTGTTTAACAATTCTAGAGACTTTTGGTGGAGTCCTTAGGGTTTTCTAGGTAGAGAATCATGTCCTTTATAAGGAGGGATAGTTTGACACTTCTTTTCCTATTTGGGGGCCTTTTATTTCTTTCTCTTGCCTGATTGCTGCAGCTAGCACTTCCAGTGCTATGTTAAATAGGAGTAGTGAGAGTGGACATCCATATCTTCTTGTGGTTCTCAAGAGGAAAGTTTCTAGTTTTTGCCCATTCAGTTTGATCTTGGTTGTGGGTTTTTCATAGATGTTTCTTATTATTTTGAGGTACATACCTTAAATGATTAGTTTCTTGAGGCTTTTATCATGAAAGTTTGTTGGATTTATCAAAAGCTTTTGTGACTTCTATTGAGATGATCATATGGTTTTTATTTTTAATTATGCTTATGTGGTGGATCACTTTTATTGATTTGCATATGTTGAACCAACCTTGCATCCCAGGAATTAAGCCTACTTGATAATGGTGAATGAAATTTGGTATGCTGTTGGATTCAGTTTGCTAGTGTTTTGTTGAGAATCTTTGTGTCTATGTTCATCAGAAGCCTATAGATTTCTTTTTTTGTTGTGTTTTGCCAGGTTTTGGCATCTGGGTGATGCTGGCTTTATAGAATGAGTTAGTGAGGAGTCTCTCTCCTCAATTTAGTTTCAGTAGTGTTAGATATGAGTTCTAAATTTCTTTTCAAAGAATTAATATGTCAGTATGTTCAATCCTTTGCCTTCTACTTTTAAACTTAACTTCCTCATAAAGCAATCTTTTTCTATTACATACTCCACCCTGGCTCATTCTGATTATCTACTCCACCCTGACACTTTCCCATCACCTGCTCCACCCTAACTCATTCTGATCACCTGCTCCATTCTAACTCATTCCGATTACCTGCTACCTGCTCTGCCCTGACTCCCGCCAAAGCACTCACCCCGTCATTCTCTTTAAATTAGCCAAATGGAATTAGTTTAGCCTGTGTGATCTAACCCTAGCCAATAGAGGAACGACACAGCAGCAGGGGCCACGTGCGTCAGGGATAAGAACACCTTCCCCTCCCTTGTCCAAGTGTGTGTTCACCATTGTTCCATCTGTAAGGGTGCACCCTTCTATATAGAAGTACCTTGCCTTGCTGAGAATTAAAAAGAAAATTTTACATTCGAGTGCTATTCCTTTTGAGGCACCGAAACTTTATATATAACAGTAGGATTAGTATCAGCTCTTCTTTGTGTGTCTGGTAGAATTCGACTGTGAATCCATCTAGTCCAGGGCTTTTTTTGGTAGATTTTATTACTGATTCCATTTTAGAACTCAATATTGACTGTTTGGGGTTCTAATTTCTTCCTGATTTAATCTTGAGAAATTATTTCCAGGAGTTTATTTATACCCACTAGATTTTCTAGTTTGTATGCATAGAAGTGTCCACAATACTGTCAGAGGATCTTGTATTTCTGTGGGAACAGTTGTAATGTCACCTTTGTTGTTTCTGATGGTGCTTATTTGAATCTTCTCTTTTTTTCTTTGTTAATCAAGTTAGTGGCGTATTGATCTTTTTTGTACTTTCAAAATCAACTTTTGGTTTGTTCTTTGTGTCTATTTTTGGATCTCAATTTTGTTCAGTTCTGCTCTGATTTGTTATTTCTTTTCTTCTGTCAGCTTTGCGGTTAGTTTTTTCTTGTTTTTCTAGCTCCTCTAGGTGTGATGTTAGACAGTTAATTTGAGAACTTTATAACTTATTGAGATAGCCTTTGAGTGCTATAAGCTTTTCTCTTAACATTGTTATTGTTGAATCTCAAAGACTTGGTATGTTGTTTTCCTGTTTTTATTTATTTCAAATAATTTTTTGATTTCTGCCTTAATTTTGTTGTTTACCCAAATATCATTCAATAACAATTTGTTTAATTTCCACATAATTTTGTGATTTTTAGGATCTTCTAGGTATTGATTTCTATTTTTATTCAACTGTGGTCTGAAAGTATGATTGGTACAATTTTTTTTTAATTTGTTAAGACTTGCTTTAAGCCTGAGCATGTGGTTGATCTTGAAGTATGCTTCATGCACAGATGGGAAGAAGGTTTATTCTGTGGTTGATAGATGGAGTATTCTATAGATGTCTTTAAGATCTGACTGGTGAAGTGCCAAATTTAAATCTAGAAATTCTTCATGAATTTTATGCCTCAATGTTGTGTCTAATGCTGTCAATGGGGTGTGTTAGTCTCTCACTATAACTATATTGATAAGTCTTTTCATAGGTCTAGAAGTATTGTTTTATGAATCTTTGTGCTCCAATATTGGATGCATATATATTTAAAATAGTTAAGTCTTCTTGTTGAACTAAATCCTTTGTCATTATGTAATGTTCTTCTTTGTTCTTTTTTACTTTTGTTGGTTTAAAGTCTGCTTTATCCGATGTAAGAATGGCTCCCATGATCTTTTCTTGTTTTCTATTTCAATGATAGATCTTTCTCCAGCTCTTTACTTTAGATCTCTGTGTATTGTGACACATGATATGGGTCTCTTAAAACAGCAGACTGCTGGATCTTTAAAAAAAATTTAACTGCCACTTTGTACCTTTTAATTGAGGCATTTAGGTCATTTCCATTCAAGGCTTATATTGATATGGAGACTCTTTAAAACGTCTAAATAACATTATAACCCAACCCAGCCCCCAACACAGACACACACACACACACACACACACACACACATGCACGCATGCACCAAAGTCTTCTGTCTTCTGATGGATTCTCATCACACTTACAGCAAAGCCCTAAAATCTGCAGTGCTACAGCAAGGACACACAAGGACACAGCTATTTTTCTTGTCCTATTTTCTCTGTCTTCCAGTCAGTCACTCAGTCTACTCCTGTTTTGTTGGTCTTCCTACTCTTCCTCAAATACATCAAATTAATTCCCACCTTAGAAGAATTTTTACTTGCTATTTATTTAGCCTGAAAAATCTTTCTCCAAATATTCACATGTTCACTCCATCATTCTGATCTTTGCCCAAATGTCACCACTGCTGAAAGGCCTTTGCTGACCACTCTACCTAAAACAGGCAATCTCCCATCACTTATTATCCTCTTAACTGGTTTTATTTTTATTCTTAATGGTTGTCACTGACAAATATATCATACAGATATTCTCTTAAATTATGTGCCTCTTCCCACTATGATATAAATTCCATGAGAGCAAGAACTCTATTTTACTCACTCTTGTAAATTTTTAGTGCCTAAAAATCACTTTGGAAAGAGTAAATGTCCAACAAATATTTATATAATAATAAATATAACTATATAGTGTTTATTTACTAAAATAGAAAGAATTGCTGCATGTAACTTATTTAATGGCATATAAAGAAAAAAATACATGAATCAGTATGTCTTCTATTGGGGTGAAAACAATTTAAAGTAGAAAAGCTGTAAAAAACAAAAACAAACACAAGCTACTACCCAAATATGACTAACAGATCATGTTGATTCTGTCACATTCTACTTGTCATATCAGATTTTTATTTAAAAAATCATTAGCTTATCAATTATAGTTACTGGGGCTGTAAGAAAATTTTATAATTCATGTGGATCAGTTCTCTTCTTTATGGTCTTATTTGAAAATAAAAATTGGTTCTGTCTTAGCCTGTCATTTAATAAGCCGGTGACCTGGGGCAAATCTAACTGCTTCATCTATAAACTATGAATAACAATAGAGGTCTTGACTGTCACACACAGGTATAGTAAGGTTCCATTTTAAAAATGGCTCTTATTATGTTACCTGAAAGGCATTCTACAATGATGAGTGGCAAGGTGGTCTTAGGAACAGTGCAGTGAAAATTGGGACTATTTTCTGTGCCTATCATTTCTATTTTTGTGACACCCTCTTTAAATTAGCCTTAGAATGTAATTCAAAGGAGTGACATAATTGTAAATTTTTGTACTGTTAGATCTAAGAATATTGTATGTGGTATAATAAAATATTAATTTAGTGACCTTCATTAGATAATTAGCATGGAATATATTATGCACTGCCCTGCAAGGGCCTAAGAGAATGGTCCACAGGTCTTGCAAATTTGATATGAAGACAGGCACTGAGACAGTCTAGCTGAGTAAAAATCTGTTGACATCTCTAGGGAGGAATGGTTAGAGAATGCCCTGACTCTGTGGATAGCTGGCATATTTTGTCCCAGAAAAGAAGAGCACAGAGTGGCAGAGAGCACTTGAGGTTTAAATAAGAAAAGAGGATGAAAAACTTACTTTGACTAATTACAAATTTTCTCAATAATGGACTTATTCTCTACTTTCTATTGCCTCTTGAGAAATCATTACTTTGCATGGAGTCAACATAATTATTAAGACTAACTGTGGAAGGTATTCAAAATGGAAAAACAGCAGTCCCCAGGATTATATTTTATTTATGAATGATCACTCATTTGTAACTTTTCCTTCAGTTAGATGTTTTTCAATACAAAAATACCTTTTTAGCACCATTTCAACTTGTGAAACAAAATGTGAAATTCAGGCACGTATGTAATTTGTATGTGTAAAATATTCCATTTTTTTCTTTCTTTTCTGTTAATGAAGTAAGTACGTTTAACATGAGACGTATCTTCTTAATAGATTTTTACCTGCACAATACAATCTTGTTAGCTATAGGTGCTCTGTTGACAGCAGATCTCTAGAATTTATTCATTTGTTGTAACTGAATTTTATACCCATTGAACAGTAACCCCCATTTCCCCTCCTTTCAGTCCCTGGCAACCAGCATTCTACTCTGTTTCTAGGAGTTTGACTATTTTAGATACCTTATATAAGTGGAATCAGGCAGTATTGGCAAACGTACTTTCAATTAGTAATGACTATAATTCTCGTAGTTTAAGTAAAAGAAATCAAACATCACTACTACTAGTTTTTTGGGAAAAAGATTACAAATAGGGATATTACGATAAAAGCGTAAAATGTTTTTTACGTTTGTGCACTTAGATCCATGTTCAAGCTGTAGTTCACCTATATATGCATAACACATTTGAATATGTGCTACAGTATGCCATTTATAAAGACTGAAAATAATATTGTATAAAACATTATTATTTATTTAGCAACCTCATGAGCTTTGGTTTGAAAAATGCCTGAATTACGTAGCATAATTGTAGTGATGGAGAACAGATCAGTGGCTGCCAAGGGTTAGTGTTGGTTGGAAGATGTGATTAGTGAGAGATAACGTGAAAACATGTTGTACTTTCTTTGTGTTGATAAAGCAATTCTGCATTTAGATTGTGGTGATGGTTACATAAATCCACACTTCATAGAACTATACACACACATCACACATATACTCACACACACCTATAGAAGAAGAGTACATGTAAAATCCTTAGAAATATGAATAGGGTCTGAACCTGAGTTAATGGTATGGAAACAATGATTTTGGCAATGTACTAGGTAAAGTTAGATATAATCATTGGGGAAAGTTGGCTGAAAATAACACAGTCTTTCTTTTTACTATTTTTGTAAATTCTTATGAGTCAAAATCTTTCAAAATAAAAGGTATTAAACAAAGGCAAAAATCGAAAACTTCCAAAATCAAAGCCTGTATGAATTTGGACATATTATTTGATTTCTTTTGTAGACCTTGATTTCTTCACCTGTAAAAATGGAATAATAGTATGATTCCTATCTCATTATTGTCATGCTTAAATCATACCATTTATGTAAGTGCCCAGTACTGTGTACTGTGTATAGCAGAACAATAATGCTTAAACACTAAGTTCCCCACTTATTTTGTGGCTATTGGTTTTTAGGTGGTTTTTAAGTTCCTAAGTGGAAGTGTGTTCAACAGAGGGAGTCAAAATAAATGACAACGTCTCAGAGTATCATCTGAACAAGAAAGGAGGGTGTTCTCCATCCCTTGAAATTGTCTCAGTCCTCTTTTATTGTTTGGCTCTCCTGTGAGTCCTCACAAATAATCTCAAGAATTGCTACAACACCAATAGAGAATTAATTCTCATTGAGTTTTTAGCTCAGTAAATTCTAGGACCTAAACTTTATTGATTCAGCTGCTTTTTAAAATTTTCCCATTTAGAAATATTCAATTTAAACCTTCCTTCAGTAAGTAATGGTTAACTACTAACAATCCTAACAAACATTATAAGAAAGTCATAAGTAACATTTATTACTTTTGTTTTCCATTCATCCTGCTTGCTGTCCATAAGCATACAGCATTTTGGCCTTTCCAAATATCTGAAGGTAAGACAATCAAAAACAAAACTAAGAAATCCTACTCTGAAGTCACATCTCCCTAACTAGGTTGTGTTTTTATTGAGAGTAATGGCAATATTTTCTTTTCCAGAAGAACAAAACAAATACAAGGTTGGGCCCAATTGAATTCAATGGGAGATCTGGAGCGGAAGGAGTCAAGGTTATTCTACCTTCTCCATGCTTTGATAACTTTAACTGTGGGATTCTAGTTAAAAGAACATGATTATCCAAAGAAGTAAGTGCTTGAAATGCCCACTGTATCAGGAGATTAGGAATTGTTAGCTTGAAACAATATAAATGGAAAGAAAACCTAACACAAAGAGACAAAATACACAAAATTTGTATTATGGTACACCTGTGCTTTGTGACCATATTTCTGTGTCATAAACAAAAAACATTCTATAAATCTTAACAGAGAGAAATTTAGGGCACAAAGAAGCATTTATGTGTTTTCATACTGTGAGCTAGGGCTAAGGTGTTCTTTACCATGACAGTTGGTGAAGCATAAGAACAACTCAATTCACAATGGTTCTGGTAAATTCCAATTTCCACTTCTTTACTCATAGACCTAAATCTCTATTGAATGAATAACATATATATAGATTTATATATATATTTATACATATCTATAAATATTTATATATATCCATATATCTATTTATATATAGATAGATATCTATATATCTATTTATATATAGATAGATATCTATATATCTATTTATATATAGATATCTATATATCTATTTATATATAGATAGATATCTATATATCTTCATATATAGATAGATATCTATATGTCTTCATATATAGATAGATATCTATATGTCTTCATATATAGATAGATATCTATATGTCTTCATATATAGATAGATATCTATATGTCTTCATATATAGATAGATATCTATATGTCTTCATATATAGATAGATATCTATATGTCTTCATATATAGATAGATATCTATATGTCTTCATATATAGATAGATATCTATATGTCTTCATATATAGATAGATATCTATATGTCTTCATATATAGATAGATATCTATATGTCTTCATATATAGATAGATATCTATATGTCTTCATATATAGATAGATATCTATATGTCTTCATATATAGATAGATATCTATATGTCTTCATATATAGATAGATATCTATATGTCTTCATATATAGATATCTATCTATATGTCTTCATATATAGATAGATATCTATATGTCTTCATATATAGATAGATATCTATATGTCTTCATATATAGATAGATATCTATATGTCTTCATATATAGATAGATATCTATATGTCTTCATATATAGATAGATATCTATATGTCTTCATATATAGATAGATATCTATATGTCTTCATATATAGATAGATATCTATATGTCTTCATATATAGATAGATATCTATATGTCTTCATATATAGATTAGATATCTATATAAATAGATATCTATATAAATAGATATCTATATAAATAGATATTTAATCTATATATCGTTATATAAATCTTTATATATATAAAGATATATAGAAATCTATATATAAATAGATATATATATGTTTATATAGATATCAATTTATATATATCTATATCTAGGTATACCTATATATCTTTATATATAGATATCTATATACAGATATATAGAGATAGATATCTATATATAGTTATATAGAGATATATATCTATATATAAATAAATATATATATCTATTTATATATAGATATATATCTATATATCTCTAAATATCTATCTATATATATCTCTATATAGATATATCTATCTATACATCTCTCTATATAGATATATCTATCTGTACATCTCTCTATATAGATATATCTATCTATACATCTCTCTATATAGATATATCTATCTATACATCTCTCTTGATAGATATATCTATCTATACATCTCTCTTTATAGATATATCAATCTATACATCTCTCTATATAGATATATCTATCTATACATCTCTCTATATAGATATATATCTATATATATCTCTCTATATAGATATATATCTATATATCTCTCTATATAGATATATATCTATATATCTCTCTATATAGATATATATCTATATATCTCTCTATATAGATATATATCTATATATCTCTCTATATAGATATATATCTATATATCTCTCTATATATATATCCATATATCTCTCTATGTATAGATATATATCTGTATATATCTCTGTCTATATAGATATATATCTGTATATATCTCTTTATATAGATATATATCTATATATCTCTACCTAGATATATATAGATATATATATCTATATATCTCTACCTAGATATATATAGATATATATATCTATATATCTCTACCTAGATATATATAGATATATATCTATACATCTCTACATAGAGATGTATAGATATATATCTCTCTATACATAGATATATATCTCTATATATCTCTCTATACATAGATATATATCTCTATATATCTCTCTATACATAGATATATATCTCTATATAGATATATATATCTATATATATCTGTCTCTATAGATATATATACCTTTCTCTATATATAGATATATACATCTATATATCTCTATATATCTCTCTATATATAGATATATATCTATATATCTCTCTATATGTCTCTATATATAGATATATATCTATATATCTCTCTATATATAGATATATATCTATATATATATCTATATATATCTATGTAAAATAGATATGTTCGTATATAAATATATACAGAGTTCATAGACCTAAGTCAGTCATATACATGTGTGTATATATATGTTTATTTATTTGTTATTTATGTATTTATTATTAAT
Source organism: Homo sapiens (assembly GCF_000001405.40). Lineage (NCBI taxonomy): Eukaryota > Metazoa > Chordata > Mammalia > Primates > Hominidae > Homo > Homo sapiens. The sequence continues at coordinate 45,025,604 of NC_000004.12, forward strand.
AAGTATATTGATTTGTTCATATATAAACATATTTATATATAGACACACACATATATATGACGGACATATATATGTGCATATATATATGACGGACATATATATGTGCATATATATATGACGGACATATATATATGTCCATGTATATTTTCTATATATATATTCAATATATATATATTCTATATATATATATTGAATATATATATCTATATATCTCTCTATATATAGAGATATATATCTATACAGTTGTATATATCTATATATATCTCTCTATATAGATATGTATATCTCTATAGATATAGAGATCTATATATCTCTATATAGATATAGAGATCTATATATCTCTCTATAGATATATAGATCTATATGTCTCTCTATAGATATAAAGATCTATATGTCTCTCTCTATATAGATATAAAGATCTATATGTCTCTCTATATATAGATCTATAGGTCTATATATCTCTCTCTATATATAGATCTATAGACCTATATATCTCTCTCTCTATAAAGATCTATAGACCTATATATCTCGATATATAGATATATATATATCTATATATAGATATATATATATCTATATATAGATATAGATCTATATATCTCTATATATAGATATATAGATCTATAGATATATGTATCTGTATATAGATCTATAGATCTATATATATCTCTCTATATAGATCTATAGATCTATATATATCTCTCTATATAGATCTATAGATCTATATATATCTCTCTATATAGATCTATAGATCTATATATATCTCTCTATATAGATCTATAGATCTATATATATCTCTCTATATAGATCTATAGATCTATATATATCTCTCTATATAGATCTATATATCTCTCTCTATATATAGATCTATATATATCTCTCTATATATAGATCTATAGATCTCTGTATATCTCTCTATATATAGATCTATAGATCTCTGTATATCTCTCTATATAGATCTACAGATCTATATATCTCTGTATATATGGATCTATAGATCTATATCTCTCTCTATATATGGATCTATAGATCTATATATTTCTATATATGGATCTATAGATCTATATATCTCTCTCTCTATATAGATCTATATGTCTACATATATCCCTCTCTATATAGATCTATATATCTATATATCTCTCTCTATATATAGTGCATATATATAGGCACTTACATAAATGATATGATTTAAGCATGACAATAATGAGATAGGCATCGTACTATTCCATTTTTACAGGTGAAGAAATCAATGTCTACAAAAGAAATCAAGTAATATGTCCAAATTCATATGGGCTTTGATTTTGGAAGTTTTAGATTTTCGTCTTTGTTTAATACCTTTTATTTTAAAATAATTTGACTCATAAGATATTATAAAAATAGGAAAAAGAATGACGGTTATTTTCAGCCAACTTTCCCCAATGATTATATCTAACTTTACCTAGTATGTTGCCAAAATCAGGATATTGACATTGTTTCCATACCATTAACTCAGGTTCAGACCCTGTTCATATTTCTGAGGATTTTACATGTACTCTTGTATAGGTATGTGTGAGTGTATGTGTGATGTGTGTGTATAGTTCTATGAAGTGTGGATTTATGTAATCATCACCACAATCTAGATGCACAACTGCATTACCAACACAAAGAAAGTACATGTTTTCACATTATTCCTCACTAATCACATCTTCCAACCAACCCTTTTCCTTGGTAGCCACTGATCTGTTCTCCATCACTAAGATTATGCTATGTAATCCAGGCATTTTTGAAACCAAAGCTCGTGAGGTTGCTAAATAAATAATATCCTTTTATACAATATTATTTTCAGTCTTAATAAATGGCATACTGTAGCACATATTCAAAGGTGCTATGCATGTATAGGTGAGCTACAGCTTGAACATGGATCTAAGTGCACAAACGTAAAAAATATTTTACACTTTTATCACAATATCGCAATTTGTAATCCTTTTCCCTAAAAACTGATGTTTGCTTTCTCTTATTTAAACTATGAGAATTATAGTCATTACTAATTGAAAGTATGTTTGAATACTGCCTGATTCCACTTACATAAGGTATATATATGCGCACATATATATGTCCGTCATATATATGTGCACATATATATGTCCGTCATATATATGTGTGTGTCTATATATAAATATGTTTATATATAAACAAATCAATATACTTATTGATAATAAATACATAAATAACAAATAAATAAACATATATATACACACATGTATATGACTGACTTAGGTCTATGATCTCTGTATATATTTATATACATACATATCTATTTTAAATCTATTACATGAAGCAAATAATACAGTTGATTTCAAATAACAAGAGTTATTGGATGTATATAAGCAAAAGTTAATGTACATAGGCAAATCAATTGATGAACTTACAGACTCATTTATTTGACATGTATTTATTGAGTGGTCTCTATTGAATTCTGGCTATCTTCCAGGAGCCTAAAATTCAGCAGTGAATGTAACAGGCTCAAATCCTTGTACTCAAGGAGCTAATATTCTCATTGAGGGAGAAGAAAATGAACAAAGTTAATAAGCAAAATATTCAACATGCTAGTTGATAGGAAGTTCTGTGGTGAAAAATAAAGCAAGGAAGAATGGGGTTGGTGGGATGTATATTTAAAATAGAATATCCAGGAATGGCTGCACTGAAGTTATATATATAATTATATATCACTATACGTTTTAACTATAACTATATCTTTTTATCTGGTGCAGGTGAGTGAATAACCCATGCAAATATCTTGGGGAGGACCAATCCAGGCACTTCAGGAATATCAAAAAGGCCAATATGACTGAAGCAGAGTAATGACAGAGTGATATGGAGTGAGTAGCAGATGAAATAGTAAGAAAAGTAGGCAGGTCATTTTACGGGTATGCTTCTCAAATTCTTATTTGCATATAAATCACTTAGGTTTCACGATAAAATAAAAAATCTGATTCAGGTTGTCTGGAGAGTTTACACTTCTTACACGTTCCAGGTGATGCTGGTGCTAATGGTCTGTGTATCACACTTTGAATACCAAAGGACTGGAGATGTGTGCATGGTAAGGGCTTTGGATTTTAGTACTGTAGGTTGAAATGTGTCTTCCTCAAAAAGATGTTCAAGTCCCAACGCTCAGTACTTGTAAATATGACCTTACTTGGAAATAAAATCTTGCCTAGTCAATCAAGTTAAGTGGATTCAGGTGGGCTCTTATTGAATGACTAGTGTGCTCATAAGAATGAGGATATTTGTGAAAACACACAGTGGATAAGGTCATGTGAAGATGAAGGAAGAGATTGGAGTCATGTAACTATAAGCCTAAGAATGCCAAGGATTGATGGCAACTGTCAGAAGCTAGGAAAAGACAAGGAAGGATCCTCCCCGGAGCCTTCAGAGAGAGCATGACAATGATGACACCTTACTTTCAACTTCTAGCCTGAGAGAGAATAAATTTCTGTACTTTTAAGCTACTGAGTTGGTGGTAATTTGTTACAGTAGCCTGAGGAAACTAATACATTGAGTGGGATGGAGAATGATGTCATTGGAGGGTTTAAACAGAATGGCTCAGTCTGACATACTCTTAAAGAATCACCCTAATTGCAGAGACAAGAATAAGCTGAAGGCAACGGGCTACAGGGAAGCAGCAAGACCAGTTAGGCGGCTGTAGCAGTAAACCTAACTGGAGAGTGGAGAGACGGTGGTTTGGATCTAGGTGGTATTGATGGTGAGACAGGAACAGAATCTGAAGATGTTTTGAATTACTATTGACAAAATTTGTTAACATAGTATAAGGTATAAAAAAAATGGGGGTGGCTGGGAGTGGTGGCTTACACCTGTAATACCAGCACTTTGGGAAGCTGAGACGGTGGATTACCTGAGGTCAGGAGTTTGAGACCAGCCTGGCCAACATGGTGAAACCCCATCTCTACTAAAAATAAAAAAAAATTGCTGGGCGTGGTGGCAGGCACCTGTAATCCCAGCTACTTCGGAAGCTGAGGCAAGGGAATCACCTGAACCCAGGAAGCAGAGGTTGCAGTGAGCCAAGATAAAGCCATTGTACTCCAACCTGGGTAACTAGAGTGAAACTCCATGTCAAAAAAAGAAATGTAGAATGACTTATAATCCTTTGGGTATAAATGGGATTGCTGGGGCAAATGGTATTTCTGGTTCTAGATCCTTGAGGAATTGCCACATTGTTTTCCACAATGGTTGAACTAATATACACTCCCAGGAACAGTGTAAAAGTATTCCTATTTCTCCACATCCTCTCCAGAATCTGTTGTTTCCTGACTTTTTAATGGTCACCATTTTAACTGGAGTGAGATGGTATCTCACTGTGGTTTTGATTTGCATTTCTCTAATGACAAGTGATGTAGGAGATTGGTCAGGGTGGTGGGAGAAGCTATAAAGAAAGATGCAGGCCTTCTTGAAAGGTGGGAAGGTCTTGCAAAAGCTTTGGGAGAGAATAAAGGTGAAGGCAGCTAATTATCTTGCCCTGAGGCTAAGGGTGAGAAGTAGGTGCAAGGAAATGTAAAAGAGTTTATCTAAATAGGCTTGTTTACTTATGTAAACAACTTATGTAGTCCAGAAACTGACCTTTGATCATCTGCATATGAGGCTGCTCCCTGTAAGGGGGAGCAATAATGTTAATTACCCAGCAATTGTGTTGGCTCCAGGCCTTTGACATTATACCACTACTGAATAAATACAAGCAGCTCTGGCTTATTGGCTTATCAAGACTGCTAACTCCCTTCAGCCCCTAGTGCCAGCAGTCCCCTAGCCTGCTCTTACACTGTATACCTGTGTCTGAGTACTCCTTTCTTCTGTCGCTCAGTCAGGGTCTGCAGGATGCACCCGGCACAGTGATGATGAGCTTTTTTAAATATGTTCGTTGGCTGCGTAAATTTCTTCTTTTGAGAAGTGTCTGTTCATATTGTTTGCCCACTTTTTGATGGGGTTGGCACATGCACATGTATGTTTATTGCAGCATTATTTACAATAGCAAAGACTTGGAACCTACCCAAATCCCCATCAATGATAGACTGGATAAAGAAAATGTGGCACATATACACCATAGAATACTATGCAGCCATAAAAAAGATTGCGTTCATGTCCTTTGCAGGGACATAGATAAAGCTGGAAACCATCATTCTCAGCAAACTAACACACCAACAGAAAACCAAATACTGCATATTCTCACTCACAGGTGGGAGCTGAACAATGAGAACACATGGGCACAGGGAGGGGAATATCACACACCAGGGCCTGTTGGTGGGGTGGCGGGCAAGGGAGGGATAGCATTAGGAGAAATACCTAATGTAGATAACGGGTTGATTGGTGCAGCAAGCCGCCATGGCACATGTATACCTATGTAACAAATCTGCACGTTCTGCACATGTATCCCAGAACTTAAAGTATAATTTTTAAAAATGGGGCAGTCAAGCATATAAGCAAGGTGTTTTGTGGCTTAATAACTGTTTAAGTATACGGATGGAGTTTATTAGCTGCTAACTGACGTGAGGAAGATGATGAGAGAAGGTGAGAATAGGGAAGATGCTGGGGAGGTGAGGAGAGTAGAGAGAGATTAAGAGCTCTTTTCGAGGTATGTTCACTTTGAGATGCCTATGTTGCCTCCAAGAATAGAGTGCAATTAGGCTACTTGGCATGAGTCCAGAGTCCAGAGCACAGGTCTTCGCTGGAGATTTATCTGAGTTATTAAGAGAAATTATGATGCTTGGCAAGCATGTCCTTAAGTTCTGAGATTAACATCAGGAAGGATAATCATGTACTTCTAAAACATGGTGTTCACTGCCACTTATTTGAAAACATACTGGGCCATTATCTGACCTGTGACAGTTCTGACATTCATTCTAAGACTACCAGATGTGAAAGCCAGGAGACTGATTATTTTCTTTTTTGGCACTTTTCTGATTTTAAATTTCAACTTTCCACATCATTAAAGCCACTAAGGTAAACAGTTAGCCTAAGAGGTATATTCGTTATTTTTTTGCCATCTTTAAATTTGATGCCTCATTGTGAAAAATATGACCTCACATGTATTTGTGTGGGTGATATTTTAAAAGATCAAACTGGGCAGAGAATATGGACACTTTCATTATTTAATAATTTGGACTAATGCCAATCATTCCAACATGAACTCTTCATTCATCTGTCTTGTCAAAGAAGCAGAGCTCATACTGCATATGTGAAATATCACCTAGTATCTATTTCAATCACATATATTTTCTGTTTGTATCTTAGAAAGATTCTTTCACCTCAACAAGCGTATTACTATCTGGAAGTATCTGGATATAGTGATAAAATGATTATTTTCATCAACATCTAAAGAAAATGCCTATACATCTGTTGGGATGGGAGGTGGAATGGGGAGGCGTGCAGTTGTCTAGCACTACTTGTGGCTGGGAAGGTATGTGTGTTTACAGTAATAGAAAAATCCACTGTTACTGCAAAGATTCCCCATAGCTCTTTTAAAAAAAGGCTGTCAACTTGATCTCCATTTGCCTGAATCTTTGCCTCTCACTTAGTTCAAAGCTCTGACAGGGAATAGAAGCATATTTATCAATCCTTCAAGCTCCAGTAGAAGCATCGGAGGGAGAAAACCTACCTATTTTGAAATGGTTGACCAATTCTCAGTGACAAAGCTATAGCTACAGTCTGATTTTCTCATCCATTGCCAAGAAAAAATGATTCAGTCTGGCCCCGTTTTATAAGGGCATGGTTGAAGAGCAAGAATCCTATTTGTAGAGATTCTTTTTCTAGGCATGAGAAATGGCTATTCCAGGTAACGGATTCCTAATTTGCCCTTCTGTGGAACGAGCTTTGCTTGACAGATGACAGAATATTTGTCACCTTAAGACTTTTAAAAAATTAATTTAAAGCCATGATATTTCTAATTGTTCTGGCTTATGCTTTGAAGTTTTTCTAAGGCTGCCAAAATTGTGGTCACCAACATAATAGGTACCATTTTTACATTATCCAGTATATTTTATATATATATATATATATATATATAATATGCTATATAAAACTTAATATATCAGTTAGTGCATTTAGCTATATGAAAGCTGAAATATGCATTTAAATTCAACATTTGCAGAATGTTTTCTGTAGAGCATTTGCTGGGTCAGACCATGGTGGTGAGATTTACTCCATTTACACCACCAAATTTTATGTACTAAACCTCTGACTACATTTGGTTTGATACAGAACATTGATGCTATGTCTATTTTGATGGTATTTCATTTATTTTCTTATGCAGTTGATATCATACTACCTTACTGATAACAGCATATCAGTTCTATTTCCTACCCCCCATATCAGGTCAAGAACCTGACCTATTTATTCATGTTAAAAGTTTTTGTTAACATGCACATTATCTGACGCTATTTGAACACTTTGCTCAAATAAGCTTCCATGTTTCATTCTATGCTGAGGATTATTAAGCTTCTTTACATTTAATTATTTCTATGTAGGGATTTAAACCAACATATTTTGTGCTTCTAATTTGGTTTATCTAAAAATGGTGGTTCCTGGATCAATATCATCAGTAGCACCTGGATTGTGTTAGGAATGAAAATTATCGGTTCTTACCAAAGACAGCCTTTATCTGAGGTTAGGACCAGGAATCTGTTTTAACAGGCCCTCCAGGTAATTCTCATGTATGCTAAACTTTGAGAACCACAGTTGTAGATGGTTAAAAAATTAAAGACAGCATGGACATGGATATATAATACTATGAAACTCTATTTCCTGATGTTCCAAACAAAGTGCACTGACAAGCAGGTTAATCTTAGGCCCCATTAAGTAAATTCTGCTGTTGAATACCAAAAAATATTTTTACTGTAAAAAGCTGTTATTGTCAGTCTATTCCAAAGTGTAGATTCTGAGGAAATAACTTGAAAAAGTCTTAAATATACCAAGCAATAATCTAACATCTAAGGAAATGAATATTATGATTTGAAAACTTTTACTTAAAAATGTATATTTAAAAGCATATATGAAAAACAGAAAGCGGACAAATAGTTTAAAACATCAAATTGGTTTTAATGTTAAATAAGAATGTATGACCAATTTATAACCATGAACTAAACTCTAAGCCTAATGGGGATTTTTTTCCCCTGTCTCTCCTGCCCTTGCATAATGGACATGACCCTTACCAGCTCCACCAATAATAGAAGTAATGAGCTCTTCCATTGAATTTGACCCTTTCAAAGTCATTTAATCTAATCACCAACTCTCTCACAAAGGCTCCGTAAAATTGATAGGTATTTCTCACTTTGATTCTCTCTGGGGTTTGTTGCCCTCCTGTTGCATGTGTGATAGAGTTACAGTTATTCCTTTAGAGGGTCATTTAGTACATTGAAGTCCATAGTTTAAAGGAGAATATCTTTTTTTCTGCTAAAGAAAGATTGAGGCAAGAAAAGAATTGAAAGTAAATTGTCAATTTTAAATGCACGTAGGAATCTTAAAACAGAGGACAAGGAGGGCCATTCAGCCAGTGGGCTGCAAAAGTGAGACTGTCACCACAGTGCCCTCTTCCCCTCCCTGGTGCTGACAGCTTGCAGTCATGCTTGCGCTGTCTGCAAAATATCACCTTAGGGGAGTCTGTCTGCAACGGCTCCTGCTCAGTCATGGCCTCCTGTGCCATATGATCTCTCCCCGACCCCCTGGAATAGTAAAAAACTTTCAATCTTATCTCACACTGTGAATAACTGAGTATCATATGGTGGCAGTAATTAGGAAAAATGACTCAAGCACTTCCAAAATTTGCAAAGCATTCACTGTCATTTTCAGGACCCGTGCTCTTTAAGTGTTTTGGGATACTTTTTAAAGTAACTATTCTCTCTGGCCACTGGGCTGTGTCAAGTTTTCTATTTTTAATGTTTTTGTTTGGTAAGATAACTTTGAAAGGCTAGGAAGAAGAGTGAAGAAAAGACCAAATTGACTGAGAAAAACTTAGAGTATAATTAAGTTTTTATTAGTTTGAAAAACTCAACATTTTTTTAACTATAAAAATGGCCATTTCAGGTTCTAATATATTGGGGGAATAGGAGTTCCATTTAGAAATTAGGATATGCTACGGGAAAAACAAATTCTATATATATATATTGCATATTTGAAATTATACCCTACCTCCATACCTACTATGTTCATTTTAAGTTTAATGTTATTTTAATTGCATAAAGGCTTACTATCAACAAGGTGGCTAGTTTTTCTATCTCCTTAAAGAATCAAGTAAGAAATGAAGTTGAATTATTGTTAAAATAAATTAGGCCACAATTAACAAGCAGAAATGCATGGCTTATCAAGATGATATATGGCCAGAACTGGCTACCAAGGTTATATTCAAACTAAAGTTTAAAGGTTTCTTGAATGATATGGTTTGGCCATATCCCCACTCAAATCTCATCTTGAATTGTAGCTCCCACAATTCCCACGTGTTATGGGAGGGACCTGGTGGGAGATAATTGAATCATGGGGGTGGGCCTTTCCTGTACTGTTCTCATGAAAGTGAGTAAGTCTCACGTGATCTGATGATTTTATAAGGAGAAGTTTCCCTGCACGAGCTCTTTTATTGCCTGCTGCCATGCATGTAAGATGTGAGGCTCCTTCTTGCTTTCCACCATGATTATGAGGCTTCCCCAGCCATGTGAAACTGTGAGTTCATTTTCTTTTGTAAATTGCCCAGTCTTGGGTATGTCTTTATCAGCAATGTGAAAACAAACTAATATGTTGAAATTTTGGAAAATGTCTTCAATTTATGGTGTATAACAATTTTAGACTGATTTAGAAATTTTGCTCTCAGCATCTGAAGCTTGTTCTGTGTAATATTTAGGTCCTTTTCAGTTGAGATTCTATGATTTAGAATTTCTCTCTTCTCAATTAACTACAAAAACATTTTTAGCTCCCAATAGATACCAGTATAGGAAAATAAAGACTAATAAGTTATAGTACTAATTCTTAGGGAATGTTGACAGGTGTTTGGAGACATGTTGGACACATTATGCTAGACCTTTCTCATCTTTAAAGATTGAGTTCAAATGTTATAACCCACATGAATGTTTCCCTTATTCAGAGAGGGTACTTTGTCTTTATCTCTGGGGTAATGCTTAATTTATCTGAGCTTTGAAAATTATCTGATTTTATCTGTATCACTGTCTTTCTATGAAACTTCCAAGGCAGAATCTCTATGATTTTTTTTTTTTTTTTCTGAGATGGAGTTTCTCTCTTGTGGCCCAGGCTAGAGTGCAATGGCACGATCTCGCTCACCTCAACCTCCGCCTCCTGGGTTCAAGTGATTCTCCTGCCTCAGCCTCCTGAGTAGCTGGGATTACAGGCATGTGCCACCATGCCCAGCTAATTTTGTATTTTTAGTAGAGACAGGGTTTCTCCATGTTTGTCAAGCTGGTCTCAAACTCCTGACCTCAGGTGATGCACCCACCTAGGCCTCCCAAAGTGCTGGGATTATAGGATTGAGCCACCAGGCCCGGCTTAATTTTTTTTTTTAAACTATAAGTAATAGTAGGCATGGCCTTTGACTCTTCAGAAAAAAAATATGTTTAAAACATTTTTGTAATCATGATCTTAAATGCACAAATAAACAGCCAGTTAGACACATTGTACACGTAGGCATTGCTTGTGATATGGGGTTACGAAGTGAAAAGGCTGTCATAGTCTCAGAGCCCTCCAGAATTGGATGTATTTTGGAGATTATTAATTTCAGTTCTCCCTAATTACCCTGATAAAGAAATGGAGGTTTAGGTAAGTTAAGTGATGGCATGTTTTGTGTCCTTTATAATCTTTTGAGTCAATAATAAGGTGATTACAACACACAAATGAACATTATTAGGCAATTAAATATTATTAGGTAATTGAAGCTTTATTAATAAATTTTACTTAAAATCAATGCTTTGTTCTACTTAACACAGTTTTTCCTTACTTAAGTATGCCTGTTTTTCCTTTGTCTGCAAACTCAACAAATCTGGTTTAGACAATAGATTCTTACATACAAAATGGGAGTAAGTGTGATATGTGTGTGTGTATGTCCGTGCTATGGATAGCCTCTTAGAAAATGTCTAAGTCATAATTTGGAACATTATCACAAAATCATCAATGCTATAGACTTAAGTAGGAAGCAGTATTATGTGTATCAGAGTCATATGAGTCCAACAGGGTGGACAAAAGGGATTATCATTGCAAATCTACCGCCCAGCAGGATGGCTTTTACAAAGATACAGATGACAGGTTTTTTTTCCTGTGTTGACAAAGAGCTTGTATCCTGTTCAGGACATTCATTCTCCCCTGCATGGGATTGTGTGACTCATGCTGACTTTCAAACCTTAACCTGGTAATAATCTCTTTAGAAATACCTTTTATTATTATTATTTTAAAGAGAAGCTTGCAAGCTGAATTTAATAGTGAGTCACAATTATTATTAAGATCTGACTATTCCTTTCATATTAGAAATATACTTTGTCTTGTTTAAATTATATTGACTATATTTTTGTCTTTCTCCTCTGAATCAATTATCAAATGCATACAGGATTCACCAGGAAACAAAATTTCTATTAATATTTCTATTGAGAGTTTTGACAGTAGATTTTCAGCAGCTTTCCAAATTCAAAGTGTCTTCAATAAATTTATTCACTTATTCATTCAATTTATTTTGAGGTTTAACAAGGCACCAGATATTACAATTTCTCTGATATATATGTGAGGCCTTTTAGGTGATTTGTAAAGTTTGAAATACTACACATTTTGCCATTAAACATTTTCAAAAGATTAAAGTTTCCTTTTCTTCTTTTGTTACTATTTTCCTTTTCTTTCCAAGACTTCATAGATGGCATTATGAACTTCCATAAGGGGGCACAGAATGCCAGCTTGCTCTCTTTCAGTGATGTTAGCAGACACGGATGATCATTGCTGTGATGTATTAATTCCCCAGGCACTACAAAATCATGGTATCCTAATTATATCACTCTTTATTATTTTGTTAGGTGAATTGATTTTATAACAGGTATTTGTCCTCATCAAATTTTGATTACCCTGAGGTACACTTTCTAGAGGAAAAGCAGATAAATACTTTGTATTTCCCATTTATCTTCTGGTTTTCACAGTAATGATTTGGAATAGTTTTTCTCTGTGCATTTTATGCCATTAACTTTATGTAGGTTCATTTATTTCATATTACTTTCAGTTTTCAGAGACTGCTCCTTAAAAATTCCATTATATTTTACAATTAAATAAAATATTTATTTTTATGAAAATTTTTAAAAACATTATTCAAAATAATTTAGTTTCTACCTTCCCATCTCTTTTTCCTTATTCTCCTTCTCTCATCATGTGAAACCACTTACTAATGTTTGTCTTATTCATCTATGTTTTTAACATTAGGAACTGGCACATATATTGTTAGCCTTCATTTTTTAGATAAATAGTAGCACATTATATAAATCTGCACTTAGCTATTTAATTTAACAATGTATTGTAGAGATCAGAACATAGAACCATTTAGAGAAATACCTGACTTCTTTTCAACTGCCTGGTACTGCACTGTGTAGATGTAAAATTGTTTATGCAACTTGTTCCTTATGTTGGATATTTGAATTATTTGCAGAATTTTTTTCTCTTCCTTGTAGAGTGATATATTAAAACATTCTAGTATTTAAGAATACAATGAGCAAAATTTACAATGTGAGAAACCTCATAGGAAAAGTGACCTGAATATTTCAACCACAAAATATAAATGTAAGGGAAAATAATATATGGAAATACAGATTAAAAGAGAATTAAGAGATATTTTGGCATTTCTAATGTATGTTTATATATGCTGAATATATCTGCTTCATTATAAGCCACAGTATTTCTCAGCTGGCCAATGGAAGTGAGTCCTACAAGGCAGGCACAGCCATAAATAGGTAATGATAAAATAACAAGTTAATGGGTGCGGCACACCAACATGGCACATGTATACATATGTAACTAACCTGCACGTTGTGCACATGTACCCTAAAACTGAAAGTATAATAAAAATAAATAAATAAATAAATAAATAAAATGTCTTCTCAGTTTTTGAGAACTCTGTTTTAAAGTGAAAGTTAACAAAACCAGTAATTTCCAGAGGCTGAAATTATACCTGTTGAAGTTGCATCTGTTGAAGAAGGAGCAGATCTTGCAGCTTCATATTTAATAGCAATACTATATTCATATACTGACCAATATTTGACAAATGTGTACTGGGTATCTACTATGTGGCAGGCAGTTTTCCATATGCTTGAAGTACAGTGGTGAACAAGAAAAACAAGGTCCTTGCTATAATCTTAATGTAATTCTAATTCTGAAATATAGGATAGAATGGGGCAGAGGCAGACAATAAAAAAATAAATAAATGAGGTAACTACAGGTAAAAATGAGTGTTATGATTAAAATAGAGTGGAATAAATGACAGAGATCGATTGTGGGTGAATGGTGGGAAATTTATTAGAGGGTTCAAGAATGATGTCTCTGAGGATACTATTGAAGCAGGGGTCTAAGGAGATGAGGAGCTTCCCATTTAAAATTTGGGAAGAAGTTGTTAAAGAGAAAGAAAGCTGGTGAGGCTGGGCAAAGGTATTCTTTCCCAGAGCTTTCGTGCTTGTTTTTTTTCTCTGTCCATAAGTAATTTGCTGTTGGAGAGTTGAAAGGCATAAGAGCCTTTTAGGATATGGTCAAGAGTCTTTTTTCATTGAAAATACAGGGTACCTCACTTAAGAGTTTTAAGACAAAGAGTAATCTGTGCTACTTCTTATTTTTCAGAAACAATTTGATCTATTGTTTAGAGAAGGGATTGAATGGATCCAGCAAAGGCAGAGAGATGACATAGGAGGCCATTCCATTAACGTAGTGAGAAAGCACAGTAGCTTAGACTGAAATAGAAGACATTTGCATGTACTTTGGAGATGATAGAATCAAAGGCATTTGTAAATTAATTTGATAGAGAGAAAGAGGGGATTCAGTCAGAGTCATACCCATCTGTTCCCATATTAATTGTGTCATGGAACTATTGGGCAAGCCAGTGGTCAGGTAGAATAAGTTCATATTTAATATTTTAATAGAAGTTCTAATTATATAAAATGGCATTTATCTCCAATAAGTAAGGCAATATGGGAATGTTATTGGTTTTCCTGAAGCTAATCTGGGAAATAGTGTCTCACTTCAATTTGATTTTAAGTAAGCATTTAAAATTGTTTTTCACCACACGCAAAACCCTGTTCTAGGTGCCTCAAATAGAATACCAGCTAACTGTCATTAATACTGTCAATGCTGACTTAAGCTCTGTTAATTCATTTAATACTTACCACAAGACTTAGAAATCTCTACCATTGTTATTACTCTTATTTTGAATATGAAGGAACTGAAATATAAAAATGTTAAGTGAACTTTCCAAGGTCCCTCAGACATAGATGGTGGAATCAGATTTTAATGTAGGCAATTTGTCCCTCAAACATGGAACAGGACTGCCTTGTAGAAAAGTCTTGAAGCATTATGTATTAAGTCAGAGTTTCTCATTTTCTTCTCATTCTACTCACTTCAAGAGTGAGAACGTCTGTGTGTGTTGAAGGGTTTCATTTACAAGCTAATGTTTTCTGATGTCCTACTTGTATGATTGCTACAATGAGAGAGACAAAATATTTTTAAAACTCACGTTCTATGCTTCGATTTCTTCAAATTCATAATGCAAAGTCAGATTTCTCTTTCTCTTTCATACAATGGAAGAAATATCATGTTATTAGTGGCTATTTAGGAGAAGAAACTGATTTGTAACAAGGCTAATTTTCTTGATCAAGCAAAGTAGCCAGATAGAAGATCAAAAACAAAATCAAGAACTTTTCCCCCTGACAGCAATGGCAAATTAGAACATGTATTAAGAATAATAATTATAATACTTAAGGATTCCTTCCCCATTCGCAGAAACTCTTTAAGTACTCAGCAAAGGACACCCTAAAATTCCTAACCATTTTAATGTCCCATTATGGAGAAAATTTCAAAATATGAATAAAGAACACATTTAAAGACTGAATAAATGGAAATCTTCACTCTGTTTATAGAAGCTCAGTATTGTTAGGACCAAAATATCAGTTCTTTTTAAATTCATCTATATTGTAGTCTCAATCAATATTTTGTGGGAGTCTGTAATTTTAAAATTCATTCATATCAAAGCATAAGACTGGGAATGAAAAAGTTTCAAAAAGAACAAAGAAGAGTGGTTTGTTCTGCTGGATAGCAGTACATCATAAACCTATGGAAAATTAATAATGTGGGATATTGGTGCATAAGTAAGTAAGTAGTTTAACACAATAAAAAGTCCAGAAATAGACATATGTGTGTATATGTGTGTATGCATGTGCATGTGAATGTATTTTAAGTATCTTTAACAATAAAAACCAATGTAAAATACCAAAACTAATGGGAGAAAAGCAGCTCAATAAGTGTCAAGAGGTTTATCATTATAATATAAAATAAAATTAGATTCATACCTTAACTATGTAAAACTAAAATAGAAATAAAATTAAGACTTAAGCATAAGGAAGCAAATAAGAAAAGATAACTAAGAAAATACAGATTATAAAGAAATGCCCTTAAACTTAGCAAAGTCCAAACAATTAATAAAAGCAAAAATTTGTGGACTGATGGGAAAAAGGGGTACACTCACACAAAAGGGAGAATATAAATTGAATCAGGCATTTTAGAAGGCAATTTGACAGTACTATTTGAAAGAAAAATTGCATTGACTTGACCTATTTTCTCTTCTAAACATATATCCTTGACAAACAAAGCAGTGGAGGAGAAAGGAAGCTACTTAGAGATATTTTTATTGCAACATTAATTACAACACCAGAGTAGCGAATATGACCTGAAAGTCCTTTTGTAGTATATGGATAAATTATACCTATAGTCCTACATTGGAATTCTACAAAACACTTAAAAGGAAAGAGCTAGACCTACTTCTTTAATGTGTCTATTTCTTTAACATATTTTGAATTTAAAAAGCAACTTATAAATACTAATGACAGTATAATATAATTTACATGAAAATGTGCATAGAAAGCACACTTTATGTTTACTATGCTTTGGCAAGCCAAGACATGATAAAGGTCCAATGATGAAGCACAAAAGAAAATAATAGCCTATGTAGTTTGTCACAGGGGAGAATTACTTTATATGTTACAACTGGTGGAAGAGTCACACATGTGACTTGGCTGCTTCTAGCCTCCTCTGTGGAATGCAGAAAATTTCCATTTTCTACACTCCTCTGAACTTTGGAACACCACTTCCAAAAGAATAATTAAAAACCAAACTTCAAGCTTTTGGGGCAATTCCGCTTCTCCAGGAAGGTTGCCATCAGATGGATCTTGGAGTGCATTAGTGTTGGGAACAGGACCCCCAAAATCTGGCCATAAACTGGCCCCAAAACTGGTCATAAACAAAATCTCTGCAGCACTGTGACATGTTCTTGATGGCCATGATACCCACGCTGGAAGGTTGTGGGTTTACTGGAATGAGGGTAAGGAACACCTGGCCCACCCAGGGTGGAAAACCTCTTAAAGGCGTTCTTAAACCACAAACAATAGCATGAGCTATCTGTGCCTTAAGGACATGCTCCTGCTGCAGATAACTAGCCCAACCCATCCCTTTATTTCAGCCCATCCCTTTGTTTCCCATAAGGAATACTTTTAGTTAACCTATAATCTATAGAAACAATGCTTATCCCTGGCTTGCTGTCAATAAATATGTGGGTAAATCTCTGTTCAAGGCTCTCAGCTCTGAAGGCTGTGAGACCCCTGATTTCCCACTCCATACCTCTATATTTCTGTGTGTGTGTGTCTTTAATTCCTCTAGCACCACTGAGTTAGGGTCTCCCCGACTGAGCTGGTCTCGGCAAGTGGCGTCCATTGTAGGGGCTCGAATCCAGGTCAAAGGGTCGCTGGAGCAATGGTTGGAGAATGTGGAACTAAGCCAGAGGACACCCAAGCACTCTTAAAGCAATCCCTATGGTGAGTAAGAAGGGGAGTTTGGATGCATCAGGGTAACAATGGGACAAGCGTGGACTCTGGTTCATTCCACCTTGGAACTTTTTCACACTGGTGATGAGGAGAAAGGAGAGCATAACAAAGTAACAGAAGAGGTTACAGAGCTGGTTTGTTTGCCAGCTAAAGCTAAAGTGGCAAAGGAGGGAGAGGTTCATCCCTACCCTTCTGCACCCCCTCATTATTATTTTGAAGAAAAAGAGTGGACTGACCCTCCAGATCTTTCTTTTCCAGAGGATACTGGGTGAAAAGTAGTTGCCCCAGTGACTGTTCAAGCAGCTCTTCCAGCAACTTCTCTCAGTTCTATTCAGGCAGGAATTCAGCAAGCTATAAGAGAGGGTGATATAGAGGCTTGGCAGTTCCCTGCTAGAATATACCTCCCCCAGATCAACAGGGAAATATTTTAGCTATATTTGAGCCTTTTCCTTTTAAATTACTCAAGGAATTTAAACAAGCTGTTAATCAGTATGGACCAGGTTCTCCTTTTGTAATGGGACTGCTAAAGAATGTTGCTGTTTCCAGTCAGATGATTCCTACTCATTGGGACGCTCTTACTCGAGCTTGCCTAACTCAGTTCTTACAATTTAAAACTTGGTGGGCAGATGAAGCTTCCATTCAGGCTGCTCGCAATGCCCAGGCCCAACATCAAATTAATATAACTGCAGACCAACTTTTGGGGGTTGGCAGCTGGGCTGGTTTAGATGCACAAGTGGTCATGCAGGATGATGCCATAGTACAGCTTAAAGGAGTATGCATTAGAGCTTGGGAAAAAATCACTTCAGGTGGAGAGCGATACCCTTCCTTCAGAGCTGTAAAACAGAGTCCAAAAGAACCGTACATGGATTTTATAGCTCGGTTACAGGAGTCTCTTAAAAAGGTGATTGCAGATTTGGCCGCTCAGGATATAGCATTGCGGTTATTAGCTTTTGACAATACTAATTCCGATTGCCAGGCTGCTCTGAGACCTATTAGAGGGAAAGCACATTCAGTTGATTATATCAAGGCCTGTGATGGTATCAGAGGTAATCTGCATAAGGCTACTCTGCTAGCATAGGCAATGGCAGGACTGAGAGTGGCTAAAGGAAATACTCTGTTTCCTGGAGCTTGTTTTAACTGGAAGCATGGTCATACTAAAAAATAATGTAGAAAAAATCAGCAAGTCAGGCTGCCAGATAGGGGAAAAAAGAAAACTGCTGAGCCTGAAATATGTCCAATATGTAAAAAAGGAAAACATTGGGCTAATCAGTGTCACTCTAAGTTGATAAAGATGGGAACCCAATTTTGGGAAATGCCATTTGGGGCCTGTCCTGGGCCCCATTCCAAACAGGGGCATTTCCAACTCAGGTCATTCCCTCACTCCTGTACAAGGTCTGTCCCCCACCACAGCCGGTAGTGCCACAGTAGATTTATTCTGCATGAAAGCTGTGAGCCTTCTGCCTGGGGAACCCCTGCCAAAGGTCCCAACAGGAGTCTGTGGACCCTTGCCAGCAGGGACGATAGGATTACTTCTAGGAAGTCTAGTTTAAATTTAAAAGGGGTACAAATACATACAGGAGTCATTGACTCAGATTACAATGGGGAAATTCAAGTTCTTATATCTACTTCTGTTCCCTGGAAAGTAGAGCCAGGAGAGCACATAGCACAGCTCCTGATTGTGCCGGATGTGGGAATGGGAAAAAGTGAAATTAAATGAACAGGAGGGCTTGAAAGCACAAATAAACAAGGCAAAGCAGCTTATTGGGTAAATCAAATTTCTGATAAATGTCTTACCTATGAAATAACTATTCAGGGAAAGAAATTTAAAGGTTTGGTAGATACAGGAGTGGACATTTGAGTCATTTCTTTACAGCTCTGGCCGTCCATGTGGCCAATTCAATCCACTCAATTTAACATAGTTGGAGTTGGTAAAGCCCCTGAAGCATATCAAAGTAGTTACATTTTGCATTGTGAAGGGCCTGATGGACAACCTGGAACTATTCAACCAATTACAACTTCTTTACCTATAAATTTATGAGGGAGAGATTTATTACAACAAAGGGGAGCACAAGTTCTAATTCCAGAACAATTATATAGCCCTTAAAGTCAACATATGATGCATGAAATGGGCCATGTCCCTGGTATGGGACTAGAAAAAAATTTGCAAGGTTTGAAAGAACCGCTTCAAGCAGAAAGACAAAGTTCCCACCAAAGATTAGGATATCATTTTTGATGGTGGCCATTGTTAAGCCTCCAGAAGCTATACCTTTAAAATGGTTAACAGATAAGCCAATTTGGATAGAACAATGGCCGCTAAGTAAAGAGAAACTGGAGGCTTTAGAGGAATTAGTTACTGAACAATTAGAAAATGGGCACATAGCTCCAGCATTTTCCCCTTGGAATTCTCCAGTTTTTGTAATAAAAAAAAAATCAGGTAAATGGAAATGATAACTGACTTAAGAGCCATCAATTCAGTCATACAATCTATGGGAGCATTACAGCCAGAATTGCCTTCTCCTGCTTTAATTCCAAAAAACCGGCCTTTAATAGGCATAGATTTAAAAGACTGTTTCTTTACTATCCTCTTAGCTGAGCAAGACTGTGAAAGGTTTGCATTTACAATTCCTGCAGTAAACAACCTGCAGCCTGCTAAGAGTTTTCACTGGGAAGTGTTGCCACAGGCATGTTAAACAGTCCAACAAGTTGGCAGATGTATGCAGGGCAAGCAATTGAACCTACAAGTAAAATTTTTTCACAGTGTTACATTTTTCATTATATGGATGATATAATTTGTGCTGCCCCCACTCGAGAAATATTACTCCAATGTTATGATCACTTGCAATATTCGATTTCTCATGCTGGTTTAATTATAGCTCCTGACAAAATTCAGACTACTACTCCTTACTCCTACTTAGAGACCTTAGTAAATGACACTACCATTGTGCCACAGAAAGTAGCAATACATAGGGATCAATTGAAAACTTTAAATGACTTTCAAAAATTACTAGGGGACATTAATTGGATACGACCTGCTCTAGGCATTCCTACCTATGCCATGAGTAATCTGTTTTCTATCCTTAGAGGAAATCCTAGTCTCACTAGCCCTTGGCAATTTAACAAAGGAAGCTAAGGCAGAGTTACAATTAATTGAAAAGCAAGTCCATAAAGCTCAAATAAATAGAATGGATCCAGAGAAGACTCTAGATTTGCTAATTTTTTCAACTCAGCATTCACCTACTGGTGTTATTGTCCAAGAACAGGACTTAGTAGAGTGGCTTTTTCTTCTACATACTAATTCACAGACTCTAACTCCTTATTTAGATCAAATTGCTACTATGATAGGAAATAGGAGAACTCAGATTGTTAAGTTACATGGATATGATCCTGGAAAAATTATTGTCCCTCTCACGCAGGCACAAATACAGCAAGCTTTTATAAATAGTCTTACTTGGCAAACCCATTTAGCTGACTTTGTGAGTATTCTCGATAATCATTTTCCTAAAATGAAAGTGTTTCAGTTTTTGAAATTAGCTAATTGGATTCTCCCTAAAATAACTAAATTTAAACCAATTGCATGTGCTGAGAATGTTTTTACAGATGGGTCTAGTAATGGTAAAGCTTCTTATTCTGGATCGAAAAGTAAAGTTTTCCAGATGCCCTATACTTCAGCTCAAAAAGCAGAGCTTGTAGCTATAATTGAGGTATTGATTGCTTTTGATATGCCTATTAATGTGATTTCTGATTCTTCATATGTGGTTCGTTCCATACAGTTAAATGAAAATCCTCAGTTACAATTTCATACAGATAAACAACTGATGACTTTATTTACCCAATTGCAAACAGCAGTTAGGAGTAGAATGCATCCTTTTTACATCACTCACATTAGGGCTCATACACCTCTTCCAGGACCTTTGACTGAAGGGAATCAAATGGCTGATCACCTATTTGCTAATGCAATATCTAATGCTAGACACTTTCACAATTTAACCCATGTTAATGCCTCTGGTCTCAAACGCAGATCCAGTATTACCTGGAAAGAAGCTAAAGCTATTATCCAGTGATGCCCAACTTGCCAAATGGTACATTCCTCATCTTTTACAGGAGGAGTTAATCCTCAAGGATTGGAACTTAATTCTCTTTGGCAAATGCATGTCACACATGTTCCCTCATTTGGGAGACTAGCTTATGTACATGTATGTGTGGACACCTTTTCTCACTTTGTCTGGGCCACATGCCAATCAGGAGAGTCTTCTGCCTGTTTTAAATGTCACCTTTTGCAGTGTTTTGTGGTGATGGGCATTCCAGCTTCTATTAAAAAAAACAGATAATGCCCCAGGCTATACTAGCCAAGCTCTAACTGCATTTTTCTCTATGTGGAATATTAAATACATTACTGGTATCCCATACAATTCTCAAGGACAAGCCATAGTGGAAAGAATGAATCTCTCCCTAAAACAGCAATTGCAAAAGCAGAGGGAAATAGAGAATATGGAACACCACAGATGCAACTGAATCTAGCATTATTAACTTTAAATTTTTTGAGCCTGCCCAAAGGCCAGATGTTATCAGCATCTGAACAGCATCTACAGAAACCAGCTGCAAAGACAGAAGCAGAACAACTGGTTCGGTGCAGAGATCTGATAACAAAAAGTTGGGAAATAGGTAAAATAATAACTTGGGATAGAGGCTATGCTTGTGTTTCTCCAGGCCAAAATCAACAGCCAATTTGGATACCATCAAGACACCTGAAACCTTATCATGAGCCAGATGCCAAAGAAGAGATTCTGGGAGGATCCCAAGGACCCCATGGTTGCAGCCATGTCATGACTGATGCTGAGGAGGACCCCAACTGTCACAAGCAACACCCGTTGAACAGAGCTACCCACCTGGGGACAGATTAAGAAGTGGTCACAGATGGTGGAAGAAAACCTGAGGAAATCAAGACAACCAGTCACAATGAGTAATTTAATGGTAGCTATGGTAGTGGTGATCATCATTGCCATGAATATTCCTTCAATAAGGGCTCACACAGAGAGCAAATATACTTATTGGGCATATTTATCAATCTTGGCTGGCAATAATGCCTGGATGTAATCACTCTATGACACAGTTACACATGCTTTCTGGCCTCAGTATTTACCATAATAAATCTGCTCCTATAATTGAAGCACACTGCCCTCAGAAACCTATTTGTAAACAAAATTGAACCTGGCCAGAAAAAATGAACATACTTGTTTAGGAAGATTGCATTGCAGAACAGGCAGAGGTGCTGTGCAACAATTCCTATGGAATCATTATTAATTGGTCCCCTAAGGGGATGTTTAGCTTAGATTGAACCTGTCAGTCTGCATGCCACAGCCACACTATGTTCAGATGGTCTGAACAAAATGGTCAGATGGTAGAAATGATAAGTACGGCAAGAGTTCCTATTATCTGGAAACATGGTGGTATAGTGGCATAGCAACCTCAAATGATATGGCCTGTTGTCGGAGCTAAACATAAGGACTTGTGGAAACTATTAATGACTCTTAATAAGATCAAAATTTGAGAACAAATATTTAAAGCATCCCATGCACACCTGAACTTAATGCCAGGAACTGGAGTGCTTGAAGGAGCTGCAGACAGATTAGCAGCTAGTAACCTACTAAAATGGATAAAAACACTTTGAAGCTCTGTGATTTCAATGATGATTGCACTTTTAACCTGTATTGTTTGTCTTTGTATAGTCTGCAGATGCAGATCCTGACTCCTGCAAGAAGTAGCTCACTGTGACAAAGCTGCCTTTGCTTTTATCGCTTTGCAAATCAAATAAGGGGGACATGTTGGGAACAGACCTCCCCACACACAAAATCTGGCCATAAACTGGCCCCAAAACTGGTCATAAACAAAATCTCTGCAGCACTGTGACATGTTTGTGATGGTCATGATGCCCATGCTGGAAGGTTGTGGGTTTATGGGAATGAGGGCAAGGAACACCTGGCCCACCCAGGGCGGAAAACCTCTTAAAGGCGTTCTTAAACCACAAACAATAGCATGAGCTATCTGTGCCTTAAGGACATGCTCCTGCTGCAGATAACAAGCCAAACCCATCCCTTTATTTCGGCCCATCCCTTTGTTTCCCATAAGGAATACTTTCAGTTAACCTATAATCTATAGAAACAATGCTTATCCCTGGCTTGCTGCTAATAAATACATGGGTAAATCTCTGTTCGAGGCTTTCAGCTCTGAAGGCTGTGAGACCCCTGATTTTCCACTCCACACCTCTATATTTCTGTGTGTGTGCCTTTAATTCCTATAGTGATGCTGGGTTAGAGTCTCCCTGACTGAGCTGGTCTTGGCAATTAGAAAACTATGTTTACTTGCTCCCTTGTAACCTTGATTTTGTCATGTATCTTTGCATATTTGTTTTTTGGTTTATAGAAAATCAAAGCAATCTAAACATAGTTTCTTTTTTTTCCAATTTTTATATACTGAGCTCTGTTTTGATCTATAGACCTTATATTTATTTTAAAATATTTTTAGATGTTTGGAAAGATGAATACCAAAGTAACATTGATTGTCTCTGGGAATAGGGGAAGATTGAAAGATGTAGCTGTAAATCAGAATGATAGTGGAGAAATAGGTCTTTGATTTCTCATGTTTTTCTATATATTTTTAAATTTTTATTTTGAAATAATTATGTTAACAAGAAATTATAAAGATAGTACAGGGAATTCCCATGTTCCCTTCTCACACTTTCTCCAAATGGTAATGTTATATTTTGTGCTATCTCTACTATAGTATCAAAGCCAGGAATTTGACATTGGCACAAATGTATTTCTAGTTCTGTGTCATCACACGTGTAGATGCATGTAATCAGCACCACATTTTTCTGTATTTAAAAAAATTGAAGAAATGTACTTATGTTACATAATTAATTTTTAAAAGATGTTAAAATTACTATAATTTTATCATTCATTCAATTAGTAGCTATATAGTTTCAATTATTTGAATATCTCATAATTTATTTAACCAATCCTCTATTCTTAACCACTACCAATTCATTTGATATTACACACAGAACCAAGAAAACATTGATGCACATTTACCTTTGCAAAATAGTCCAATGATTTTTTTCTGTAAGCATGATGGGTCAAACCATATGCAAATATTAAAAATATTTGCAGATTGCCTTCTAAAAATGTTGTATTAATCTAAACTCCCACTGAGAGTTTGAGTTAGTATTTTCTTGGATTGTAAAAAATGTACGTACTTTTAAAGGTTTCAGCACTTAGCAGCATCCAGCACAAAGTAGATATCCCAAAAATAGGTGTCCAAGAAATTAATGCATGGAATAATTTACCAATTTTTAATGAAAAGACTGTAGCTTTTTATAAATGAATTTTTCATTTGATTAGTGACAAAGGGGACTGTGGACCTTTCTTTGTAAAACTGGAAAATATTTTTGCTTATTTCTTCTGTGAACTTTCTCATCATTTCTTTGCCCTTTGAAATAAAAACACACTATAGTGTATTTTTTGCACTGATTCTTAATTTTTGTTTTAAATTAAATATATTAACTTCTCATTTGTTACAGAATTAGCTAATTGTTCTTATCAGTTTTCATTTTACTTTAAGTTGTATCTGAGGTATTTTTGTATAAAATTATTTTTATTTTTGTGGATTCAAATCTAACCCTTTTTTGATATGGCTATTGAAGCTTTATTGGAATAAGTCATTCCTAATATGAAATCAGTTTATATTCACCTAATATAAGCTAATTTGTTTATAATTAATATTTTAACTAAACATTTTATTGTATTTCATAATGTAGAACTCAAATTATTTTTCCCAATTAGTTAACCTCATGTGCAAACACTATTTGTTAATAAAATTTACATCATTCTCTAATTTGAAGAGTGGTCCTTGGAGGATGTTAACTTTTCCCATATATTAGGAACTGTGCCTTGGTTTGTTATTTTATTGTTTTGTTTTGCTTACTGTTTTATTTTAGTAGTCTCAACTTGCTTTAATATTTGTGCATTATAAGATATTTAAGTATCTAGCAGTGACATCCAAACAATATTATTTTGGAAAATTGCCATGCCAATTAACTTTTGAAATAAAAAACTTCACTAAAACAAAGTATTTTTATTATTTGTAATTGCTTATTTTTTCCCATAATTAAATTCCAATCACAACCTCAAGTAGAGTTTACTTTTTTGATAAACTTTTTGTATAGTGGAATTGAAACATGGATGTCTAACCAACAATTACACCCTCTTTGCCATCCTTCTCAAAGAACTAAGACCTTACAAGGGAGAAGCCAATTGGGAATTTGGAAGGGAGGGCGGGAGTGATACTTATTTGTGAGAAACATTGAGGATATTTTGTGGAAACAGCCCAGAGGTGATAGAGTTGAAGAGGCCAAGTCCCATACATGTGAAACAGTAACATGCCTAGGAATTACTTAGAGAAATGTCCCAAATAAATGACATAAATGCCCTAATTGTGATAGAAATTTGAGGTCAAGGACCACACAAACACTGAAATATCATCTCTCTGGTAAAGACACCTAAATATTACACAGTCTTAATTCTCTGAACACCAGACTCCTCCATGCAATTTCTTACCCAACATCTCTTTATGTGTGGGTAATAGCATTTTGATTCTTGTCTTATACAACCCTCCCTCTGATTCCAAATCCACTTATTGCCATATCTTCCTCATTTTGACTTCAACACTAATCACATGGTTGCTTAGAATAAATACCTAGGGGTTACTGATTATCCTTTATTTCTCTCTCCCTTTCCCTTATATCCACAGTTAGCCTACCATCAAGTTATTTAGCCTACCATCAAGTTCTTTGGACTACTTCTTAAAATTAAGCGGGTGGAGCCAAGATGACTGAATAGGAACAGCTCCAGCCTACAGCTCCCTGCGTGAGCGACACAGAAGACGGGTGATTTCTGCATTTCCAACTGAGGTACCGGGTTCATCTCACTGGGGAGTGCTGGACAGTGGGTGCAGGAAAGTGGGTGCAGTGCACCCTGTGTGAGCCCAAGCAGGGCAAGGCATCATCTCACCCAGGAAGTGCAAGGGGTCAGGGAATTCCCTTTCCTAGTCAAAGAAAGGGGTGATAGACAGCACCTGGAAAAATCGGGTCAATGCCACCCTAATACTGTGCTTTTCCAATGGGCTTAACAAATGGCACACCAGGTGATTATATCCCGCACCTGGCTCGGAGGGACCTACGCCCACAGGGCCTCACTCATTGCTAGCACAGCAGTCTGAGATCAAGCTGCAAGGCAGCAGCAAGGCTGGGGGAGGGGTGCCCGCCATTGCTCAGGCTTAAGTAGGTAAACAAAGCAGCTGGGAAGCTCGAACTGGGTGGAGCCCACCACAGCTCAAGGAGGCCTGCCTGCCTGCCTCTGTAGGCTCCACCTCTGGGGGCCGAGCACAGACAAACAAAAGACAGCAATAACCTCTGAAGACTTAAATGTCCCTGTCTAACAGCTTTAAAAAGAGTAGAGGTTCTCCCAGCATGCAGCTTGAGATCTGAGAACAGGCAGACTGCCTCCTCAAGTGGGTCCCTGACTCCTCAGTAGCCTAACTGGGAGGCACCCCCCAGTAGGGGTGGACTGACACCTCACACGGCCAGGTACTCCTCTGAGACAAAACTTCCAGAGGAACGATCAGGCAGCAGCATTTGGGGTTCACCAATATCTGCTGTTCTGCAGCCACCGCTGCTGATACCCAGGCACACAGGGTCTGGAGTGGACCTCCAGTAAATCCCAACAGACCTGCAGCTGAGGGTCCTGACTGTTAGAAGGAAAACTAACAAACAGAAAGGACATCCACACCAAAAACCCATCTGTAGGTCACCATTATCAAAGACCAAAGGTAGATAAAACCACAAAGATGGGGAAAAAACAGAGCAGAAAAACCGGAAACTCTAAAAATCAGAGCGCCTCACCTCCCCCAAAAGAACACAGCTCCTCACCAGCAATGGAACAAAGCTGGATGGAGAATGACTTTGACGAGTTGAGAGAGGAAGGCTTCAGAAGATCAAACTACTCCAAGCTAAAGGAGGAAGTTCAAACCAATGGCAAAGAAGTTAAAAACTTTGAAAAAAAATTAGACGAATGGCTAACTAGAATAACCAGTGCAGAGAAGTCCTTAAAGGACCTGATGGAGCTGAAAACCATGGCACAAGAACTACGTGATGAATGCCCAAGCCTCAGTAACCGATGCGATCAACTGGAAGAAAGGGTATCAGCGATGGAAGACGAAATGAATGAAATGAAGCGAGAAGAGAAGTTCAGAGAAGAAAGAATAAAGAGAAACGAACAAAGCCTCCAAGAAATGTGGGACTATGTGAAAAGACCAAATCTGCATCTGATAGGTGTACCTGAAAGTGACGGGGAGAATGGAACCAAGTTGGAAAACACTCTGCAGGGTATTATCCAGGAGAACTTCCCCAATCTAGCAAGGCAGGCCAACTTTCAAATTCAGGAAATACAGAGAATGCCACAAACATACTTCTCGAGAAGAGCAACTCCAAGACACAGAATTGTCAGATTCACCACAGTTGAAATGAAGGAAAAAATGTTAAGGGCAGCCAGAGAGAAAGGTCGGGTTACCCACAAAAGGAAGCCCATCAGACTAACAGCTGATCTCTCGGCAGAAACTCTACAAGCCAGAAGAGAGTGGGGGCCAATATTCAACAGTCTTAAAGAAAAGAATTTTCAACCCAGAATTTCCTATCCAGCCAAACTAAGCTTCATAAGTGAAGAAGAAATAAAATACTTTACAGACAAGCAAATGCTGAGAGATTTTGTCACCACCAGGCCTGCCCTAAAAGAGCTTCTGAAGGAAGCACTAAACATGGAAAGGAACAACCAGTACCAGCCACTGCAAAAACATGCCAAATTGTAAAGACCATCAAGGCTAGGAAGAAACTGCATCAACTAACGAGCAAAATAACCAGCTACCATCATAACGACAGGATCAAATTCACACATAACAATACTAACTTTAAATGTAAATGGGCTAAATGCTCCAATTAAAATACACAGACTGGCAAATTGGATAAAGAGTCAAGACCCATCAGTGTGCTGTATTCAGGAAACCCATCTCACATGCAGAGACACAAATAGGCTCAAAATAAAGGCATGGAGGAAGATCTACCAAGCAAATGGAAAACAAAAAAAGGCAGGGGTTGCAATCCTAGTCTTGGGTAAAACAGACTTTAAACAAACAAAGATCAAAAGAGACAAAGAAGGCCATTACCTAATGGTAAAGGGATCAATTCAACAAGAAGAGCTAACTATCCTAAATATATATGCACCCAATACAGGAGCACCCAGATTCATAAAGCAAGTCCTTAGTGACCTACAAAGAGACTTAGACTCCCACACAATAATAATGGGAGACTTTAACACCCCACTGTCAACATTGGACAGATCAACGAGACACAAAAAAACAACTGTTTCAATTAGACAAAACTTTGTGTATTAGTCAACAAGTGAATGTAAATAGTGTATAAGTAATTTGACTACACATATATGTAGTTTAATACATGCAGCAGCAGTTTAATTTGCATTAAGATTGCCCTTGCATGTGTTTTAAATTCAGAATAATTTTGTATATTCTTTCAGAATGATTGATTATATCAAAACTGTTCTGGTAGAAGCTGAAAACAAACACCTATCCCCCCCATTTCCAACAAAATATGGATGCAGAAGTTAAAAAATGTCGGAAACTATTTCAATATGGAAACTGAAATGCATAATGTTAAAAAATTATGAAAATAATGGAAAGAATCACAATTGCAAAAAAGTACAACTAATATAAATGACAACAGAGTTGATAAAGGAAGTTGTGAGAATGAGGACACAGCAAAATGTGGGTGGGTTGTTGGGGGAAGATTGCAGGCAGGAAGAAACAAAGGGAGATGAGAATAACAGAAAAGCAATGCACAATTTTTGTGGTCAAAACAGGGCATTAAGAACAGTGGTTTTGTTTAGATAAATTTGTTGACTTTGATAAGTCCTATCATCTTCAATAAACATTAAAATGAGCTATAATTATAATCACTGTTTAATAAATAACAGATTGTTTACTTATGATCATTGACCTAGGAATATTTATAGATTATCAAATAGAATATATAATGGAAAAAGAGATGATTATTAAACAGATGTTTGAAAAAATATGAAAATATTTCACTCTTACAACATCCTTACTATTCTATACCAATTCTAAAGCTTGCTTATATTTGTGCTTATCAACTGTTTACAACTGTTTAAAAACAAGACAGACCGTATTTAAGTTAGATCAATCTTCAGACCGAATGAATACGTTAAGAGCTCTTAAAAGTCATGAAGACAGGATCAAAGCAAGCGTAATTACTTTAATTTTGAAAAACAAATGAAAATTCACCAGACCAGTATCTTAAACAGACAAGACAGAACATTCAGTTCTATTTCAAAGTACTAAAAGGAGTAGTTGTGGTTAAGTTTTTAAGTGAATGAGGTTTACTTTTCAGAGGTCTTGATGAAAAGAGATTTGTCAAATAATAGAAATGGTATAATAATGGTTGAATTTCATCCATATTTTGCACAAGTACTTTAAAAAATTTCAGATAAAAATGTGATTTATCCAAAAGAGTTTATGCAAAATTAAACAAAATAATTGGAAAGCATGGACAAAATGAAGCTATAAATCTAACAAATCAGACACTACACACTGCTCATTATTACAATGTTTACTTTGGATATAACTACCACAGACTAATTAGTTGAGCCTTATTGTGTGCTACTGTTATCATGCAAAACCCTCTGAACAATTCTTACATTTCTTGCCAACTAAAAATTATTTATTAGTGATTGTTTCAACAAGTAAAATCTGGCATGATTGCAAAGTGTCTTGTGACAACATTTGTGGTCAGTCATATGACTGAATGGGGTGAACAAAGAGCTATCCACCTATAAAAAAGGAGACAACATATGTAATAGGCTGCTTATTCTCTTATTCTAATCAGATTTTTAAAAGACTGCATCCACAGTACCTGAGGTTATTGACAATTTTTGGCATTTTACAAAAGTAATAGCTTTTCCATTTCAAATATTGTATATTCATGCCAACTTCTTTAAAGATAATAGGTGTAATGGGATGATCTGTAAATTGTAAAACTGTGCAAGTCCTGTAACATTGCTACAACAAAATTTTGAAGACTCTAAAGGATATTTCAACACATGGAAGAGAAGCCTATACATAAATGGAATGCAAACAATTTATTCAAAAAGTTGATACAATTCAAATACATCATTTTAGACTATGAGTTACACATATGTTTTAGAACCTTTTGAAAACATATCTGACATTATAAGCTTATGTTTATATTACAAGCTTCTTATTTTTATGTATATAAAAGTTATCTTCTTTTATTCAAAAGAATTTCAAGAAAACTAAGTAAAAAATGGTTGATAGTTGAATCTAAAACAAAGTGATAAAATCAAAGGATGGAATAGTGAGAAATTATTGTGACTTCTAAAAAAATTTTCAGTAAAATGTCATATAATACCAAAGACAACAGTTTAATAAAAGGAAGGAGAAACTCTGAAGAGCTAAAATGAATAGGCTCTTTTATTATTTGTTTATGCATTTAAACATAGAAAGTGAATATACATATTAGAAAAAAATTTATAATTATTATAAAATTATTGGTAATCTGATGGCATTAGTCACTGCATTAAAAAACTGGAAATTCCCAGAAATATTATACTTCATATATTTTTAAAAAATCTATGATTTTGTTTCAAAATGTGACTACAATCTGAAATTTTTAAATAAAAATACCAACTAGAAGTTGTAAAGTGAAAATAAATTATTCTAAATTATTAATAATAAAAAATTCAATCAACGATGCCTTTCCTGTTAAAGCAAATTATTACATACAATTACTGATCTGTAAAGAGACAATCAAGAAGACTGTGGTGAAAAATTTAGGATAAAAAAGTATTACTGACAGATAGGCAGTTAATTAATAAAATCAATAGGTTATTTTCTGCTTTTTGTAATATTTGTTTTATTCATCAATTTTTATAAAGTGTGATTTGCAGAGATTTATTTTCTCTAGATAAATATTCTCATGTAAACCTGACCTTAATTTTGTACTCATTTATATTAAAGAGACCCCACTTTAAACAGAATAAGCTTTGGGCTCTATCATACCTTCACCTGGTTGTGAATGTTCACAGGTAAAGTGTTAAATGTATACAAGGAAAGTATTTACTAAAATTGCAGCTTACAATATTTGCTTGCCCCAATCATAAAGTAATGATTATAGAGACAGCATGAACAGTAACTGTTGATTATGGGACAGAAGTCACTGTGGAATTATGATATCTGAGAGAACAAAGACAAATGAGGTGAACCACAGATAACTCCTTGATTCTCTGCTTAGAAGCACTTTCTGGACAATGGGGCAGGGAAGTGAATCACAAACAGAGTATAGCAGTCTCACTGAGCTCAGGAGGCAATGATTAAAGACTGAGGTTGCAGTTGTGGCTGTAGTTTGCAAGGCAGGGAATCATAAAAGAGCACCAAATATTCAAGCCATGCATTCATAGGGCGATACTTTTAGAGGCCTGGCACAGAGCAACAGAGAATTGGGAAACTGTGAACCAAATACTGAATTTGATTAAAAGCAAGAAATGATTATTCAGTGCATTAAAGAGGTGCATTTAAGTAAAATTTTACTGACAGTTTAAAAGTAACAGAATTTCAAAAAGTATAAAAAAAACTAACTCTAAGAAAGCTGGAGTGACCATATAAATAATATTAAAGTAAACTTTAAGACAACTATGTAGCTTATACCTGTAATGCCAGCATTTTTGTGGCAGGCCAATTCTCCTTGACAGTCACACAGACAGACCTCCATAGCGCTCCAATTATACAGACAAATTTCCAAATCTTTTGCTTTAACATTAAGTTAATAATTAAACCTAGGAAAATTGATGCCCAGACATTAAAGTCAGAAAGGAAACATATGTTCTGTAAGAGCCTTGCTCAGGCTTCTCCTGAAAACTGCAGCAAGTCAAGACAGTGGAGACAGCCTTACGTTCTTTGTACCAGGACCCATCTTGGGTCAACAAAACCTGAGGTGAGTCAAGGTAACAAACACAGCCTTACAGGCCTCATACCAAAACCTGTCTTGGGTCTGAAACAACTTTCTGGACCCAAACCCTAGGTAGGATAAGATGGAAGTAATCACTTCGGTACCAGGACCCTCATTAAGTAGATTTAGAAGACATTTCTGGGCTGTGTGTGGTGGCACATGCCTGTAATCCCAGCACTTTGGGAGGGTGAGGTGGGTGGATCACCTGAGGTCAGGAATTCGAGAACAGCCTGGCCAACATGGCGAAAGCATGTCTCTACTAAAAACACACAAATTAGCCAGGCATGATGGCATGCACCTGTAGTCGCAGCTACTCAGGAGGCTGAAGCAGGAGAATCACTTGAACCCAGGAGGTGGAGGTTGCAGTGAGCTGAGATCATGCCACTGCACTCCAGCCTGGGTGACAGAGTGAGACTTTGTCTCCAGTAATAATAATAATAATAATAGAAGACATTTCTTAGTCACCCTGGTACTGGGGCTCTCATGGATTAAGTAGATTTAGAGGATATTTCTTGCCTCTGCCCTTCTAGTTAAAACAAAAATTAATAACCTATAGATTTAGGCAAATATGATACTACACATAGGCATATAATCCAAACATATATAAGCACTGGAAGAACTTTAGCACCCTGAGTTGGTCTGGAAAATTATCTCCAACATTCTCCCTTTATCTAATTACAGAAGTAAACTCTCTTCTTTCCCAGTTCATCTGCATCTAGTTATTGGGCCACAAGAATACGCATATGGACCTGGTTCTGTCTGGGAACACATTTGGAGGCTGAGGCAGGAGGATTATTTGAGGCCGGGAGTTTGAGGCTTTAGTGAGCTATGATTGTGCCACTGAACTCCAGCCTGGGTTACAGAGAAAACCTCCATCTGAGAGAGAGAGAGAGAGAGAGAGAGAGAGAGAGAGTATTACCAGAGACAAAAAGGGACATTATCATATGATGAAAGGATCAATGCGTCAAAAAGACTCCACAATCTTAAATACAGATGGAATTAATAATTGGGCTTCAAAATTATGACACAAAAAGAAAAATAGAATTACAGAGAATAATAGACAAATCCAGGATAATTATTGGAGACTTTAACACTCCTAGTATTTAAAATAAAAATATAGCAAAAAAATCAGTAAGGATATAGAAGGTCTGAATGTTAATGCTATCGACTTAATTGATATGTATAAAACAATCCATCCTACAACTGTAGAATTCATATTACTTTTTAAGTGTACATGGAACACTCAGCATTATGGACCATATGCTGAGTCACAAAATGCCGCAATACATTTAAAAATTGTAATCTTAGCATATACTCTATGACAACAACTGAATTGAGTTTAATATCAATAACATAAAGATACCTAGAAAATTTCAAAATATTTAGAAATTTAAAAATATACTTCTAAATATCAATGGGTCAAAAATAATATCACAAGTGAAATTAATAATACTTTGGACTAAATAATAATTTACACATATCAAAATCTGTGAGATGCAAATAAAAAAGTGATTAAAAGAAAATTTATATTATCAAATGTTGTATCATAAACAAAGATTTAAAATCAATGATATAAGCTTCCACCTTAAGAAGCTAGAGAAAGAAGAGCAAATTAAAATCAAAGTAGGTAAAATTAAAAAAAGTAGAGATCAATGAACTAAAAACAAAAATAGAGTAAATCAATGAAATATGAAATAGTGCTTTTGAAAACATAAATAAACTTGATAAACTGCTGACTAGAGTGATTAAGAAATAAAAGGGAATACACAAAAGATAAACATCAGAAATGAAAAAGGGAACACCACTAGTGATTTTAGTCATAAAATATTTAAGATTATTATGTGAAATTTATGCTAATAAATTTGACAATTTAGATGAAATGAACAAATGGAAAATTGACACAAGTAAAAATAAAAAGTTGAAATAACTTCATATTTATAATATGATTGTATAATTATTAAAAACTTTCTCAAAAGAAATCTTTAGGCCGAAATAGATTCCCTGGTGGATTCTACTAAATATTAAAAAAAAAAGACAAAAAGAACCTCAACCCATACCTCACACTATACACAAAATATAATTCAAAATAAATCATAGGCCTAAGCATTAAAGTTATAATTATAAAACATCAAGAAATAAAGTGAAAAATACATCTTTCTGGCTTTTGGATAGGCAAAATTTTTAAGAATCAAAAATCATAAATGACAAATAAATTAATTTTATGAAAAGTAAAAATATTACAATGAAATAATATGTAAATGTGAAATGATATAGAATCAATTATAAAACCATAAAGCAGATACATTAGTCTGTTCTCACACTGCTATAAAGATCTCCCTGAGACTGGGTAATTTATGAAGAAAAGAGGTTTAATTGACTCACAGTTCTGCAGGCTTAACTGGAAGCATGACTGAGAGGCCTCAGGAAATTTACAATCATGACAGAAGGGGAAGGGGAAGCAAGCACCTTCTTCACATAGCAACACGGCAGAGAGGGTGTGAAGGGGGAGGTGCTACATGTTTTCAAAAATCCAGATTTCCTGAGAACTCTATCACAAGAACAGTAAGGGGACATCCATCCCCATAATTCAATAATTTCTCACCAGGCCCCTCCTTCAACACTGGGAATTACAATTCAACATGAGATCTGGGTGGGGACACAGAGCCAAACCATATCAACAGACACGAAAAGTATAAATCATATCATTCTATTTATATGAAATTTCATAACAACTAAATCTGGTATAAGAAATCAGAATAGTAGTAGTTTCTGCAGGTGGAGTAGAGAGTGACTGGGAATAGCATTAAGTTATCCCTACAATATAGTTTGGATATGTGTCTCCCCCCAGATCTTATGTTGAATTGTAATCCCTAGTATTGCAGGTGAGGCCTCATGGGAAGTGATTGGATCATGGGGGTGGATTTCTCATAAGTGGTTTAACACCATCCCCTTCGTGCTCTCCTCATGATAGTGAGTGAATTATTGTAAGATCTGGTTGTTTAAAAGTGTGGGCACATTCCTCAAACTCTCTCTTGCTCCTGCTTTTGCCATGTGATGTGTCTGGTCCCACTCCACCTTCCGCCGTGAATAAAAGCTCCCTTATACCTTCCCAGAAGCCAAGCAATGTGTTTCCATGCTTGCACAGCCTACAGAACTGTGAGCCAATTAAATCTCTTTGTATATATATAAAGAAGGAACTTCTTGGGTTGATGAAAATATTTTTTATCTCAGTAAATATGTGGGGTACATGAATGCATGCAATTGTCAAATGCATTGAGATGTTAAACTTAATATCGTGAAAATGGCCATACTGCCCAAAGTAATTTATAGATTCAATGCTATCCCCATCAAGCTACCATTGACTTTCTTTGCAGAATTGGAAAAAACTACTTTAAAGTTCATATGGAACCAAAAAAGAGCCCGCATAGCCAAGAGAATCCTAAGCAAAATGAACAAAGCTGGAGGCATCACTCTACCTGACTTCAAACTATACTACAAGGCTACAGTAACCAAAACAGCATGGTACTGGTGCCAAAACAGATATATAGACCAATGGAACAGAACAGAGCCCTCAGAAATAATGCCACACAACTACAACCATCTGATCTTTGACAAACCTGATAAAAGCAAGCAATGGGGAAAGGATTCCCTATTTTAAAAAATGATGTTTGGAAAACTGGCTAGCCATATGGAGAAAGCTGAAACTGGATCCCTTCCTTACATCTTATACAAAAAATAACTCAAGATGGATTAAAGATTTAAACATAAGACCTAAAACCATGAAACCTCTAGAAGAGAACCTAGCCATTACCATTCAGGACATAGGCATGGGCAAAGACTTCATGACTAAACCACCAAAAGCAATGGCAACAAAAGCCAAAATTGAAAAATGCAACCTGATTAAGCTAAAGAGCTTCCGCATAGCAAAAGAAACTATCATCAGAGTGAACAGACAACCTACAGAATGGGAGAAAATTTTTGCAATCTATCCATCTGACAAAAGGCTAATATCCACAATCTACAACAAACTTAAATTTTTAAGACAAAAACAAACAACCCCATCAAAAAGTAGGCAAAGGATATGAACAGACACTTCTCAAAAGAAGACATTTATGCAACCAACAAACATATGAAAAAAAAGCTTATCATCACTGGTCATTAGAGAAATGCAAATCAAAACCACAGTGAGATATCATCTCATGCCAGTTAGAATGGCGATCATTAAAAAGTCAGGAAACCACAGATGCTGGAGAGGATGTGGAGAAATAGGAATGCTTTTGCACTGTTGGTGGGAGCGTAAATTAGTTCAGCCATTGTGGAAGTCAGTGTGGTGATTCCTCAAGCATCAAAACTAGAAATACCATTGACCCAGCAATCCCATTACTGGGTATATACCCAAAGGATTATAAATCATTCAACTATAAGGACAAATCTACAAGTATGTTTATTGTGGCACTGTTCACAATAGCAAAGACTTGGAACCAACCCAAATGCCCATCAATGATAGACTGGATAAAGAAAATGTGGTACATATACACTGTGGAATACTATGCAGCAATAAAAAAGGATGAGTTCATATCCTTTGCAGGGTCATGGATGAAGCTGGAAACCATCATTCTCTGCAAACTAACACAAGCACAGAAAACCAAACACTGCATGTTCTCACTCATAAGTGGGAGTTGATCAATGAGAACACATGCGCACAGGGAGGGCAACATCATACACCAGGGCCTGTCTGGGGGCTAGGAGAGGGATAGCATCAGGAGAAATTCCTAATGTAGATGACGGGTTGATGGGTGCAACAAACCACCATGGCACAAGTATACCTACATAACAAACCTGCATGTTCTGCACACGTACCCTAGAACTTAAAGTATATATATCTATATAAAGATCTGTGAATTTCACTGCTTGTGAATTACACGTCATTAGAAAATGTTAGCCATTCTACCTACCAGTCTATATTCTTCTGATTTAATTTTTGTTTTTATTTTAATCAATATTGATTAAAGTTAAGAGTTAAAATCTCCACAGTCTCTGAGGATAAAATGGGCTAAGTGCAGTTAAATTTCATTGGCATTGCCTAAAGTTTATAATCTGAGAGTATACGTTGTTTTTGCTTTAAAGTATTCTGTTGCTTGACTTGTGGAAACATGTGCAACATGTTTATTTATTTAGTTGTCCATTAGTAAAATGCAATGTTCCATTTTGAGGAATGATTTTTATACTGCTCTGCACTCAGTGATTATCACAATTCTAAACAAACATGCTCTGTTGGCTTAAACCCTAATTCTAATATGGTGTTACACTATAAATGATTATATGGTGTGTAAGCCTAATACTCTTCCCATCATTTTATGGCATTCAGGCTTCATGCATTTGGGGAAGGCTTTCTGATGTCAAATGTATTTTCAGTTTTCTAAGCAGCCCATTTCTTGAAGGACTGGCAAAAGGAAGCTATTCTGACAATTTGGCTGAACTCATGGAAATTTCAGGCTGGGCCAGATGGTAAGACTCAGCTGTTGTGTGAAGCAGGTAAAGGCAGCATTTAAAATGCTACTGGCAGTTTTCCTGAGACTTGACAACAACAGATGTTCTGGATTTCTTTTTCCTAAAATGTTCTCCAAAATCACAAATTATGTGGCATTATGTTTGTTTTGCAGACAAAGGAACCTTTTCCCACCAGAGTGATAAGTGATTGTGATTACTTTAATCTTATTGTCAGAACTTTAGCACTAAATTCAATATGATTGAGATAAGGTGCAATTTTGGTTATTTTTCACTAAGACAAGGCTGTGTAAGGAACACGGAGAAAATGTATTATTATGATGGGTTGTCAAAAATGATAGACCCCAGCCATGCAAAAGCCATCATGCAAAGCACTGGCAAGAGATGGGCAGTTTTGGACTGTGTCCACAAACTGCTTTGCTCAGGCTCAGAGGGGTTTTGTGTGTGCTTGTGTGTTGACATCACAGCCAAGCACTGAGATATGTCAATTTTGCAAAACTGAATTGTATTTGTCATTTTAATCACCAAAATTACCAGCACTATTTCAGTTAGCTGGTCATTAAAGTGACTGAATTAGATTGACTGCTCTTGATCTGATTGCTCACTAGGAAATTGATCTTCAAAAAGACATTCCAGGCAACTGTGATAATAAGCCATGACAATGTGATGCTAAACAGCTGTGAATTGGGAGCTCCTCCCATGAGCCTAGTGTTTTTGCTCAGCAAAGAGTAATGGGAACGTTTAAAGACTTCGTGGAAATTAACAAAGTAAGTGTTTTTCACTTCAATGGAAACATTACTTAATGCAAGAAGCTAGCTAAATTTAAAAGAACAGAAAATGGATTGTTCACATCTTAACCTTTTCTCCTTTGTTAAACTCACTATTTTATGGAGTTTAAATAAAATTTCAAGAAAATACTTCTATGCAACTGGGTAATTTTTACTTAAAATTCTAACTTCAGGAAGGCCAAGAACAACAACAAAAACAGCGTATTAGTAAACTATAATTCAACAGGTGCAATGTTTTAAAAGGAAGCTGTTGGAAGATGCATTTTTCCAGGTTTGGAGAATATGGTAATAATAAATCTTTTATTTCTGTTGGCTTCTCCCAAACTACCATTTCCCCCTCATGTTCTGACATACTTCTTCACTGCTAGCTTGCTGTGTGAACCTTCAGTCCATTTTAAATTACCTAAGTAATTATATGTAATTTCTTTTCTTTTTTTTTTCTTTTTCTTTGAGACAGAGTCTCATTCTGTCGCCCAGGCTGGAGTACAGTGGTGCAATCTCGGCTCACTGCAACCTCCGCCTCCCGGGTTCAACCGATTGTCCTGCCTCAGCTTCCCGAGTAACTGGAACAACAGGCGCCCGCCACCTCGCCTGGCTAATATTTGTATTTTTATTAGAGACGGGGTTTCACCATATTGGCCAGGCTGCTCTCAAACTCTTGACCTCGTGATCCACCAGCCTCGGCCTCCCAAAGTGTGGGGATTACAGGCTTGAGCCACTGCACCCGGCCTGTAATTTCTATCTCTGAAAGATCGGTCTGCACCATTGTCTGGAAATTTTGTTTGCTGAAGCAGTTGCTGTAGTCCTTCATCCCCTTCACCGTGGCTGCTCTTCCTGTATATGGATATGGATGCTTTACTGCTGTGCTTGTATCCAAGCTGGCACTGGATCGTGCATATCTTATGCTGACTGAAGGTAAGAAAAAATATCCTTCATTCATTTGTTCAGTATTTTGACAAATAATTATGGGGCTTATCTATATACTATGAGTTAGCATCTTATATACAAAATTATTTAAGTCAGATAAACATTATAAATTTTTCTTCTAATTAGGAAGCAGAAGACCTTTACTGGTCACATAATTTCTTAGTTCTAGCTCAGGCCAGGGCGTCCTTTCAGACTGTAGCTCAAAGCCAGCTGTGGTTCATTTTAGGCATATTAATACATGCTGGAAGAGCCCTGCTTCTTTCAGGACGTAAGAGGTTCTGACCAATGTCATTCTTCTTCTAAACTTGAGTGTCAGAGCAGTTAAAAGATACAAGAGTGTCATAAGGCAAATAATGACCAAAATATAAACTTTTTTACAGAGGAAGTAAATAATAAGACAATGGTTTATATCTGCATATAAAAGGGATATAAGCTAACTTACCTATTCATTTCAACGGCAGAGGCTATTTGTAGAATGTATAGCATGGTGAATCCAGCAAAGTAGTGCCATTTATGGGAAGAAAAAGGGGTGAGGGACACATGCCCAGTTCATCAGATGAAGTTGACCCTTGCCCCTTGGGGATATTAGGTGAAGGCACTGGGAATGCTGCCAAGAGGGTTAGAGGAGCTTCCATGGAAGGAAAAAACCCTCCCCCTGCAATAAGATTTGCTACAATCATTTCTCCTCTACCCATCAGTAGGGGAGGAGAGCTTCCACTGAACTTACCTCTTTTTCCTTCCTAGAAACTAGTCTTTTCCTCTTCAGCTTCCATTTGGAGTCAGACATTAATTCCATAAAGTACTCTCTGGAAATGGTCTTTAAGTGTAGACATAAATGATGCAAAAAAGCTAGGACTGTGAATATCCAGGGGTAGAATTATCTGGACAGGTGAAGCAGAAAATGCAAGGATTCCTTCAAAGGAAATATAAGGTACAGAAATAAGGTCATTGTGGTTAAAAGTAAGAGAGAAATGGGCAGGACATGAGCTCACAGAGATGCACAGAGGCCATTTCACTGGCTTTGCAAGGTGAATAATTGGATTATATTCTATTTACAATATAAAACCCATGGAAACTCATAAGCAGGAAAGTGCTAAATCTAAGTTTCAACATCCTATGTTGCAAATGAATTAGAGAGAACACTGGACACAAGAAAGACAAAGGTTGTTTTAAGAGTCTAGGTGAGCCATGATACTGCCTTGAGCCGGAGTGGAGATGATAAGAAGTAATGAATTTGGGGTATATTTTTAAAGTAGAGCAAGTTCAACAATGTAAATTGAATACAGAGGAATGTATGTATGAGAAAAAGAGAGGACTCAAAAGTATACCACAGTTTAAAGTTTAAATAATTGAGAAGGTAGTGCAGATAATTAATGAGGTGGGAAAAACTTATGGAGGTATGAGGTTAAGTTTTGTTTTTAGAAAACCTAGATCTCTCTCTCTGTCTCTCTCTCTCTCTCTCTCTCTCTCTCTGTCAGTTTTGCTCTCAAGTTCATTTTGACGCACTGTTAAATATTCAAATGGAGATCAGGTTGCTAGTTTGATATATAGGAAATCTGGAACTGAGGGAAGAGGTTAGGACAGGAGACATAAACTGAAGAGTCATCAGTATCCTGATGGCATTTAAAGCCATATGATTGGACGAGATCCCAAAGGCAGAGGGTGTAGATATCTAAGAGAAGAGTGCATGTTAGGAGCCTGGTATTTCAATATCCAGCCACATTCCATAGAGTTGGTACAACATATTTGTCTATAAGCCTTTGTCTCATTCTCTTTTATTAGTCTAATAGCTGTATCTCTCATTGTCTCTGCTCAGTTATTGTGGGAAAATAAACTTTTATCGTAGAAAGAGATTTCTTTTGATACATTTGAACTAAGGTGTGTTAGAAACCTCGTCCCTCCCCGTTGATGAGTTGTATTTAGCTGTCTTTGCAGATAATGTATATTTAATACATTAAAAATAATTCTGTCTGAAAACCGAAGAAATTTTAAGCCCAATGAAGAGTTGCTAGTGCCATAAGGGAAAATTTTCTTTACAGTTTTCTGGAGAGATTAGCAATCATTCTTCCTGTTTATTGAATCAGGCATACAATGAAATCATGACCATATCCTGAGGGGATTTAAAAGCAAGTTGAATCCATTATAATATTCTGGACAGGGAAAATGAATATTCATCAGCTTTAGTAAGTATTAGCTATACCTCCTACAGTTTTAGGTGAAATTTAAGCTTGAATTTAAATGGCAATTTGCGTTACCAAGAGATTTTCTTAAATTGGAACCAGAAAAGTTCTTAATACAACAGTTTAATAAGAAAACGTAGCTTTTAAAAATGTATTCATTTGGGTAATTTTCTTACCTTCTGCATTCATTTTCCTGAAAAGTTGTTTAAATAGTTACATTGACCAGAAGAAATGTGACTTTCAGCTCAAGGGTGAACTTGGTTATTTTTAAAATAGTAGGAACCATTCCTGAGATGATATGCATTAGGTTATGTGTCACTGGCCTGGCTATCTAGATTTCTGGTTGTGGGCTGGAAAGCAGCACTAACAAAATCTACGTCTTTGGACATACCATATAACTTTTTTGGAATTCAGTGTCTCCATCTGTGTAACATAGTAGCCTATGGTCACTTTCAGTTTTTGTTCATGACATTTAATATTGCAAAATATTTTAACTTGTGAGTACTATTATTCCTAAATCTAATGCAATAAGTGAATGGATCTAATATGTTTCTGGCTACTAGTGCTGAGTTATGTGCCCAACAATCTATCAGATGCTTTCCACATACTACTGCAACAAATAATTTTAAGAATTCTATCCTTAAGGTATTTTTATTCCTATATTACATATGAGATAAATGAAGCTCTAAGGGTTGAAGTAGCTTGCCCCATATCAGACAACCAATTATTTCTAGGTCCACCCAACTGCCAAGTCTATATGTTCTCCCTAATAGATTTCTACTGGAGCCCTACTCACAAGAGTTGGTTTTAACAGGTATTGTCTTGTAAGACCTATCTAGAATGTGTTTTTAGACTTTAAGACCTATAAAACTGTATTTGCAGATCCTTGATAATATCTTTAAGATTGAAAACAAATTCTTTCTCTCAAATGTCTCTCTCATTGACTTCAGTGTTTCATCAAATTAAGTAAGAATATGGAGTCCTAGAAGGTTTAGTTAAGAATACAAAAATTGTTGTTAAGAGGTTCATATCAGTTAATTACTCCTCATACTCCACTTCTGAAAAAGCAGAACTGTAAGAATACCAAAGTACATTGTTATGACAAATGACATTTTCATGAAGAATTTAATGAACTCCTATTTCTCGAGGAAAACTCCAAGACAATCAACATGAGCATCTTCTGATACAACTCTACCAGAGATCAACCTAGTAAGAATTAGTGACGGGAGTAGGCTGCAATCTTCATTTTAAACAATGTCCTCCCTCATATGGTTTGGCTCTGTGCCCCCACTCAAGTCATAGTTTGAATTATAATTCCCAATGTTGGAGGAGAGACATGGTAGGAGGTGATTGGATTATGGGGGCAGACTTCCCCTTGCTGCTCTGAGGATAGTGAGTGAGTTCTCATGAGATCTGGTTGTTTAAAAGTGTGTAGCACTTCTCCCCTTCACTCTCTCTGTCTCCTGCTCTGCCATGTAAGGATTGTGCCTGCTTCCCCTTTGCCTTCTGCTATGATTGTAAGTTCCCTGAGGCCTCCCCAGCCATGCTTCCTGTATAGCCTGCAGAACTGTGAGTTAATTAAACCTCTTTTCTCCATAAATTACCCAGTCTCAGATATGTCTTTACAGCAGTATGAGAATAAACTAATACAGAAAATTAGGATCAGAGAAGTGGGGCATTGCTATAAAGATACCTAAAAATATGGAAGCCAGTTTGGAACTGGGTAATGGGCAGAGGTTGGAACAGTTTGGCGAGATTAGAGGAAGACAGGAAGATGAGGGAAAGTTTTGAACTTCCTAGAGACTTATTGACAATTGTGACCAAAAATGCTGATAGTGATATGAACAGAGATGGCCAGGCTATTGAGGTCTCAGATAGAAATGAGGAACTAATTGGAAACTGGAGTAAAGTCACACTTGCTATAATTTAGCAGAGAGACTGGCAGCATTGTGCCCCTGCTCTAAAGATCTGTGGAATG
This sequence comes from Homo sapiens, assembly GCF_000001405.40. Classification (NCBI taxonomy): domain Eukaryota; kingdom Metazoa; phylum Chordata; class Mammalia; order Primates; family Hominidae; genus Homo; species Homo sapiens. The sequence goes on from NC_000004.12 coordinate 45,069,229, forward strand.
TTGAGAGAGATGATTAGGGATCTCGTGGAATAAATTTCTATGCAGCAAAATGTTCAAGGTGTAAACTTGCTGCTTCTAACAGTATATATTCATATCTGTTCACAAAGTGATGATCTAAAATTGCAATATATTTAAAAGGGAAGAAGAGCATAAAATATTGGAAAATTTGCAGCTTGACCATGCAATAGAAAAGAAAAACCCATTTTCTGGGAAGGAATTCAAGGCTGCAGAAATTTGCATCATTGAAAAAAAGTGAAATGTTAATAGCCAAGACAATGGAGAAAATGCCTCCAGGGCATTTCAGAGACCTTCATGGGAGCCCCTCCCATCACAGGCCTGGAGACCTAGGAGGGAAAAATGTTTTTTTGAGCCAGGCCCAGGGCCACGCTGCTCTGTGTAGCCTTGGGACATGGCACTCTGCATCCCAGCTGCTCCAGCTTCAGCTGTGCCTAAAAGGGGCCAAGGTAAAGCTCAGGCCATTGCTTCAGATGGTGGAAGCCTCAAGCCTTTGCAGCTTCCACATCGTTTGGAGCCTGTGGTTGCACAGAAGGCAAGAGTTCAGGTTTGGAAGCCTCCACCTAGATTTCAGAGGATGTATGGAAACATCCAGGCAGAAGTCTGTTGCAGGGGTGGAACCCTCGTGGAGAACCTCTACTAGGTCAGTACAGAGGTAAAATAGAGCATTGGAGCCCCTACACAGAGTCTCTGCTGGGGCACTTTTTAGTAGAGCTGTGAGAAGAGGGCCACCATTCTCCAGACCCCAGAATAATAGATCAACTGACAGCTTGCAATGTGCACCTGGAAAAACCACAGACACTCAGCATCAACCCACGAAATCAGCAGTAGGGTCTGTAACCTGCAGAGCCCATGGGAAGAGCTGCTCAAGGCTTTGAAATCCCACTACTTGCATCAGTGTGGCATGCATGTGAGACATGGAGTCAAATGAGATTATTTTGGAACTGTAGAATTTAATGACTGCCCTACTGGGTATTGGACTTGCATGGGACCTTTAGCCCCTTTGTTCTGCCTGATCTCTCCTTTGGAATGGGGCTATTTACTCAATGCCTGTACCCACATTATATCTTTGAAATGACTAACTTGTTTTTGATATTACATGCTCATAGATGGAAGGACTTGCCTTGTCTTAGATGAGACATTAGCTTGGACTTTTGAGTTAATGCTGAATGAGTTAAGAGTTTGGGGGACTATTTGGAATGCACAATTGTGTTTTGAAATGTGAGAAGGATATGAGATTTGAGAGGAGCCAGAGGCAAAATGATATGGTTTGGCTCTATGTCCCCACCCAAATCGCATGTTGAATTGTACTTTCCAATGTAGGGAGAGGGACCTGGTGGGAGGTGATTGGATCATGCAGTGGGGAGGGGATTTTCCCCTTGCTGTTTTCATGATAATGAGTCAGTTCTTACAAGATCTGATTGTTTAAAAGTGTGTAGCACTTCCCCCTTTGCTCTCTCTTCTGCTGCAAAATGTAAAGACTGTGCCTTTTTTTCCTTCACTTTCTGCCATGATTGTAAGTTTTCTGAGGCCCTCCAAAGCATACCTCCTTTACAGCCTGTAGAACTGTGAGTCAATTAAACCTCTTTTCTCCATAAACTACCAAGACTCAGGTATGTTTTTATAGCAGTGTGAGAATGGGTTAATACACTCCCCATCCAACTCCTTTTTATTGGGTCACTGCCAAAATCTGATGAAGACAGATCCAGGTTAAAAAAAAATCAAAGTCTTTGAATTAAGAGAAAATTCCAAATCAAATATGTCTTTAAAAACTTACTAAATTTCCCAGGAAGTACAGTATACACATTTTTGAGTGTACTACTCTATAATATAAAACTATCATGATGTAGTGTTTGATACTAGCATGTTTCTCTTTTGAAACACTTAAGCAAGCATGAAAATTTCATCTGGTGGCATTTTCTTTTCTATTGCCTTCATCTTTTTCTTAGATAATATTTTAAGCTAATTTTCATTTGTGTAAATTTTGTTTTACTTTTTTATTCTATGATGTTTAAGAAAATGCACCACATACTTCCATGCAGCATGAAAGATGTCATTCACTTCTCTGTGAGACTGTAAGACAGTGTTAAGAGTCTTTTATTCTTGTCTCTCTGTGCTTTATACCAACCTGCAAAGACTCACTTTCAAATATAAACTTTACTTTAGACTTGTTTAAAAATATATAGAAAAACTATAGACACGACACTACAAAGTTCTCATATGCCCAACACTCAATTTTCCCTTATTATTAGTACCTGTTTTTACTATGGTACATTTGTCACAATTAATAAACCAATATTGATATATCATTATAACTAAAGTCCACACTTTTAAAAGATTTTCATGAGTTTTACCTAATGTCCTTTGCTGGCCCAGAATCCCATCCTGCATATTGTATTACATTTAGTAGTCACGTCTCTTTAGGATCTTCAGGCTACTCCATATTGTCACAGTTTCTCAAACAATTACTCTTTTTGATAACCTTGACAGTTTCAAGGAATACTGGTCAGGTATTTTGTAGAATCCTCCTCAGCTGGACTTTTTCTGAATTTTTTCCACAATTGCCCTGGAGTTAATAATCTGGAGGGGGCAAGACCACAGAAGAAAAGTGCCATTCTCATCACAGTATATCAAGCTACATATTATCAACATGACTTATCACTGTGGGTGTTAAATTTGATTGTCTGGTTCAGATAGTGTTTGTGAGATTTTTTTCACTATAAAGTTATGCTTTTTCCCATTTCATAATATAGTCTTTGGAAGGAAGTAATTATGCACAGCCTACACATAAGATATGGGGAATTATACTCCACTTACTTGAGTTGGATTATCCACATCAAGTATTTGAAATTTTTCTGCATGAAAGATTTGTCTATTTTCTCTATTTATTTCTTTATTTAAACATTGGCTTATATTAGTATGGCCTTATGGACATTTTTGTTGTGGTTTGGATTATAATCAGATACTACTTTGTATATTTTGTTGCTCATATTATTTCAGTTCTTGGTATTGGGAGCACTTTCAGCTGGCTCCTGTGTCTGTCTGAAATCTTTAACATACCCCATGTGTGCATGTTTGTGCGTATATTTGAGCATTTCTTTACTTTTTAGCATTACAAAATTCTCTGAGCTTATTTTGTATAATTCCTACCCTAGCTTTCAATTAGTCATTTCTTTAAGGATCCCTGGTTTAATATTGAACATTGGTTCTTTTTATCTGATTGCATCTATTTCCTGTTGGCATCAGAGTCTCAGTGATTATACTAACAAACTAAAGATAATATAAGTCACATATCTCTCATTCTGAGTAAATGCATGTTTGTGTTTTCTAAGTTAAATGCTTGTGTGTTTTGATCGTATCTCTCAGAGGCAGCCCTGAAGGCAGTAGATTTAGAAAAAGAATAATAAAAATATTAAAGACTAGGCCCTGACTTAATAGTTACAGCAAAATTTTGGTTATTTTAAATAACTTCATTTGAAAAAATAAAAGTTAGATTGTATATAACCTCTAAGTTGTTGCTTTGTGCACATCAAAACACATATCTCTTTAAATACATGTAAATCTGTAAGTGTGAAGATATGTCTTCAAATAATACTGATCTATGGGTTTTTTGTCCATTAGAACAGAAAAGAATTAAAATCAAATCTGTAATAATTTATATTGTATTTGGCATTTTATTAGTAGGATATTTTTTGTTACTATACTTGAATAATTTTAATAGAAAAATAAGGGTATATCTTGTTATTGCATTTCTATGGTATATTAGTCTGTTCTAACATTGGTATAAAGAAATACCAGAGACTGGGTAATTTACAAAGAAAAGAGGTTCAATTGGCTCATGGTTCCACAGTTTGCTTGGGAAACACAGTGGCATCTGCTTCTGGGGAGGCCTCAGAAACCTTACAATCATGGCAGAAAGTGAAAGGGAAACTGGCATGGCTGGAGCAGGAGGCAGATAGAGCAAGTGAAGGCGGAAATGCAACACACTTTTAAACAACCAGACCTTGTGATAAATCTATCATAAGAACAGCAATCGGGAAGTTTACACACATGATTCAATCAGCTCCCACCAGGCTCCTTCTCTAACACTGAGTATTACAATCCGACATGAGATTTGGGTGGGGACACAGAGCTAAACCATATCATGTGTCTTATAAATTGCATTTTTATATTTCTCACTTATTTAAGTCTCATTTTTTAAAAAAATTGATCTTAAGAGAACAGTGTATTTCTTAAATTTCTGTTTGAGACTATGTAAACTTGGAAATTGGTATAGAAAATATAAGGTAGATTTCAAGTTGGATAGAAGTTTTCTAATTTAGAATATTTCTATTTTTCTTCTGTAGGAATGGAAAATCAAAATCTATATTAACAATACTATAATTAAGCAATAAGTTGATTTTAGCTAAAAATGTGTCATGAATCAAAGAATATTTTGTACTAGCCAGCACAACCTAGCTAAAAGAATGTTATTTATTATGTGAAATAGAACAGTTTTGACAATAGTAGTTAGACACCTATCTTCTGACTGATTCTTTCTTCAGTGATATGTAATTCACATATAATATTCACATTTACCAAAAAGTACAATTCAATGCTTTTTGCTGTACTCATAAAACTGCTTAACCAATGTCATTAGGTAATTTGAGGACATTTCTTAACCCCCTAATAACCCCATGCCCATTAGCAGTTACTTTATATTCTGCCCTCCTTTCAGCTCCTGGCAACCACTGATCTATTTTTGACTCCATGGATTTGCCTATTCTAGACATTTCATACTAATGGAATCATACAATATGTGGCCTTTTGTGTCTGTTTTCTTTCACTCAGCATAACATTTTCAAAATACATCCATGTTGTAGCATGAATCAATACCTTATTCTTTTTTCTGGTTGAATGAGGTTCTGTTGCATGGATATACCATTTTGTTTATTCGTTTATTAGTTGATGGACATTGGGTTGTTTCCACCTTTTGGCTATTATGAGTAATGTTATGAATGCTCAGTACAAATTTTTGTGTGCTCAATATCTGTTCAATTATCTTGGCTATATGTCTAGGAGTGGAATTGCTTAGTAATAAGGTATCTCTATAAGTAATTTCTTGAGGAATTGTCAAGCTGCTTTTTGGAACAACTGCAACATTTTACATTGTCATCAGCAAGCTATGATAATTCCAATTTCTTTACATCCTTGTCAACACTTGTTATTATTTAAAAGACATAATGTAAATTCTGTGTTTTTACTATACCCACTTTATAGATGAAAACATTGAGTTTGTTACCAAGTGTTAATATTTTCTACATAAAGTTTCCAGTAGAACTGTACTAGAAAGAATATAAATATATATATTTGATAACTATATTATATAACATTATTTTCAAATTGTTACTATGGGTAGTTAAAACATTTTCCTTGAAATTATTTAACCTTATGTATATGCTGATAGACATTTTTCTTCAAAAGTATTGAATGGGTTGTATAAATTAATATACAATCTGTAATAGTTAAATCAGAAAGGATACATTCTAACTTTTTAGATTTTAGTTTAGATGTTCTTGGGAGATAATACTTTTAAAAAATGGCTTCCAGTGATATTCTGAAAATATTCTCCAGAAGGGGGGCTCTAAAATATAAGGACAGAGTTTGATTTTGTGGTGTAAGCATTGGCAGAAAAAAGTCTCCCTGGTGAGCAATTTTAACTTAGCTCACTAGGTATAGAGATGAGAGTTTGTTTCTGAAAAAAAAGTTACTCAAAATTACTGTAATAATTGAATATCTACTGACTTATTTGTAATGGTAGAATTAAATCATATTATCATATAATGGAAGCTGTGACAAAAATTTTCCTTGGATGTACTTGCACTTAATTTCTTTGTGTCGTTTTTTCCAATACTTTGAATTTCCTTCTATTGTAAATCAGGCCTTGTAATAATGATTAATGGTAAATTTTGCAAGGAAATAATTGTAACATTTTAAATAAAGTCCAAAGGGGAAAGTTAAACCTTTTAGCATTATGATAATCATACCCCGTTATATTAACACTTTCCCAGTCCAATATTCATACTTGTCCTTACCAGAAACATCTAAGATCTGTAAAGTAAGCAAAACCTTTCAGTAAGCAAAAAAGATTATAAACTGCTTGCAACGAAACTCATGTACTTTATTTAGACAGCTTCACAGACCTTAGTTTGAGTTTGGTATACTTTATAACTTCATTGATTCAATAAATGTCTGCTTGGTGCCATTAAGGTAGTGATAAATTGTGACAAACAAGTTTCTTTTTCAGGTGTCAGGTAAAAGCAGTGGCTGCATAGAAGGGCATGTTATAAAAAATACTAACTCTGTACCCTAGCCCCATTGGAAAAGAATGATAAATACATAGCAGATGTGCAGGAGAATGAACCTACTTGCTTGCCAGATATTTTCAAATCCGGATATGTGGAAAACAGGGCATGGAAATTAAGCAAAACATCTTTCTTTCCTTTAGGGAATTTATAATCGAACAGGTAGAGATAAATAATTTAAAATATTGTGCAAATAATTAGAGAATAAAAATATAACTGCTATAAAATAGGTCCATAGAAAATGTTTCGTGGACTCAAAGAAAGAAAGATAAAGTCCTAGGTATATGTTAAGCTTGTTTAGAATGTTACACTACATATGTTTTCCTATATATTATCTCACTGAAGTCTCACAAGACTTAAGTCTAGGTGTAGAATTTATGATTCCCAACTTACGAGAGGAGAAGCTGCTCAGAGGGTTAAATGACTTGCCCTAATTCACAATTAATGATTCTTTTATTTTGTTTTAATTAAGAACCACTTCATCCTGCCATAACCTCAAGGCACAAACTTTGGATTTGCACTTAATTCCACATCTATTTTTCATAAATGGTCAGGTGATTATTTGTGATTATTTTCCTGCATCTATTAGCTGAATTATTTCAATAGAGAGGTATTTTCCTCATTAATTATATTGTTATCTAAAAATTAGTGATAGGAAAGGCAGAATAAATATTTAATTATTTTAATCCAGTTATCAGTTTTCAAAATAATGAGATAATTTTCTTGCATCCACTAAAGGTAATCAATGAATTTTTCTTTTGTCATATCATCATAAACTCATGGATATAAACATATTGATAGATTTCAGTTCATTACAGTTAAATTATGCTTACCAGTGCTTAAATTGTCCCATGTTCACTCACTAGAAACCTAATTAAATTGGTTCCTTCTGATATGATCTCAGTATTCTTGGATGGATACTCTTTGGGCTAATCTGATCTATTTCCTACCTCAGAATTGGAATCAGCCATTTCTTCAAGGAGACCTAAATTGGTGTAATGTAAAATAGTATTTAGAGCTACAATGTAAGAACTAGGAATACTCATTTCTATTGAATTAGTCATTGCTTTTAAACTTTTTCAATGAACAAAGAGGAAAATATTTTAAAATTACTCTTCTTTTTCTTAAACTTATTTTGACTACCAATTATGAACAAAGAAACTGAAACACAGAAATGTTAGGTGAGCTCTGAGACACATTTGAATTTAGGATTTGAATCCACAAAATGACTCCACAGGACCAACTGCCAAATTGCCACTATAATATGGGACAATGTTTCTCTAAATATATTATATGTACTACTTGTAAATACAAGATGAGATGGGTTTAAGCAAAGAAGAAATACGTGTCTCTGTGTGTATTTGTTTACTTAATAATTACATACTTTATATTAGAAAAAAATCGAAGCCATGATTTAATCAATATTGTTGCCAAAAATCAATTTAAGAAACAAAAGCAATATAAGGTGTATTTAAAAAGTAAATAATAGTATGTATATGTGATATTCAGATTGGTAAATATTGGGAGGGTGACATTAGAATAATTGAAATTTTGAAAATTCTATGGTTTATTTTAATTAAAAGTAAGTAGTGTTATTTAACTGAAAAGAAATATGGTTAATTGAGAACTGGGTGACAAAACTTTAAAAATAGATTAGATTAAGAAAGTGGATAATAACAATACCAATACTAATAATTTCTTTAGGTCAGGTACATGCTAAATTTCATACCTAGATTATCTCTAATTGCAGCCTAACTATAGGGAGTTTATTTATCCTGCTTACTTTTCAGGAAGTTGAGGTTTAAAGAATATTTGAATTCCAAATAAAGTATGGATGTTAGAATTTACTCAGATGTGAATGCATATACATTGGGAGATAATTCATTACAAGGTGGGTACATGATATCTGCTTAAGGAAAATTATTCTGTAGGCTATGTGCTGGTTCAATAGAATATAAGGCATCTATTCTTGATCTATTTAACCATGATTTTTACAATTATTCATCTAGTCAGTCATTTTTGTAAAAATATTTGTTGAGTGGATACAATATTGCATAGCAAACCTGTGCCAGTGGTAATAAAAGGCAAACATGTTCCCGTCTCTTATTGACTTTATAATCAAGTGAGACAAGAGATGATATTCAATAAAATATGAATATGTGGATGTAGCTCAATGTGGAAATATGTGGCAAGGTTTATACTGACTTTAAAAAAAAGTATATATTAATTTTGGAAAATCAGGAAAACATTAAACTTGAAGAGATTAAAAATTCCATAATTCTACCATCTTGTGATACCTCACTCAGATAGTGATCATAGTCCCCAGTAGGTAGTTTTTTCACCCATGCCTCACTTCCTTCCTCCCCCATCTAGTCTGCAGCGTCTTTTGTTCCCATGTGAATGTCCATATGTGCTAAATGTTTGGCTCCAAGTTATAAGAGAGAACATGTGGTATTTGATTTTCTGTTCCTGCATAAGTTTGCTCAGGATTATTGCCTCTAGCTGCATCCATGTTGCTGCAAAGGACATGACTTTGTTCTTTTTTATGTCTGTGTAGTATTCTATGGTGTATATATATACACCACATTTTTAAACACAGTCCATCGTTGATGGGCACCTAGGTTGATTTTGGGTCTTTGCTGTTGTGAATAGTGTGGCAATGAACATACATGTGCCTGTATCTTTTTTGGTAGAATGATTTATTTTCCTTTAGATATACACCCAGTAATGAGATTGCTGGGTTGAATGGTAGCTTTGTTTTAAGTTCTTGCATTCCTACCCAGTGTGTATGAGTGTTCTCTTTCCTCCACAGCCTTGATACTATCTGCATTTTTTTTTTTACTTTTTAATAACAGCCATTCTGAGTGCTGTCAGATGGTATCTCATTGTGGTTTTGAATTGCATTTCTCTGATGATTAGTGATGTTAAGCATTTTTTTCATATGCTTGTTGGCCACTTGTAATTTGTTGAGGGTTTTTATCATTAAGGGATGTTGGATTTTATTGAAAGCTTTTACTGCATCTATTGAGATAATCATATTGTGTGTGCTTTTAATTCTACTTATGTGGTAAATCATGTTTATTGATTTGCATATTTTGAACCATCCTTGCATCCCAGGCATACAGCCTACTTGATTGTGATGTATTAACTTTTTGATGTGCTACTGGCTTTGTGTTTTTTGTTGTTGTTTGTTTGTTTTGTTGTTGTTGTTTTAAGTCAGTCTTGCTCTGTTGCCCAGGCTCTAGTACAGTGGAATAACCACAGCTCACCGCAACCTCCACCGCCTGGCTCAAGCAATTCTCCCACAATAGCCTCCTGAGTAGCTGGAACTACAAGCATGTACCACCACTCCTAGGTAATACTTTGTATTATTTTAGGTAGAGGCGGGGTTTCACCTTTTGCCCAGGCTGGCTCAAATTCAAGGACTCAGTTCACATGGTTTAGGACTATTTTTGGTTTATAGCTTTCTATTACTAGTGTAATAAACTGCAGAATTGATACTATTCAAGGTTTCAATCTCTTTCTGGCTTAATCTTGGAAGAGTGTGTATTTCCAGGAATATATCCATTTCCTCTAGATTTCCTAATTTGTGTGCATAGAGTTGTTCATAGTATTCTCTGAGAATCTGTTGTATTCCTGTGTTATCAATTGTAATGTCATCTTTGTCACTTCTAATTGTACATATTTTGATCTTCTCTTTTTTTTCCTTTGTTAATCTAGTAGTAATCGATCAATGTTGTTTGTTTGTAGAAGAATCAATTCGTGGTTTCATTGATCTTTTGTATGAATTTTTGCATCTTAATTTTATCCACCTCTTTTTCAATTTTAGTTATGTCCTTTCTCCTGCTAGCATTGGGGTTGGTTTCATCTTTTTAACTTCGTTTCTCTAGTTGGAAAGTTAGATTGTTAATTTAAGATCTTTATAAATTCCTGATAAAGGCATTTAGGTCCATAAAACTTTCCTCTTAACACTGCTTTGGGTGCATCCCAGAGATTTTTGGTAAGTTGTATTCCTATTTTCATTCATTTCAAATAATTTTTTAATCTTTCACTTAATTGTAATGTTCACCCAGGAGTTATTCAGGAGCAAGTTGTTTAATTTCCATGTATTTGTGTAGTTTTGAGAGGTCTTGATATTGATTTATATTTTTATTGTACTGTTGTCTGAGAGTGTGCTTGGTATGATTTCAACTTTTTAAATTTGTTGAGACTTGTTTTATGACTAAGTATGTGGTTGCTCCTAGATCTTAGACTACGTTCTATGTACAAATGAGAAGGATGTGCATTCTGTGGTTGTTGAGTGAAGTGTTCTTTAGACACCTATTAGATCTAATTGACCAAGTGTCAAATATAATTCCAGGATTTCTTTGATAGTTTTCTGCCTTGTTGATCTAACTCTGTCAGAGAGGTGTTGAAGGTTCCCACTATTGTTGTGTGGTTGTCTAAGTCTTTTCATATTAAGAAGAACTTGTTTTATGAATCTGGGTACTCCAATGTTCAGCTTGTATATATTTAGGATAGTTAAGCCTTCTTGTTGGATTTTACTTTTTATTATTATGTAATGCCCTTCATTGTATTCCTTAATTTTTATTGGTTTAAAGTCTGTTTTATCTGATACAGGAGTAGTGACTCCTGCTGTCTTTTCCCATTTGAATGGTAGATCTTTCTTCATTCCTTTACTTTGAACCTGTGGGTATTATTGTACATGAGATGAGTCTCTTGAAAAAAATCAGATAGTTTTGTTTTGTTTTATTATCCAGCCTTTCATTCTGTGTCTTTTAAGAGGGGGCATTTAGCATACTTAAATTAAGGTTAGTATGGATATATGTGATTATGATCCTGTCATCACTGATAGCTGGTTTTTATGTTGACTTGATTATGTAGGTGCTTTATAGTGCCTCTGGGCTATGTGCTTAAGTGTGTTTTTGTGGTAGGTGTCATTCTTTTGAGTTCATATTTAACACTCTCTTAATGTCTTCTTATAAGGCTGGTCTAGTTGAAACAATTTCTCTCGTGTTTGCTTGTCTGAAAAGGGTATTATTTCTCCTTTCCTTATGAAGCTTAGTTTGATGGGATATGAAATTATTGGTTGGAATTAGTTTTATTTAAGGGCACTAAAAATAGGCCCCCAATCTCTTCTGGCTTGTAAGGTTTCTGATGAGAGGTCTGCTGCTAGCTTAATGGGGTTCCTTCTGTACATAACTTTGCCCTTACCTCTAGCTGCCTTTAAGATTTTTTCTTTTGCATTGATCTTGGTGAATCTGAAAATTATGTGCTTTGAGGATGGAGATCTTTTATAATATCTAGTTTGGTTTCTCTAATTTTCTTGAATTTGCCTGTCAAACTCTTTAGTGAGATTAGAGAAGTTTTTGTGGACTATATTCTCAAATATATTTTCCAAGTTGCTTATTCTCTCCTGTCTCAGGAATGCCCATGAGTCACAGATTTGGTCTCTACATAATCCCATACTTCTTGGAGGTTTTGTTTATTTTTTAAAAAATTATTTTCTTTAGTTTTGTATGGCAAAGTTGATTACAGAACTGATCTTCTAGCTCTGAGATTGTTCCCTCAGATTGGTCTATTCTGCTGTTAAACCTCTTGAATGTACTATGAAACTCTTGTGAATTGGTCCTGGATTTTGTCAAATGTTTTCTTCATCTATTGATATAATCATGTAATTTTTCTTCTTTAGCCTGTTGATGTGATGGATTATACTGATTGATTTTTGAATGTTGAACTAGCCTTGCATATCTAGTATAAATGCTACTTGGTTTTGCTATACAATTTACGTATACATTAGAAATGGTTGAAAATTTTTACTTCCTTAAGGAACTGCTGGATTTTCATTTTGGCTGCTGACTCTCTTATATTCATGACCAGAACTTCTTTTTAAGAGTAAAATAGAAGACAAATTCACTGTTTCTTTAGTTTAGTTTTTGTTCTTTTTATTCATTCTCACATATCTCTGATTTATCCATGTTGAATCTATTGTCCTCTCTTCTTATTTGGTTTCCTTTTTCTTATACCTGGACATCCCTGTTGGACCAGCCTAGTGCCATTCCCTGGAATCCTCTGGCAGGTAAATCTACAAATAGACACAGATGCCCATGCTTAGGCTAAGCATTGATGAAACAACTCTACTTCAAATATGAAGGGTCTCAAAATTTGTAACCATACTCAAAATCCCCAAAATTATTTTAGTATAATCTTTTCAAATTATAAAAAGAGAATCCTCTAACAGCATTGTTTTTGATCATAAGAATACAAAGGAAAAAATATTCATTTAACATGAATACATGTAGAGCTTCTTACTTAACTTGGGGAGAATTCATAAATACACGTACGGAATAGAAACCCCAAATAGGAGAAATCCACAAATTTCATGTTTATATAGACATTATGTCAAGAAAATAGGTTTTCTGTCCCACCAATTATTGGTTTATTTCAGTTTAATTCTTTCTCTAATTCTAGGAAGATATTTTCACTCTAAGTGTAGTGTTCAGAGAATTCAAAATTGCACAGTTGACCTCTTGGGTTCATTTTCTTGAATACTGTGTCAGCGTGGACTGGAATAATAAATGCCTGTGTTAATGCTTTTAATCTCTTTCTTAATGTGATTTAAATGCATCCGGTTTATATTGGAATAAAAACATGTCACTCACAATTGAGTTTGTCATTCTGCAAATGCAGCTTGGGTGCTATTCAATTTCAAGTGAAAACAATCCCAGCTCTTCTGGGCACAAAGAGGCAGCTTGCCCTCTTGTAACCATGGAGATGTACCTCAAGTTGAGAACTTTAACTCATGTGCTTCATATCAGAAGAAAATAGCTTTGGGAAGATCACAGAATTCACATTTCAGCCTATTTGGAGCAAAGTGTTAGATAATGTGCACCCAAGATTCACACACTCCAGATTTAGCTCTGGTACTTGATACTTTAGGTCAACTCTACTCAAAATCAGTATAAAACAAAAGCAAAGCAATTGAACAGTTATAGAATAATTGGGAGACAGTTAAAAGATAGTTTATTTCTTTAATGGGATTATATTGAAGCAAAGTTATTATCTATAAAACCAATCACATCTTTAAACCAGTATAAAAATATTTCCTCAGATTATTATTATTATTATTATTATTATTTTGAGACAGAGTCTGGCTCTGTGGCCCAGGCTGGAGTGCAGTGGCACCATCTCGGCTCACTGCAAGCTCCACCTCCTGGGCTCATGCCATTCTCCTGCCTCAACCTTCCAAGTAGCTGGGACTATAGGCGACTGCCACCATGCCCTGCTAATTTTTTGTATTTTTAGTAGAGATGGGGTTTCACCGTGTTAGTCAGGATGGTCTCGACCTCTGACCTCGTGATCCGCCTGCCTCAGCCTCCCAAAGTGCTGGGATTACAGGCCTGAGCCACTGTGCCCGGCCTATTTCCTCTGATTCTATAGTCCATTAGAGCTTTCATCCTTCCTTCCATGCTTCTTTCCATTGATTCGCTTGATTCATTTACATTTTATTTTATTTATTTATTTAATTTTTTTGTGAGACAGAGACTCGCACTGTGGGGGGCTGGAGTGCAATGGAACAATCTTGGCTCACTGCAACCGCTGCCTCCCAGGTTTGAGTGATTCTCCTTCCTCAGCCTCCCGAGTAGCTGGGATTACAGGTATATGCCACCATGCCCAGCTAATTTTTTGTATTTTTAGTAGAGACAGGGTTTCACTATGCTGGTCAGGCTGGTCTTGAACTCCTGACCTCGTGATCTGCCCGCCTTAGCCTCCCAAAGTGCTGGGATTACAGGTGTGAGCCACCGTGCCCGGCTTAAAAAAATACTTTTAAACAAAGTCCTTTTCATTTGTTACAAGTCAGTACATTAGCTCACCCTTGTATCCATTTTTCCTTCTTCCTGCCTTTTTACGTTGCATTATCTATTGCTTCTGCTTGCAGATCTCTTTGGGCCCATTTCGCATATATTCTCCATTCTTATTTATCCTACTCTTCCACTTTTTCTACTTTATTTCTCTACTCTAGTCTCTGCTTATACGGTATATATTTGTCATTATTTGACCTCTCCAAATGCCTACTACACTCCCACTAGAATGTAAGCTTCTTGAGGGCAAAAACCTTGTCTGTTTTACTTATTATTATAGCACTTAGAATAGCCCCTGGGATGTGAAAGATACTCATAAATATTTGTTAAATAAATTGATGAATGAATTGAACATTGCCATTGTATTTTGATTGCAATTGCATACTGTGCAATCAGGTGAAAGTAAAATTCATCAGTTTTTCAAGAGTCTTCAAACAGGGTAGTAACAGAAAAACAAAAATTATAGTGAAAATGCTTTAACAGTAGCATAACATCTTTGAGTTGCACAATAAGGCTAGAAAATTCAACCTTTGGTCACTTTTCAGATAAGCTGCTTAAAGGGAGTTGACTCAGAGAAAAGGAGATTTTTCTTTTTCTTTTTTAAATAGTTTTCAGCCTGCAATGAGGATGAGACAATAGAAATCCAGCCAACATCTTGGGGAACATGATATTGGAAGCTATTAAAAAAAATTGTATAGAAAGTAGAATCCTCTGTCTCTGTAGACTGTATAAAGCTATGTTTTAGTTCTGAATGTTACTAATGTTCTTTTAGATGAGTGATAGATGAATCATGTGTAAGCCACCCTTATTTCAGATTGCCTGTTATACTCATTTAATTCCGATGCTAATTGATACACACCACACAAATTTTCATTCAACTGCCTTCTTTCCAAGAGACAATGGTAATGGTTTTTTAGTTGTCTCCCTGCATCCAAGTGTTCCTACACATGCTGCCAGATGGATTTTTCTTAATTTTGCCTCTAATGCTGCTGTCAGCTCCAAAGCCTTCAATAGCTAACATTTGACAACATAATAAAAACATCTTCCTTCATCTGATACTTAATATTTTCTATAATGTTGGATTCATTCATCTTGTACACCTCTGTTCATTGCTTTCATTTTCTCTACATTGTAACCACAATCAACCAGGCACTACCAGGTGCCTTTATCCCATCTGGTAGGTCACCACCTGAAAACAGCATTTTTCTGATCAACACTTGCAGTGCCCATTCTTCTCTCTGTACCACTTTAGCACATTATCTATACTTCTCCTATAATACTTATCATATTCTACCTAATATTCTGATTATTGATATACATATCTTTTGAGAGTCATGGTTCTATTTTATTTATTTTTGAGTATCCTATAGACCTTTATACATAGTGCTGAAGAAGTAATTATTAAATGAATTGATGAATGAATGAATAGACGGACACTGGTCACATTTCTTTCTAAGTCTGTTACTTGATCTCACACACTGATTCCAGTAGTAGCAGACCTATTCTTCTTGGGTCCATGGTAGAATCTTAGATTCTATTCTCATTAATAATCTTAACTGTATTCTGCTGTCATTCCTAAGTAATTTTCTGAGATAAAAAAAATTGAATGTTCACTGTTCATGTTACTTTTCTTCTCTCAGTAGAACACCGCATAAACTGTGAAAGGAATGTGTGCTAATATATGCTGTCTTCCTGCTTCTGTTGGAAGAAGCAAGAAGACAGTTTTTCAAGATAAAATGGAGAGATGTACATGACCTTCCAAAGACCATTATGAATTCCTGATGTCTTTGTTACCTGGACAAAATGTTTTTTAGTTCCTTTTCCTTGAAGTAAGAAATTTGGCATTTCTTCAGCTTACTTAATCCTTTGTTTCCTCTCTTGTGTTTATAATCTTATCCATATGGTTTTCCTGTAACATCAATATTTATATAACAATGAGTACTTACATGACATTACAGAGATTATGAATATCCACATTCATCTGGTTTTCACAATAACCAGGTGAGGTTAGAAAGATGGACATTTTTATCCATGCTTATAAAAAATGAGAGCTCTGAGAGGTTGTGATTTATCTGAAGTCACATATAAACAAGTGACAACCCAGCTGCTGTGATTTCTAATCCAGCATCCTCCTTTGCATTTCTTCTTTCTTATTCAGGTTTGCAACAAGAACATTCTCTCTTTATTTATTTTTAGAAAGAATTGGTCACAAAACCAATCAGATTAAATTAAACAAACATTGTTATTAACTACATCTGTTTAGATAGATAGGTAGATAGATAGATAGATAGCAATAAGTAAGTATCTTGCTTTTATTTTCTTTTCTAGCCTTACCTTTCCTCATTCTTTTCTGTGCCACAATCTATCCTCCAGGTTCCAGGCATCATGATCTCTCATTTCTACCTCTGCAAAAGCCACCCAGGAGATCTTGTTTCTTGAACTCCCTACCATCAGTCCATTCTCTAAGCAGCAGCCAGAGTGATCCTTTTAACTAATGTCAGGTTATGCAATTCCTCTGCTTAAAACAGTCCCATGGTTTGACAGATAAAATACAGAATGCCCAATTTGATTTATATTTCTGATAAACCCAAAACATTTTAGAAATTATGTCCTAAATATTTCATGGAGCATACTTATATCATAATTATTCAGATATTTTTCTAGTATATGTCCCAAATATTGCATAAGACATATATATATATATATATATATATATATATATATATATATATAAAATGATGTTTATCTGAAATGAATATATTACCTGAGTGTCCTATCTTTTTATTTGGTAAATCTAATAATAAAAGCAAGCTCCTTACACTGTTCTACAAAGTCCTGTGTGGTTAGGTCTCCGAGACCTCTCTGATCTTGACCGTTATTACTCTGCTTATTGTTTCCTGATACATTAGACACTCTCCCTCTATAGCCTGTGCTCTAATTGCTTTTTTTTTTTTTTGCCTAGGAAATACCCAAATAACCCTATTTAATGCTGCAATCCATTTTCTCCCTAGCATTCCTGAATCCCCTTACATTCTTCTACTTGTTTTTCCATGGCACTCATCTCCTTCTTATTTATATTTATGTGTATATTTATTGTGTTCATTGCCTGCCCGTTCTTATTCAAAAGAAAACTTTATAAATGAAGGAATCTTTGCTCACTAACTACCTAGAGCAGTGACTGGCACAAATAACTTATTCTGTAAATATTTGGTGAATGAATGACTAATAAAATGTAAGGACACAAAGAAAGTAAATTCAAAAATTACATAACAATCTCTCATGTTATAGGGTGATATAGAATGTAAGTAATTATGGATCAAAAATAAAAGCTAAAGCATTGTATTCTGTTTGTAGCCTCTTCATGGACTTAGTTGTGAAAATGAATGTTCTTATGTAAGAAATGAATATAGACTACTTTTTTTTCTATTAAATGTGATAAATACCAGTCTAGATATTGCTATTGCCTAAGTGTGCCATTCTTTTGTCATGTGTTATTTTCTGTTGGCTTTTTAGAACTGGAGTGTCTCTGTATGCCTCTATTGGTGTCAGTAAAATCACAAAAATGTTCAAATGAAGAAAAGGGAATAATAGGCTTGTTTGACATTTCCACTGTAATCTCCTATTTAGAAGAGTCAAAATTATTTTATGGGTAAGCATGGCAGAACAATCTGTACTAAATGTTACAGCTTTAAAAACACCCACTCTGTGTTCAAATATATTAGTACCCAGAAAAATATTATCTCATTCATATCCTAGATTCTAGGTCTCAGTCTTAAAGATTAGACAAAGCTCTCTTAAAGGCTTGCAAAGGAAATTAAAGATTTTATATTGGTGATGAAGTAGGAAGGGAAAAAAATAATAACGGTCTGCTCCCTATAGGAGAAGGATATGTTGGGATGTTTCTTAGACATACAGACAGATTACACATTTATTAAAGGCTGGACCATTATTAGGGGAAAGCGAAGTGTTCAAAAATAACTGCTGGAACATTCCATGTCAACTCTTTCTAGCAATTATCAGGGGCCCAAATATAGGCCATAATTAATATATGCATTTTGTGAATATGCAAAATAGATTGATGAGAAAAGGCTGAATGAGAAAACAGAAGAATGTTTATGTGGAATAATAATCTAAATTTGCTGTGAAGTTATTATTTCACTCTTGTAGTAAAATAGTAATGTGACATAAAATGAGAGCCATAGGGGAATTCAACAGTGGTTGTGGTGCATGGCTTTTAGAGCTTGATAAACCAGCTCTCCTGTCGAATCGTAATCCCCCATGTAGGAGGTAAGGGCTGGTGGGATCATGGAGGAGGATTTCCCCCTCGCTGTTCTCTTGACAGTGAGTGAGTTCTCATGAGATCTGTTTGCTTAAAAGTATGTAACACCTCCACCTTTGCTCTTCCCTCTTCTGTGACCATGTAAGACGTGCCTGCTTCCTCTTCATTTTTTGCCGTGATTGCAAGTTTCCTGAGGCCTCCCCAGCCATGCTTCCTGTATAGTCTCTGGAACTGTGAATTAAGTAAATCTCTTTTCTCAACGAATTAACCAGTCTCAGTTCTTTATAGCAATGCAAGAATGAACTAATACAGAGATTAAGGACTCGTCTGGCATGAGACAATAATAAACTTGCGTAGGAAGACTCCTACACTTGCTGACCCTTCCTAAACAAATAGCAGCAGGCTAGCTTTAGAGATAATGGGGTAGAAAACTGACTTTCAAACCCAAGAAACTCAAGAAAAGCCTATTTCTCTTTTAAGATGGAAAAGAAACCATGGTTTCTAGATCTCTAAAGGTAAAGGTATAGTGATTTTCATATATATTTTTTAAAAGAATCAGAATATCTAAATTAGCCATATTTAAATCAACATAAATAGCATGGCTAAGCCAGGAATCTTAAATAATATAGAAACATGGTCATCACATGTGTCCAAAATAAGTATGTATGTATGTTTGTATCTATCTATCTATCTATCTATCTATCTATAATTTATTTCTGTACTTATCTTGTTTTCTGCCCTGCAAAATAAATAAATAAATAAATACCTGTTTGTTCTTTTATCTAGAACAAAATGATTATCATAGTTTGATATCATATGTTCTTAGGATAGCAGTAACCACCATTATTTAACAGTATTTTTTTTTCATGGATAAAGCACGTTTACTTGGGAAGATTGTATTTCTAACTTGCTTCATTGGAAAAATGAAAGCCTTAAACTAGACCTGAATTCTATTCCTCCAAGCCTATTTCCTTATTATTATGACATTTTCTTTACTTTCTTTGAAATGCAAAATCCAACTAGTCTTAGAGACTCAGACTTAAAAATCTTTAAAAATCTTAAAGAAATCAACCATAAGACTTCAAAGAACACACAGTTGAGGAATATGTTAACCACATCTCATTTAAAAAAACAAGTTAAGATATAATTGGCAAATTAAAAGAAGACAACATTGATTGTTTTTGAAGAAAATGGATACGGGAAAGTAAAAACATATGATTTTCAATAAAAAGGATCAATTAATTACTTTGCAAAGACTACAATGATTTCTTACCCACACCTCTACACAAACACACATGCATAGTTAGCCAGACATGAAGATAAATAGAAATAGGTAGGCACAAAGATAATAAGTCAGAGAATATAAGCTTAATGTACTTAAATTAGTTTAAAAAGTCCATGGTGCCAAAATAGAATGCCTTACTCCTAGTTTTAAAGTAATCTTATTCCTCATCTAAAATATTTTGATTTTTTCTATTCTAGTAGGAAGTTATATGTGGAATGGCATTTTGGAATTGTGAGGAGGACAATACTATAATTCAATGTTGTGCTTTGAATTCCAATGTTACCACATACTGGCTCCTTGATTTTGGAAAACTACTTTATCAAAAATTTGTAAATGAATCTCTTTTTCTAGTTTAAAAAATGAAACAATGACTCTTGCTTCACTCTATGCCATGCAATTCCATTGACAGTACTAGGTTAAAATGCAGAAAAAGGTTTAGTTAAATGGGGGTATGTGTGATTTGAGGGAAGTGTATACATTTCTTTTACAATGTATATGTAATAATAATGTGAAAACATTACTCTCTTAGTTGTAGGAAGGGACATGTTGAGGTGTGAAGAAATCATAATTTACCTAACCTATTTGGTGCTACTTCATTATGAATTATTACAGTATATTATTGACTGTTTGCAAAAAAAGAGTAAAGTAGTAGTTGCCAATATATGCTTTACCTAAATAAATAAGTCATTTGTAACACATAATGAAGATGATGTACATTAAAATGTCACAGACATTTTAATAATAGCCATTCTAACTGGTGTGAGATGGTATATCATGGTCTTAATTTTCATTTCTCTGTTGGATTGGATAAAGAAAATGTGATATATATACACCATGGAATACTATGTAGCCAAAAAGAGAATGTAATCATGTCCTTCACAGCAACATAGGTGGAGTTAAAGGCTATTATTCTAAGTGAATTAACATAGGAATAGAAAACAAATACCACATGTTCTCACTTGTAAGTGGGAGCTAAATATTGAGCACACATGGACATCAACATGGGAACAAGAGATACCTACAGAATACTAGAGGGGGAGGAAGAAGAGGAGCATGGGTTGAAAAATAACTATTGGAAACTATGCTCACTACCTCAGTGCAATATACCCAGGTAACAAATGTGTGCTCTGTGTGTAAAATTGAAGTTGAATTTAAAAAAAATTCATGAACATGGGAATGACTGTTATTCAGCACTTGCTACTGTAGTTTGATTTTTTCATGCTGTTGAACTGTAAGTGTAACCAAGATAGGCTTGGTCATTTTCTCCTGCTGATTCATCTCTCATAATGTAGCTATAACTGCAGCCACTGCTTTGACTGTGTGCTCCAGTCCCACTCTTCTGCATACTGCAGGGATGAGCGGCTAGGTAGGGGACCTGTCTTTTACTATCTGCATCTCTCTGCTTATGCATGCCCTAGTGGAACGGGTTAAAGATATCTTTTGTATAAACTTGTTTGGGAAGGAATTTAGAAGAGATATTCAAGATTACATAGCTCTTTTCTCCTTCATCTTATTGCCATCTCCTACCATCATAACCTCACCCTGGTCCCTGTCCTTTGTTTCTTCACTATCCTTTTTTTAAACTTTCTCACACTTTGTTTCTTCAAATCCTTTATTCCCAGGACTGCTACATATCCATAAATTTCTAATTTACACTTCCAATTTTTAGGAAGGGGCACGCGAATTCTTCAAATACATTAGTTTCTAATGTTGCTTGGTTTCCATTTCTCCAATAGAAAACATTTCTTATATGACTCAGTTTCACTTAGCTAGCATTATGGGTAATAAAATTTTACATTGTGGTTTTCCTTGAACAGTCCCAGTTACACCTGATATTCTGGAATAATTATTAATAACTCCCTCTTTCACCCTGAATATTTTTCTAATTTCCATGAAAATTTTATGGTCTCCAAGCTGTAGGAGAAAACTAATATAATTAAATTAAATTCATATTATTTTATGAATAATTGGAAATATCATAACTCTCCCTCACATGAACAACTGAAAATAGGCATTTAACACACACACACACACACACACACACACACACACACACAGGAAGCTATACTAACAAAAAAGAGAAAAAGACTACACGTGATATTTCAATTAAACTTGAAACTAATTTTTTTTGTAGAAATTTGAATCATAAAATAAAAGTGTAGCAAAATAAGAGGAAGATATTTTATGCTATATTTGATGTGTAGGGATAGAAAAGTGGCTAAGTGTTCAATTCCAAATTTGTTTCTTGCCCATGAAAATATTATCGGAACTTCAGATAATCATAAATACATCTTATGTGGAGTCTTATCTTAGTTGAAGTAGCTACTGGTGATGTTTGACATTTTCTTGCCTCTGCCTGAGATGTTCTAGGACATACAAATGAATTGTGCTCACTACCACACTTGCACAACAGTTCCTGGATAACCTCTCAGAATTATTTACATTTTTGTTGACATGTAATCCTAAGCAGTATCTCTGGACACCTATTACTTTACATAAGTTGTTTGTTATTCATCTTCTATTTAAGCAAGTCATTATTTATTCTTTCTTTTCAAGCTGCATAGATGAATGAAACAGAATAGAGAGCCTAGAAATAAAGCTGCACACCTGCACACCTATAACCATCTGATCTTAAACAAAGTTGACAAAACAAGCAATGGGTAAAAGACTCCCTCTTCAAAAAATCATGCTGGAATCACTGGTTAGCCATATACAGAAGACTGAAGCTAAACCCCTTCCTTACACCATATACAAAAATCAAGTCAAGATAGATTAAAGACTTAAATTTTAAACCTAAAAGTATAAAAATTCTGGAAGATAACCTAGGAAATACCATCCTGGACATAGGCCCTGGTGAAGGTTTCATGATGAATATTCCAAGAGAAACTGTAATGAAAACGAAAATTGACAAATGGGACCTAATTAAACTAAAGAGATTATGCACAGCAAAAGAAACTATGGACAGAGTGAACAGACAGCCTACAGAATGGGAGATATATTTGCAAATATGCATCCGACAAAAGTCTAATATCCAGAATCTGTAAGGAACTTAAGCAGTTGAACAGGCAAAAAACAAACGACCTCATTAAAAAGTGGGCAAAGAACATGAACGTACACTTTTCAAAAGAAGACATACATGTGGCCAATAAACATATGAAAAAAGTGCTTAACATCACTAATCATCAGAGAAATGCAAATTAAAACCATGATGAGGTATCATCTCATACCAGTCAGACTTATTATTATTAAAAAAAAAAAAAAAAAAACAAGAAATAACTGATGCTGGCTAGGTTGCGGAGAAAAAAAAATACTTATACACTGCTGGAGGGAATGTAAATTAATTCAGTCAACGTACAAAGCAGTGTGGTGATTTCTCAAAGAACTTAAAACAGAAGTACCATTCAACCCAGCGATCCCATTATTGGGTGTATACCCTGTGTTAGGCCTATCTTTCATTGCTGTAAATAAATACTTGAGACTAAGTAATTTACAAAGAAAAGAGATTTAATTAGCTCATCATTCTGCAGGCTTTACAGGAAGCATGGTGGCATCTGCTTCTGGGGAGGCTTCAGGAAGTTTCCAATCATGGTAAAAGACAAAGGGGGAATAGCCATATCACATATCAAAATGGGAGCAAGAGAGCAGGGATTGAGGGGGAAGTGGCACACATTTTAAAATAATCAGGTCTCATGAGAACTCAGAGAGCTCACTGATCACCAAGGGGATGGCCCAAGCCATTCATGAGGGTTCTGGCCCCCCATGACCCCAAACCTCCTACCAGGACCTATCTCCAACACTGGGCATTACAATTCAACATGAGATTTAGGAGGGGAAAATATCTAAACTATATCGTTCGAACTCTAGGCCCTCACAAATCTCATATCATTTCCACATTGCAAAATACAACCATGCCTTTCTAATAGTCCCCCAAAATCACAACTCGTCCTAGCATTAACTCAGATGTTTAAATTCCAAAGTCTTATCTGAGACAAGGCAAATCACTTCTATCCATGTGCCTGTAAAATCAAAAACAATTTATTTACTCTCAAGATACAGTGGGGGTATAGGCATTGGGTAAATATTCCTTTTCCCAAAGGGAGAAATCAGCCAAAACAAAGAGTTAAAGGGGCTTACAGGCCCCATGCATGTTTAAAACTTAGCAGGGCAGTTATTAAATCCTAAATCTCCAAAATAGTCTTTGACTTCACGTCCCACATCGAGTGCACACTAATGAGAGCAGTGGGCTCCCAAGGTCTTGGGCGTCTCTACCCCTGTGGCTTTGCAGGGGGCAGCTCCCACAGCTGCTTTAACAGGTTGTTGAGTCCCTGTGGCTTTTCCAGGCACAGGATGCAAGCTGCCAGTGGCACTACCACTCTGGGGTCTGGAGGACTGTGGCCCCCTTCTCACAGCTTCACTAGGCAATGTCCCATTGAATACTATGTGGGATCTCCAGCCCCACAAATGCCTTTGGAATTGCCCTAGTAGAAGTTATCTGTGAGGGCTCCTCCCCTGAAGCAGGATTCTGCCTGAGCACCCAGGCTTTCTCATACATCCCCTGAAATCTAGGAAGAGTCTGCCAAGCATTATTCACTCTTGCACTCTGTGCACCTACAGGCTTAACACTAGATGGAAGCCACCAAGTCTTATGCATTTCACCCTCTGAAGTAGCAGCCTGAGCTATATCTTTGGCCCTTTGAGTTGAAGCTCGAGGTGGAGTAGTTGGAAAGTGGGAAATAGTGTCTTGAGGCTGCACTGAGTAGTAGAGCTCTGGCCCTGGCCCATGAAACCATTCTGTCCTTCTAGGCCCCCAGGGCCTGTGAAGAAAGGGTGACTGGTTTGGCTTTGTCCCCATCCAAATCTTATCTTGAATTTTAATTCCCATAATCTCCACATGTCGTGGGATGGACTCAGTGGGAGGTAATTGAATCATGGAGGCAGTTACCCCCATGCTGTTATTCTCATGGTAGTGATTGAGTTTTCAAGACATCTGATGGTTTTATGAAGAACTTTCCCCCCTTTTGCTCGGCACTTCTTCTTGCTGCTGCCATGTGAAGAAGAACGTGTTTACTTCTTCTGCCATGATTGTAAGTTTCCTGAGGTCTTCCCAGCCATGTTGAAAAGTGAGTCAATTAAACCTTTTTTCTTCATAAATTACCCAGTCTTGGGTATGTATTAGCAGACTGAGAAAGAACTAATACACAGGGGCTGCCTCAAAGGTCTCTGAAATGCCTTCATGGCCTTTTGCCCATTGTCTTAGCTATCAGCATATGGCTCCCTGTTAGTTATGCAAATTTCTCTACTAAGTGATTGCTCCATAGCCTGCTTGAATATCTCTCCCCAAAAAGCTTTTCCTTTCTCTTCCACGTGACCAGGCGGCAAATTTTCCCAACTTTTATGATTCACATCACTTTTAAATATAAGTTCCAACTTTAAGTAATTTCTTTGCTTCCACATCTATGTGTAGGTTGTTAGAAGCAGTCAGGCAATATCTTTAATGCTTTGAACATTAGAAATTTCTTTCACCAGATAACATAAATCATCACTATGAAGTTGAAAATTTCATAGATCCCTAGGATAGAGGCACAATACAGCCAAGTTTTTTGCCGAGGCATTAACATACATGACCTTTGCTCCGGTTCCCAGTAAGTTCTTCACCTTCTTCTGAGACCTTGTCAGCCTGGACTTCACTGTCTAAATCGCTATTACCATTTTGGTCACTACTATTTAACCGGTCTCTGTAATTCCAAACTTTCCCTCATCTTCCTGTCTTTTTCTGAGCTCTCCAAACTCAACTTCTGTCTGTTACCCAGCTCCAAAGCTGCTTTCACATTTTCACATATCTTTATAGCAATGCCTCACTCCTGCCAATTTTCTGTGTTAGCCATTCTTGCTTTGCTATAAATAAATACATGAGACTGGATAGTTTATAAAGAAAAGAGGTTTACTTGGCTCACATTTCTGCAGGCTTTAGAGCAAGCATAGTGGCGTCTGCTCTGGGGGAGGCCTCAGGAAGCTTCCAATCATGGTGAAAGGCAAAGGGGGAGCAGGCTTATTTTATGGTAAGAATGAAAGCAATACATGCCACATGCATTTAAATCACCAGATCTTGTGAGAACTCAGAGCAAGAGCTCACTTATCACCAAGGGGATGGTCCAAGCCATTCTTGAGGGATTTGTCATCATGATCCAAACACCTCCCACCAGGCCTCACCTCCAACATTGGGGATTATAGTTCAACATGAGATTTGGTCAAAGACAAATATCTAAACTGTATCATAACCGAGGAATATAAATTGTTCTACTGTGAAGACACATGCACACATATGTTCATCGCAGTACTATTCACAATAGCAAAGTAATGGAATCAACCTGAATGCCCATCAGCGATTAACTAAATAAAGAAAATGTGGCACATATACACTATGTAATACTACACAGACATAAAAACAACTAGATCATGTCCTTTTCAGAAACATAAATGGAGCTGGCAGTCACAATCCTAAGCAGATTAACACAGGAACAGAAAACCAAATACCAAATGTTCTTACTTATAAGTGGGAGCTAAATATTGAGTACACGTGGACACAAATAAGGCAACAATAGACACCAGGGCCTACTTGAGGTTGGAGAGTGGAAGGAGAGAGAGGATCCCAAAACTACCGATCAGGTACTATGCTTATTACCTTGGTGATGAAATAATCTGTACACCAAACCCTGGCGACAAGCAGTTTACGTATATAACAAACGTGCATATGTACCCAGGACCTAAAATAAAATGTAAAAAAGGTTACTTCTAATTATAAAAACAGAAGCTCTACAGATATCTAAGAATAATATTATATCTAGTTGAATGGCTCTGTTTTATGAGTACCACACTGACAAAGGCATAAATGGCACCAAAAGCAGACGTATTTTCGACAAGCAAAATAGTACATTGTACTACATTCATAAAATGGTCATTTTCTCAACCAGAATCCAATTAATGTGAAATAGCAAATACATAAACATTTATAAATGCACCTACAATGGGAATACAACGTTTACCCTCTACTTTTGTGAGAGATAGATGATATACAAAAGTTGTTACCAAATAAATTATAGCATCTATTTTATCAGCCTTGCAGATGGTATCTGATTTCTTATGACTTCTGTACTTTCCACACTGTAAACTGTGATGTTTAGGAGGGTAGTCCTATAATGCTGAAGTATTTTAAGTATAAATACTATTGAGGATCCAAAATGTGTAGATTAATATAGGAGATAAAATTTAATTGAAATAATTCCTGGCACATAATAGGAACTCAATAAATGTAATAACAATGATGAGACTTTTAGTCAAGAGATTTATGATCTAATAAAAGGACTCAGGAGAATACACAGTAAACTGTATGTAAAACAGAATAAGAGTAAGTACAAGGGAAAAAAAACTCCCTTACCCAAGCCTTGCTTACACATTTCACCAAATGTGATAACAAGTCTAATTTTTTACTTTGTGTGTTTGCAGGGAGTCCCTAGTAGAGACCCTGATAAATACCAAATGTTGTCTTTGTTTGTTCTACCCAGCTTAGGTCTAAGTATCATTCCATTATTTTCTCTTATAAACCTCTTAAAATAACTTATCCCTTTTATGTATTTTTTTTCAAAACAGGAGAAATCATTCCTAATAATAACTATAACTTGAACAGAAAAATAATTTAGTTTAACTTAAAATCCACTTATTACAACAGAAATAGTATATATACCACAAAAAATATAGTCCCAACTTGTGATGTCAACAGTATCAGGGATTTATGGGGTCCTCAATTCCTTGGCCATTGCTGTGCAAGAAGTTCAATATCCTAACCTGGGTTACAGCCAAAAAGGGAAGAGAAGGGCTGTGCTGTGATGGCCAGGTAACAAGTGGAACTTTACTTTCTAATTCTGAAGACTCAAATGTTTTGGAGGGGAGGATTCATGGGGAGAAGTTATTTTTTTCTTTAGAGTTGAACAAGCTCGAGCTCCGAAGATCCTTTACCAATAAGTCTGTCTAAGTTGATGCAGTCACTTTACCAAGTGGCATGATGTTAGAATGAGGGTGATAACATGCTGTATTAGCACTATTTATATGGACATACTGATTGCCATCCTGAGCTGGTAAATATGTTCATATTAAAACATAATTCAAAGAACAGAAACATATTGGAGAAAATGTCTCCCTGTTTTATATTTTATAATGAGATATCTTCTCAATATTTCTTTAGGTTGAGTCCAACTAACTAAAGTAAAATTTAAAATGGATATCAAATATTAAGAGATTAGGATGACAAATGGCAAACATTTTGTTGAGTTTATGCCTTGGTATGTTGAGTTTGAAATAGGACTTTAGCATATCACAGTAGTTTAACACCTGCAGTTTATTAGTATAAGAGCTTTTCTCTGGTGCCAAATTTGCCCCTTAAATTAATGCTTGGCTTGAAGCCATTGGTGAGAAACCAACTGATAAGCATTAACCTATATCTAGCATATGTTTATAATTGTGCCCTTAAGGAATCTGCAACGTAGTTAGGAGGTAAGATGAATGGAAACTAAATAAACAACAATTAAGTGCTGAATTTGCAGCATTAATTCAATTTGTAAGAAAAATTCATAGCAAGAAGACAGCAGATTAACTACAACCATCACAGAATCTTTTATACATAACAGGATACTTTAGTTGACATAAAGAACAACTTGAAGTTTTCAAGGATGAGATTTCAATAAATAAGCAAAAATTAAAAGAGATATTCCAGATGAGAATAACATCATTGAAACAGGAATAATCATTAAGTGGTCAGATAATGGTCTGGGAGAAAAAAAAAATGATTTTTTTCAGGAAGAGGATAAATAAAGGAAACTTCCAATTTCTCAAGTTGTCTTTAAAAAATCCACAGGAGGAAAGGCTAAATATAAATTAAAATTTGTACTACTATTTACATTTTTTAAATTTACATTTACATTTACATTTTTTAAATCTGTTTTGGGACCTAAACCACAGATGAGGTAGAAAGAGAAAGGAACCAGAGCAGTTTCATGGACGTAATCATAATCTGCGTGGTCAGCTCATAGATTATCTCATATTATTGACCAGACATGTTGAGATGTGTTGTAGCCTCACAATAAATGTGAGAAATACTGCTACTGTCTGTAGACTGATCAATTCTTATCTCACACTCATCCACGCTATTGAAAATTTTCTTCGTTTAGGTCTCCTACTTAAAGTATGCAGTTTTTCTCAAGAATAGTGTTTAAGCAAAAATCGAGAAGGTTTCAGACTCCCACAAGAAAATTTAAAAAAAAGAAAGAAAAAAGTTTAAGAAGGTCCAAATTAGAGTTTATAAAACATTCATCTTAAAATTCTTGAGATCAAAGAGAATCTTATCAAAAGGCCAAAGCTATAAAGCAGTTAAGCTATAATTGTTATTTTAGATTGAGAAGTTAATCTTTGCCAGTTCCCGAGGTAAGTGCTTTACATGCTTTTATATTTGTTATATAAAATAATTCTTAGAAATCACTATGAGGTAAATGTTATTATTCCTGTTTTTCTGTGAAAAAATTTTCTTATATCGCACATTCACTAAATGGCAAAGTCAGGATATAGACTCAAATTCACTTGATTCAAATGCCTGCACTTTCAACCACTGCCTTAGTTTCTCTCCAAAAACAGAGGAGCTCCCTTGGATTAAGCTGCAACCAGGAGTTAGGAGGTATTAGGTTGGTGCGAAAGTAATTGCGGTTTTTGCCACACATGCATTCTCTGATCTCTCACAACAGGTATTTTCAACATTCTTGGGACTACTCAAAGAGTTATTGAGAGCACAATTTGAACACCATGAATTTGGTTATTTTTGTGTTATGCAATAATATGATGTTGTATTTTACATTCAATCCTGACAACTATTTAATCCTCAAACAACTATTTAATCCCAAATGTTTAGGCTCTTTCCTAAATGTAATTATGATACTGACAATTATGTGTTGCATGCCAGTATCAAAATATCTCATGTAACCCATAAATATATATACCTACTATCTACCCGCAAGAAGTAAAATGAAGAAAATAAAATCTGAATCTAATCTTAATTTAGAAATAAACGTTTTTCAAAACTACTGCAAGGACTTTTAGCTTTTGAAATACAGGTTTTTTTTTTGGTAATCACATTAGAATATTACAGTAATTGTCTTGTTAAAACCCAGAACGTATGATGCAATTTAAATAATACTAGTGGCTCAGTTAGGTTCCTTAAAACTTGACTAAGAGGCCTTTAAACTATGATGAATGTAAAACGTGATTTTGTACTAAAACAACTAAACATAACCTTACTTGTAAAATATCTTGCTGGGAAATGACTTCAAATAAAATTTTGGATGTTTAAAAAGCATCTTTTTTTGGCCTTAAGCTCTTGCTTTCTCCACATACAAATGCATCGCTATAATGGTCTACATTTCCTCCATTCATTTTCATTTTTTTGGCAGTGGGATTAGCAACACTCTATGACAATTTTTGTTATTTCTGTTACCAGGAGCAGACATTGGAACAAAATCAGGAAAATGTACAGGTGCAAGGATCAGGGCTCTTGGATGAGGTGATAGGAATTGTGAGTATACTGAGAGTAAAGGCAGAGATCACGACAGAGAGATATTTGCTGACTTTGTCCTTTTGGCAAAGCTGTCCAATAAAAATATAACATTATGTCCATTTAAATTTGATAGTAGCTATATTAAGGTAAAGTAAAAAGAGATAGGTGACATTAATTAAAATAATACATTTTATTTATCTTAATATATGCAAAAATATTTTAGCACATAAATGGTGTTAAAATTATTAATAAGGAATTTTATGTTCATTATACTAAGTTTTCAAAATCTGATGTTTATTTTACACTTTCAGCACATCTCAATCTGGACACTAAAATTTGAATTGTTAAAGTGTGTTTTGAGTCATGTTAAAGAAAACAATATTGTGCACCATTTCAGCTTCTAAATTCAAGTTCAAATAAATTACAAATTTAGATCTTGAACTGCAGTAGCCACATGGCAGACGCTTAACACACAATGAGTGGCTGTCAGTTGACTCTAGACTTAGTTCTCCTGGGTTTACCTACATTTGTTTACACAACTTTTATTGGAAAATTCCTGTTTGGGGAGCATTTTTCAGGTCATGCAAGCCATAAGTATCTGATTTTGTACATTATTGTTGTTTATATTTTGTCAAAATCGAGGAAGAAACAAGGAGTTGGAGTCAGATAAATCTACATTTGAACACAATCCACAAAAGAAGAATGTATATTAGGCCATAAGACTTCTATTTAATTATAAAGCATCTTGTTAATTTTATGTGTCTACTTTACTGAGCTAACGGATACCCAAATAGCTGGTTAAACATTTCTGAGCATGTCTGTAAGGGTGTCTGTGAAAATGATTAGTCCTTCACCTGGTGAACTGAGTAAAGATGATGGTTCTCCTCAGTATGGATATGCGTCATCTGATCTTCTAAGTGCCTGAATAGAACAGAAGAGTGAAGGAAAGTTGAATTCACTCTTCTCACTGATTAGTTGAGTTGAGACATTGGTTTTTCTCCTGACCTTCTGGTTCTCAGACCTTTACGCTCAGAATGGAATCTACACCATTGGCTCTCTGACTCTCCAGCCTTTGAACTATACCATCGGCCTTTCTGGATATCTTGCAGAGAGCAGATTGTGGGATTTATCAGTCTTCAGAGTTATGTGAGCCAGAAGTTTATAATAAATCTCCTATTGTTTCTGTTTCTCTGCAGAACCCTGACTAATACACATCTTCTATGAAGATATATGGGAAATAATTTACAGCTTGTTACAAAATAGTTTAATCCAATTATTTTCCAATAAAAAATAAGTAAAATGTCTAGTTGGGGGAATTTGTGGTATTCATGCAGCATTCATGAAAGGTTAGGCCAATATAGAACACAGTGGGGACTTGGATAGGCATAATGAGCACATGAAACACAGTCAGAGTAGCATGAGCACATGAAGTAGATATGCACACTTAAGTAAAGAAAAAAAACAAAACAAAAAAAACCAACCACAAATGTAAACTTCAGCTTCCTGGAAAGTTGAACCCAAGATTTATTGCATGCTCTGTCTATTTTTGTAGCCAATGAAGTGAATGCAGAGGATTGTAATGAGATAGATAGAATTCTGTCTGCACCACAAACACCTATTCAATGAATGCCCAGTCCAGACAGATGAGGTGCAAAGCCAAGATGTGCCAGGTCACCAAATTCCATGGGGTCTGATGGATGTTGCCATGTGAACAACACTCTGTCTAAATATGTTGCTTGGCTAAGGGCAGTGACTGTTTCCTATGAATAAGACATAAAATCTGCTAAAAACATTTTGGAGCTTACCGCCAAAGAAGACTACTGAAAAGAACTTTTGTTAAATGTTTTGTTAATGCATGTCAATGTGTATTCGATGAATTTGAGGTTATTTTAGTGCACACCTGCAGCACATGGCCTGTGCTTTTCAGCTGCTCTTACGATTTAGCTACAAGTATTTTAAATCCCAGCTGTCAGCTCATAAGCACTGACCGTGAATGTTGAGCTTCACAAGCGCATTGCCAGTGGCAAAAGCACACTTGCTGGGGTCATCCGGTTGTGGGAAATATGACTCAGCTGACCTCTTTGCTGTGGGTTACTTGAAGATGCCATAAGAAATTGCACTAAGAAGACAACTTCACCCATTCCATGACACTGCCAGGGTCATTTATAGATTTTCTCTCCTTCTGAGACAAGAAATGTTGTGAAATAAATCAATAGAGCACTTTGGTATAGCCAGTAAAGTAATATACACTTTCATCCTTTACATTTGCATGAGCTTTGTCAGTCACCTAGTATTTTTAAATCCATCATTTCATTTTATCACTAAAATATCCATGTGAAGTATGCAGGGCAAAAACATTACTCCATCCATTTGATAGTAAAAGAAACAGAGGCTCAGGGAAGTGTAAGGTAATGTTGGTACATGTGCATATTGGATAATGTCCAAAAAGGCATTTTGAATAAAATAATAGGGACAACCAAGCTAAAAAAATAATATCCATTTGGCATCAAGAGCATCGTATTCAAGAAATTTCTCTTATATAGATGTCTGGTGTTTATTTTCTTTAGTGTAAGGCTTCTGTCTTCCTACATAGTGCTGTAAAGAAAAGCTAAGAGATCACTAGAATGAGAAAGGGATTCCAGAAAAAGAAAGAAGAAAGAAAGAAAGAAAGAAAGAAAGAAAGAAAGAAAGAAAGAAAGAAAGAAAGAGAGAGAGAGAGAGAGAGAAGGGGAGGGAGGGAGGAAAGAAAGAAAGAAAGAAAGAAAGAAAGAAAGAAAGAAAGAAAGAAAGAAAGAAAGAAAAAGAAAAAGAAAGAAAAAGAAAAGAGAGAGGAGGAAGGATGATGAGGATATTGCATTTCTCATGCACTCATGTTTTATCTCACTTTGTGTTCCAGGTAATATATGGCAGGTCAAAACAGAGAGTCTTTGAATCCCTTGCTCCAAGCAGAGGTATGTTAAATTCAACAAACAATAGTTAACATTGTTAGTTCTTACTGAATGCCAGGCACTGTTCAATGCATTGTAATATGTTTGGTAATTTAATCCTCGGGTTACCCAGAAAACATAGGTAATATTGCTAATTTCATTTTACAGATAAGAAAACTGAAGCACAAAGCCATTATATTAATTAACTTCTGTTTTTTAATACATTATCCCAAATGTAGTGCCTACTACAACAGACATTTATTTAGCTCATGATTCTGTGGTTTAGAAAATTGGTCTGAGCTCATTTAGGCAGTTGTTCTGCCATGATTAAGCTCCCTTATGCTTCTGTGGTTAGATGCACCTCAGTTAGATGCTGGTTGGGATGAAAATAGTGACTGGGTCACATGTGTCTCATCATCCAGCAGACCACCCTGGGCTTGTTCACATGCCAGTGCTTGATAGAGAAAAAGAGAGAGGAGAGCAAGACCTACATTTGTAACTACTGTATTCCAATTCTGCCACATTCTATTAGTTAAAGCAAGTCACAGTACCAGTCAAGACTCAAGGGATGAGGCAATATACCCTATACTTAATGGGAGGGGATACAATGTCATGTTGTAAAGGGATGTGGATACTGGAAGGAGTGCATAATTGTGGCCATGTATGCTATGCAGCAAACTAAAAACTAAAATACATAAAAAAATAAATAGGGGGAAGACAGAGTGAATTTAACTTTATTGGATATTCTTTAATCTACTGAATCCAATACTTTGAATGACCACCCATGATACCCTCTCTAAGTTGTAGTGAAACAAATATCCCCTTCCGTATTAGTATTAGCATCCTAAAGGCTTCTCTATCTTTTTTTCTTTTTCTTTTTTTTTTTTTTTTTTTTTTTTTGAGATGGAGTCTCACTCTGTCACCCAGGCTGGAGTGCAGGGACACCATCTCGGCTAATTGCAAGCTCCACCTCCTGGGTTCCGACCATTCTCCTGCCTCAGACTCCCAAATAGCTGAGACTACAGGCGCCTGCCACCATGCCTGGCTAAGTTCTTTGTATTTTTAGTAGAGATGGGGTTTCACTGCGTTAGCCAGAATGGTCTCGATCTCCTGACCTCGTGATCCTCCCGCCTCGGCCTCCCAAAGTGCTGGGATTACAGGTGTGAGCCACCTTGCCCGGCCAAGGCTTCTCTGTCTTGAAACCAAATGTGCCCTAAAGTGCAGAGAGCAGTGCTGCAAAGCATCTATGAGTTAATTTGAGAAACGTTGAAAGCTTTTACTTGGTGCGATGTTCAAAGTGAGGGACAGAGGTCAAAGACTTTACTCTTAAAATTCATTATCTCTGATGACTTTGAGCTAACTCTTATTTTCTCAAATGTATTCCTCTTTATACAGCAGGTAGAGAAAGATTGTGATTGTCCTCATCTTACTCTAAAATTGAACAGTTATTAAGCAACTATTTATTGAGTTCCTTCTATAAGCCAGACGCTTAGCTACAAGAATTGAGATGCAAGACAGAAAAACATGCTCTTTTGCCCTGATTCAAGACAGAAACAGATAAATTCAATACTATAGAAATATGTACTATAGAAGCATAATGCAATGTGAGAGAGAAGGGAAACCTATCTTAGAATTGAGGTGGCTGTTGAGAATTTGAGAACGATTTCTGCATAGCAGTGAAGTTTTAAAAGATAATTTATAATAACTAGGCAACATTGGGTTGGAAAGATGAAAGTGGAAACATCATCCAGAGGGAACAGCAACTAAAATACAGCATTAGATTGAGCTTCAGTTTTCTAGATGGGAAATATCGAGACAGTTATACAAAAGCAATGACAAGGAGGATGGAAAAATAGAAAGGAGATTAGAGAGATGTAAATGAAATCGATTTTATAGGAATCAGTAACTTAATAGATATGAAAGCCAAGAAATAAGTACTATAGTTGAGGATAATTCCAGATATTTCCCTTTAGCATATATAAGTATATGGGCATATATCTAGATTTTATATGTATTCACCATATATGTAAAGAATAGAAAGGGGGCATGAGATAAGTACTTCCTATAGAAGTCTGTCTTAAGAATATATATAAGCTTGCTCATTGCAGCATCATAATTTTTAATAGCAATCTCTTGCAAAATCACAGATATCAACATTTGTAAAAGTAGAAATCTGGATCTAAATGAAAATAAACTTCTAAATTTGGTTTGTAATCATAGATTTTAGAGCTAAAATATTCTACAGATATTGTAAGTATTCTACAGATATTTTCATAGATATATGTAGGCTACAGATTTGTAACCTTTTTGGTTTAATATTATGTTGATAGCATTTCCAATACCGTTAAATATTCTCAAAAGACCCATTTCGTAATGATCACACACCATTCTATTATGCTATCCTATTTTATTTTACAATTTCCCTGATGTTTCTTATAATTCAAAGACTTATTTTAATCTTTTGCTGCACCACTGTCTAAGTAAAGGATAGTCAATGTATGGAATTTTCCATCACCAGGATCCTTCCTAAGGAGAAGGATTGTCAGTCTATCACATGCAGTGGGACACTTGAAGGGTGCCCGAACTCATGAACCATAAAGACACTGGCTCCATTTCCTCCACAGCTGACAGTTCTCTGCAGGTTTCTCCCTTTTTAAGGGGAAGACCTGGACTTACAGAAAAAAGTTTCTGTGACCATTAGTGTCTCCTTTTTTTTTCTTTTTTTTTAATTATAATTTAAGTTCCAAGGTGCATGTGCACAACGTGCAGGTTTGTTACATAGGTATACATGTGCCATATTGGTTTGCTTCACCCATCAACTCATCATTTACATTAGGTATTTCTCCTAATGCTGTCCCTACCCCAGCCCTCTACCCTCTGACAGGCCCCAGTGTGTGATGTTGCCAGCCTTGTGTCTATGTGTTCTCAATGTGAAACTCCCACCTATGAGTCAGAGCATGCGGTGTTTGGTTTTCTGTCCTTGTGATAGTTTGCTTAGAATGATGGTTTCCAGCTTCATACATGTCCCTGCAAAAGACATGAACTCATCCTTTTTTATGGCAGCATAGTATTCCATGGTGTATACATGCCACATTTTCTTAATCCAGTCTATCACTGATGGACATTTGGGTTGGTTCCAAGTCTTTGCTATTGTGAATAGTGCTGCAATAAACATACGTGTGCATTTGTCTTTATAGTAGCATGATTTATAATTCTTTAGGTATATACCCAGCAATGGGATGACTGGGTCAAATGGTATTTCTAGTTCTAGATGCTTGAGGAATCACCACACTATCTTCTACAGTGGTTGAATTAATTTACAGTCCCACCAACAGTGTAAAAGCATTCCTATTTCTCCACATCCAGTCCAGCATCTGCTGTTTCCTGACTTTTTAATGATCGCCATTCTAACTGGTGTGAGACAATATCTCACTGTGGTTTTGATTTGCATGTCTCTGATGACCAGTGATGATGAGCATTTTTTCACGTGTCTGTTAGCTGCATAAATGTCTTCTTTTGAGAAGTGTGTTCATACCCTTTGCCCACTTTTTGATGGAGTTATGTTTTTCTTGTAAATTTGTTTGAGTTCTTTGTAGATTGTGGATATTAGCCCTTTGTCAGATGGGTAGAGTGCAAAAATTTTCTCCTATACTGTAGGTTGCCTGTTCACTCTGATGGTAGTTTCTTTTGCTGTGCAGAAGCTCTTTACTTTAATTAGATCCCATTTGTCTATTTTGGCTTTTGTTGCCATTGCTTTTGGTGTTTTAGTCATTACGTGCTTGCCCATGCCTACGTCCTGAATGGTAATGGCTAGGTTTTCTTCTAGGGTTTTTATGGTTTTAGGTCTTATATTTAAGTATTTAATCCATCTTGAATTAACTTTTGTATGAGGTGTAAGGAAGGGATCCAGTTTCCGCTTTCTACATATGGCTAGCCAGTTTTCCCAGCAACATTTATTAAATAGGGAATCTTTTCCCCATTTCTTGTTTTTGTCAGATTTTTCAAAGATCAGATTGGTGTAGATGTGTGACATTATTTCTGACGCCCCTGTTCTGTTCCATTGGTCTATATATCTGTTTTGGTACCAGTACCATGCTGTTTTGGTTACTGTAGCCTTGTAGTATAGTTTGAAGTCAGGTAGCATGATGCCTCTAGCTTTGTTCTTTTTGCTCAGGATTGTCTTGGCAAATGTGGCTCTTTTTTGGTTCCATATGAACTTTAAAGTAGTTTTTTTTTTTTCCAATTCTGTAAAGAAAGTCATTGGTAGCTTAATGAGGATGGCATTGAATCTATAAATTACCTTGGGCAGTATGGCCATTTTCACTATATTGATTCTTCCTATCCATGAGCATGGAGTGTTCTTCCATTTGTTTGCATCCTCTTTTATTTCATTGAGCATGGTTTGTAATTCTCCTTGAAGAGTTCCTCCACATCCCTTGTAAATTGGATTCCGAGATATTTTATTCTCTTTGTAGCAATTGTGAATGGGAGTTCACCCATGATTTGGCTCTCTGTTTATCTGTTATTAGTGTATAGGAATGCTTGTGATTTTTGCACATTGATTTTGTATCTTGAGACCTTGCTGAAGTTGCTTATCAGCTTAAGGAGATTTTGGGCTGAGACGATGGGGTTTTATAAATATAAAATCATGTCATCTGCAAACAGGGACAATTTGACTTCCTGTTTTCCTAATTTAATACCCTTTTTTTCTTTCTCTTACCTGATTGCCCTGGCCAGAACAACCAACACTATCTTGAATAGGAGTGATGAGAGAGGGCATCCTTGTCTTCTGCTGGCTTTCAAAGGGAATGCTTCCAGTTTTTGACCATTCAGTATGATATTGGCTGTGGCTTCATTGTTTCTGTTTATGTGATGGATTACATTTATTGATTTGCATATGTTGAACCAGCCTTGCATCCCAGGGATGAATCCAACTTGATCATGGTAGATTAGCTTTTTGATGTGCTGCTGGATTCAGTTTGCCAGTATTTTATTAAGGATTTTCACATCAATGTTCATCAGGGATGTTGGTCTAGAATTCTCTTTTTTGTTGTGTCTCTGCCAGGCTTTGGTATCAGGATAATGCTTGCCTCATTAAATGAGTTAGGGAGGATTCCCTCTTTTTCTATTGATTGGAATAGTTTCAGAAGGAATGGTACCAGCTCCTCTTTGTACCTCTGGTAGGATTCGCCTGTGAATCCATCTGGTCCTGGACTTTTTTGGTTGGTAGGCTATTAATTATTGCCTCAATTTCAGAGCCTGTTATTGGTCTATTCAGATATTCAACTTCTTCCTGGTTTAGTCTTGGGAGAGTGTATGTGTCCAGGAATGTATCCATTTCTTCTAGATTTTCTAGTTTATTTGCGTAGAGATGTTTATAGTATTCTCTGATGGTAGTTTGCATTTCTGTGGGATCAGTGGTGATATCCCCTTTATCATTTTTTATTGCATCTATTTGATTCTCCCATCTTTTCTTCTTTGTTAGTCTTGGTAGTAGTCTGTCAATTTTGTTGATCTTTTCAAAAAAACTAGTTCTTGGTTCATTGATTTTTTGAAGGGTTTTTTGTGTTTCTATCTCCTTCACTTCTGCTCTGATCTTAGTTATTTCTTGCCTTCTGCTAGCTTTTGAATTTGTTTGATCTTGCTTCTCTGGTTCTTTTAATTGTGATGTTAGGGTGTCGATTTTAGATCTTTCCTGCTTTCTCTTAAGGGCATTTAGTTCTATAAATTTCCCCATAAACACTGCTTTAAATGTGTCCCAGAGATTCTAGTACGTTCTGTCTTTGTTCTCATCGGTTTCAAAGAACATCTTTATTTCTGCCTTCACTTTGTTATTTACCGAGTAGTCATTCAGGAGCATATTGTTCAGTTTCTATGTAGTTGTGTGGTTTTGAATGAGTTTCTTAATCCTGAGTCCTAATTTGATTGCACTGTGGTCTGAGAGACAGTTTGTTTTGAGTTCTATTCTTTTACATTTGCTGAGGAGTGCTTTACTTCCAATTATGTGGTCAATTTTAGAATAAGTGTGATGTGGTGCTGAGAAGAATGTATATTCTATTGATTTGGGGTGGAGAGTTCTGTAGATGTCTATTTGGTCCACTTGGTGCAGAGCTGAGTTCAAGTCCTGGATATCCTTGTTAAGCTTCTGTCTTGTTGTTCTGTGTAATATTGACAGTGGGGTGTTAAAATCCTCCATTATTATTCTGTGAGAGTCTAAGTCTCTTTGTAGGTCTCTAAGGACTTGCTTTATGAATCTGGGTGCTCCTGTATTGGGTTCATATATATTTTGATTAGATATCTCTTCTTGGTGAATTGATCCCTTTACCATTATGTAATGGCCTTCTTTGTCTCTTTTGATCTTTGTTGGTTTAAAGCCTGTTTTATCTGAGACTAGGATTGCAACCCTGCTTTTTTTTTTTTTTTTTGCTTTCCATTTACTTGGTAGATTTTCCTCCTTCCCTTTATTTTGAGTCTATGTGTGTATCTGCACATGAGATGGATCTCATGAATACAGCATGCTGATGGGTCTTGACTCTTTATCCAATTTGCCAGTCTGTGTCTTTTAATTGGAGCATTTAGCCCATTTACATTTAAGGTTAACATTATTATGTGTGAATTTGATCCTGTCATTATGATGTTAGCTGGTTATTTTGCCTGTTAATTGATGTAGTTTCTTCATAGCATCGATGGTCTTTACAATTTGGCACATATTTTCAGTGGCTGGTACCAGTTCTTCCTATCCATGTTTAGTGATTCCTTCAGGAGCTCTTATGAGACAGGCCTGGTGGTGACAAAATCTCTCAGCATTTGCTTGTCTGTAAAGGATTTGCTTATGAAGCTTAGTTTGGCTGGATATAAAATTCTGGGTTGAAAATTCTTTTCATTAAGAATGTTGAATATTGGCCCCCACTCTCTTCTGGCTTGTAAGGTTTCTGCTGAGAGATCCACTGTTATTCTGATGGGCTTCCCTTTGGGGGTAACCCATCCTTCCTCTCTGGCTGCCCTTAACATTTTTTCCTTCATTTCAACCTTGGTGAAGCTGACAATTATATGGCTTGGGATTACTCTTCTCGAGGATTATCTTTGTGGTGTTCTCTGTATTTCCTGAATTTGAATCTTGGCCTGACTTGCTAGGTTGGGGAAGTTCTCCTGGATAATATCCTGAAGAGTGTTTTCCAACTTGGTTCCATTCTCCCGTTACTTTCAGGAACACCAATCAAACGCAGATTTGGTCTTTTCACATAGTCCCATATTTCTTGGAGGCTTTGTTCATTTCTTTTTACTCTTTTTTCTCTAAACTTCACTTCTCACTTTATTTCATTAATTTGATCTTCAATCACTGATACCCTTTCTTCCACTTGATCAAATCGGCTACTGAAGCTTGTACATGCATCATGAAGTTCTCATGCCATGGTTTTCAGCTCCATCAGGTCATTTAAGGTGTTCACTATGCTGTTTATTCTAGTTAGCCATTAGTCTAACCTTTTTTCAAGATTTTTAGCTTCCTTGCGATGGGTTAGAACATGCTCCTTTAGCTCAGAGGAGTTTGTTATTATCGACCTTCTGAAGCCTGCTTCTGTCAACTTGTCAAAGTCATTCTTTGTTCCATTGCTGGTGAGGAGCTGCAATCCTTTGGAGGAGAAGGGGCACTCTGGTTTTTAGAATTTTCATCTTTTCTGCTCTGGTTTCTCCCTATCTTTGTGGTTTTATCTACCTTTGGTCTTTGATGTTGGTGAGCTACAGATGGGGTTTTGGTGTGGATGTCCTTTTTGTTAATGTTGATGCTATTCCTTTCTATTTGTTAGTTTTCGTTCTAAGAGTCAGGTCCCTCAGCTGCAGGTCTATTGGAGTTTGCTGGAGGTCCACTCCAGACCCTGTTTGCCTGGATATCACCAGCAGAGGCTACAGAACAGCAAATACTGCAGAGCAGCAAATATTGTTTCCTGATCCTTCCTCTTGAAGCTTTGTCTCAGAGGGACACCTGCCTGTATGAGGTGTCTGTCAGCCCCTACTAGGAGGTTTCTCCCAGTTAGGCTACACGGGGTTCAGGGACCCTCTTGAGGAGGCAGTCTGTTTGTTCTCAGAGCTCGACCGCCATGCTGGGAGAACCACTGTTCTTTTCAGAGCTGTCAGACAGGGACGTTTAAGTTTGCAAAAGTTTCTGCTGCCTTTTGTTCAGCTATGCCCTGCCCACAGAGGTGGAGTCTATAGAGGCAGTAGGCCTTGCTGAGCTGCAGTGGGCTCTGCTCAGTCCAAACTTCCAGGCCACTTTGTTTACCTACTCAAGCCTCAGCAATGTTGGATGCCCCTCCCCCTGCCAGGCTGCTGCCTTGAAGGTCAATCTCAGACTGTTGAGCTAGCAGTGAGCAAGACTCCATGGGTGTGGGACCCACAGAGCCAGGCACAGGAGACAATCTCCTGGTCTGCCAGTTGCTAAGACCACTGGAAAAGCTCAGTATTTGGGTGGGAGTGTCCTGTTTTTCCAGGTGCAGTCTGTCATGGCTTCCCTTGTCTGGGAAAGGGAAATCCCCCTACCTCTTGCATTTCCCGGGTGAGGCAATTCCCCGCCCTGCTTCGGCTGCACCCGCTGTCCAACCAGTCCAAGTGAGATGAACCAGGTACCTCAGCTGGAAATGCTGAAATCACCAGTCTTCTGTGTCGATCACACTGGGAGCTGCAGACTGGAGCTGTTCCTATTTAGCCATCTTGGAACAGTAGTGTCTCCTTTTTAAGTCAACTTGTTTTAGAAAAATGGATTCCTTCATGGGCTCTTAGATGTTACATTGCAATGGTAACTGGTATGTTTGATTACAAGTTCAAGAGACCTGTACCAATTATTTCCATAAGTGACTGCCGTTTGACCTTGACTAGGTTACAATTAATCTAGACAACATTTTCCTCATCTGTAAAATGAAAGTGTTGTAATAGATTATTTTTATTATCTCTTTCAATCCCCAACTGCTTTATTTGCAGCACACTGTTTGGTGCTGATATAAAAGTGATTGATTGCATAAAATTGTGAGATGGAAAGTATTTTCATATTTTTTAAAAAGACTTTATAAATACAAATAAAAGTTCTTAAGTTATGAATATGCTGCCTCCTAAGTCATTATAAAACTAATATCGATTAGCAAACACTCTTGTCAAGAAATGGAATATTACCAGCTTCCAAGGAACCTCCACAGTCATTACTTTCCAATCACAAAGCCTGTTGTTTCAGCTATAATTAACTATTTTTATTTTGAAATGTTTGATGTATTTTATGCTTTCCTTTAATTTTAACTCTTAAGTATGTAGCTCTTAAACTTTAATTTAATTTTGCCTGTTTCTGAACTTTGCATAAGTTGAATAATGCAAAATGTGAATTTTATCTTTGTAATGATTTTTTTTTAGCTCAATGTTATATTTGTAAAAATTATCCATGGCCCTATGTAGTACTTTGTGTATACTTGAGATTTTTTTTATTCCTATGAAGCTATAGGCTCTTCTTTTTTACTTAAGTATAGCATTTTGTTGTATAAATATGCCATAATATATTTATCCATTCTATTGTTGATGGACATTTGGGTTGTTTTCAAGTTATGGTTAACAAGAATAATGCTGTAGTGAGCATAGTGATACATGTCCCTAGGTGTACATGTGTGCACATTTCTTACCTTGGGTAGACCTTAGGTATAAAGCTACTTGGAATAAAGTTTTCATATTTTTAAATTTGACAGATAATGCCAATTGTCATTCTTGAGGGTATCCTGCTGTACAGAATTCTAGATTAGCAGATATTTTCTTAAGTTATTTTGATAATATAATTCCATTGTCTTCCAGATTGTTATTTTATTTTGGAAAAAAAAAGTATTTTAAATATAGTTATTTAATTTTTAAAGATAAACTCTTTTCTCTATTTTTAAAACTTACAAGTTTCATTTTGTTTTGTTTAGAGATTTTTAACTGTCGTTCTTTGAGTGAATTTCTTTTCTTTTTTTCATGCAGCTTGAAATTAATAGGGCATCTTGAATCAATGAACTGACATCATTTGTAAGTTTTGGGAAACCCTCAACATTTATTTCTTTAAACATGATTCTGCTTCATTTTGCTTTTGAGACATTTTCCCTCTCTTTTTCTTTGATTCCACTTAAGCATATGTTTGACCTATCACTATGCTGTCTATGAATTTAACCCCCTTATCTCTATTTCCTACCCTTTGTTTCTCTGTGTCTCATTGAGAATTTTTTTTGACCTATTGATCTTTTCATGAGCTTTTTCTTCAGTTTTATCTAATATGTTGCTAAAACCAGAGATTTTGAGTTCTAAGATATTTTTTTCAAATATGTAAATTTTTAATACAATTATCTGTCAATGCTTTTTAAATTTTGTCTTTTATTTCCTGGTACATAGTCATATGATTCTTTTATTATCTGCTTTTGATTATTTCAACATTTGAAGTCCCTATGGACACCATTCTATTGGGCCTTTTTCTTTTCTTTTCTTTCTTTTTTCTTGCTGGCTCTTTTTGAATTTATAACTTCTTGTTCTTGATTATCTTTGATTGTGAACTGAAATTTGTAGTTTGGAAAAGTATTTGTAGAAATTATTTTATGCCTACAGTGATGTTATCTTCCTCCAGAGAGAATGCATGTTTCTTTTAAATTGATATTTGTAAGCATTAGAAATTTTGAATAACAGTCAACCTCTTTTATGTATTTGGGATTTTTTATTCTTCCAAATAAGATGAAAATTCCTTAGAGATATTGTGAGAATTGTTTTTTTTCTGCTTTCTTCTTCCTTCTGTGGTATAATCTTTGTATCTCTGCTTGAAAAGGGTCCCCTAACTTGTGGGTTATGGACACTTTCTTTTGTCCTCATATTTCTGTGGGAGGCTACAAGCAGGACTTAGTCTTTTAGCTATTTCTTCCTGAATTGAAAAAATATCTGCACCATGTCCTAAGAGGTACTATAATCCTCTTTGAATTTACTTCTTTTCTTGGATCTCATTTGTTAATTGTTGACTTCTGAACATTTTAAGTAGAATAATTTTAATTTTATCCAAATTTTCCACTTGTCCTCAGTAAGAGGATTGGTCTTCCATTCTTAAAATAATGACAAACTATTTCAGAGAACCATTTGTCTCACTTCAGCTCATAATCATGTTGTGTTCTTAATAGACGAGAAAAAAAGCAGTGTTATATTACAAATAATTTTTAAAATTTTTTAGTGATTAAATGATTTTTTCGCAACTAGG
Source organism: Homo sapiens (assembly GCF_000001405.40). Lineage (NCBI taxonomy): Eukaryota > Metazoa > Chordata > Mammalia > Primates > Hominidae > Homo > Homo sapiens. The sequence continues at coordinate 45,113,771 of NC_000004.12, forward strand.
ATGTTCTAAGAAAGGAAACTATTTTATGCAGGATAAATCATTGAAAAGTTGTATGCCAAAGTATGACATGGCACACATTTGGTAGGCATAGGTATTACACAGACCTACCAGACAGCACATTTTAAGTTACTACTGAACAGTCATAATTGTTCATTTGGAATGGGAATTCCTACTCACAAACACAAGCAAGTTCTGACTGATTAACTTGATCTATTGTTGAAGAACTGCATAGTAATTTTTAGAGTACACACGAGCCTTTCAAATATGTATTATTTTATTGTCTGATTCTCATAAAGCTAATGATAGAATTAACTTTCTAAAGTGAAAGGAGTTTAAATAATCTTTTCATGGACATGTAGTTATTAAGAGATAGGGCTGGTTAAAGAATCTTGGACTTCTAACGTCTTTCTCCATGACCCATCTCTCTACTCTGTTGTTTCTCATTGAGAGGTCAATACTTCTGAGTATATTAAAACAGAATTTCAATATTTATCTTAGCAATATAAAATACTAAATGGCTACTAAAATGATCACAACTCTTTTTTAATCCAAAATCTGCTTTTTCTTCTAGTATTTGTTTTCTCTTCTGTGTTATGCAGATTATTCATTCATATAGCACCTATTTACATTTTAAAATACAAATGGTCATGTGGTATGGAATAAACTCTTTATGTGTATGCATGCTTTATTTCCTGTTTTGGCAACTGTGCCTTTCAGATTTCTCCCATATTGCCACATATACAATATAGCTTAATATTTGATGAGGATCTTTTGTAAAGACAAGACATGTGAGAGTAAATTACATTCATTTAGGCAAATGTACTCATTTCTCTCAATGCCCACTTTTAATTTTCTTCTAAAAGTATTATACTAGTAATTTTATGTTTTGTGTTATTGACTGAACATATTGAGCAACACATATACTGTATATTTATTTCATTTAGCTAATAAATATTGCATTTCTGCAAATGTTTTAGAAGAAATAAAAATGACCTTTCACATATTCCTTGTAAATAAAGAATAAGAAAGTAAATACTGAATTACACCGAGGGAGCAAGATAACAAAGCCCAGAAGTATATATCTACATATATTTATGTATATACACACATATACATATATATTTATAATATAACATATACATGTATGTATGTAGAATGTCTATGTCTGTACCCACATGTAAAAACAGGCATATATATAAAGAGAGGGAGTAAATGTTGACTTTCATTTTTAGAGTATTTGAACCAGTTCCTAGCATTTAAAGATAGCAAGATTTCATATAAAAATTTGTTTTAATTTTTCTAAAAAATCTGTAAGTTCCAGAAATCCTGTTCCTGAAATTAAACTTACAGCATTTCTGCATTCCTGCCTGGCAACCATTAAATAAATATGAGTATTAATTTGTTTCTACCTTTTGTTCAGTTGTCCTTTCTAGATGGCTCATGAACTCTCCAGTTGGTTACAATAAGATAATTCACTAACTTTCACCTTAATTTCCTGTCTCCTGTAAATATTTGATTTTTTCTATTGTTACACTACACTACATATCATTTTTAAAGCATTTCAGGGAAGATAATGTATTTCCTTGGCTATCATCTTCATAGTTGTAATGGAAGGAAACAAAACCAATTAATTAGGTAAGTGTCTTTAGACAAAAACTTTTCAATTTAGAAAAAAGTCAACAAAATTGATAATTGGTCTAACCTGCAGAACTGTTTGAACAGATAAGCTATTTTGCAAAGCAGTAAGCCTGGTGACTCAATACAGATGCAGCCTACATTTTTATAGATACAGCAGTTATTTCAGTTTTGTCAATTCTTGCATCTCGCCAAGAGTGATGATTTATGCTTAAAGTATACCATACATAGGAGCCCATTTTCTCAATTTTATGTTGGGTGACATCCTTGCCACGTATTCCATTTTCAATTTCTTAAGGAAGATAATGTCTGAGTTTTTGTTCATATGCATCACATATTTAAAAATCATCCATAGCCCTTAATTTATGTTTTAAAAGAAGGAAAGGATAATATGGTAATCACTATAAAATGTTGTGTTATAGAATGCATATTGGATTCAATTTAATTTTCTTATGTGATTAATTCTTATGATCCCCATTAGGAACCTGTGATTTGGTCATCAATGTCCATAGAAAATGCTCTTCAGTAGTGACTCTGGTAACTACATGTTTTTTAGATTGGTTCTTTCTTTCCCCCCAAGAAATTGTAATTTATTACACAGAAGATGAGTCTGTGATGATGGCTGAGTACAAGTCATGGCAAAATCCGATATGTGTTCTTCTTTATCACAGTTGACACAGTTTACATTCACCATGAAGACATTCATCCAGGAATCAGAGGCACATATTTGGCCCTTATGTATTGTTAAGTAAACATTGACAATTCCTTACAGCCTCTAGATAAAAAGGGAAAATCAGAGTCCAAATCTTAAATTTTCCCAACACTGCAGTTCTCCTTACATTACTGAAGACTTACCCCTAAGAATTATGATTTTAAAGAGGTGTTATTTTGCTTTTTTGTCTTAATCATATTTCAAATTATGTTTAATAGATAATAGTATGTGTTTTATTATATACACTGTTAAATAAGTTTATCTCAAAGTATTACACTATAATTTTACAAAATTTAGCATAGAGTACTTATTAACTGACATCTAAAATATAGGCTTTAATTTGTTTAATAGTTTTAATTTTTCTACAATCTTTTTAGTTACTGTAGGATAGAAAAACAATGAGAAAATGTAAGCTCTTTTGTGTCTTACAGCATAATATGGAAGGCTGAAATTTAAAGATACTTGTTAACATATAGCAAAATTTAGAAGCTTAACACTAAACCAATGAAGCGAACCCCAAACATACATTAGAATCTTATTTCATCCATCAATCCCTGTCAAGAGATTTTAGTTACCTTAGAAAAAGGTCTTTTGAATGCCCCACCTCCGCATATGTTATCTCTTAGGGTTCTTCTGTTTGAGTAACTGATTTTTGCTACACTATTCTTGCTAGTATTCCATAACCATTTTGCCAAAATCCCTTATGCCCCTCAGAGGTAATTGTACTTTTCTTTGTAGAAGTTAGATGTTTTTGGTTTTTCAAAAACAAGTTTTCATTTTCTGCTCCAGAAAGTCTGAGTTGGTTGAATATTTTCCTCTAGTTATTTTTATGAATTCCATAAACTATGTTATTTTGAAAAAGATGGACCTCACATCTTTTTATCTAGTATATATTTTAATCTTTATATTCTTAGATCAAAATATATTCCTTTGAGACGAGCTGCAGATGCCTTGTTCTCCAAAAGAATTCCCATGACTGTACTTACTAGAAAAATGAAGTGCCCCAATTATTATGAACAAGCTCTGGTTTCTTCTTCCTCCTCTTTTCTAGATATCTTCTGGAGTACAATGGAAAGGTCCTAGACAATAATATCTACAATGTAAAGTATAATATTTAAATTGTTCTCTAGTAGAAATATTAACAAAGTTATTTGAGAGTGTTTATTTCTGTTGGAGTAGAGAATCACTTCCATGATTCCATTTGGGGATGATAAATAATTTAGGAAGGCTTGTTAGATGTGCAGGTATTACATTTATACTTTAAAAGATAAAAAGGCTGTGAAAAGGCTGAGTGGGAGAGAATATATGTAATGTAACGTATAGAACACCAAAAAATATTCAGAAACTAGCCTTTCAGTTGGAAAGAAAGTGGAAATGTTTCCTGTTAGATCATTTTCATCCTGCCACTTATTTCGCGAACTTTTGATCTGAGATATTAAAGCGGTTCTCCTAACAGTTGTCTGTCTATTTGGAACATCAAATGGCTATTTTGTTGAGACTACAGTGTCACTAGTGTGTGTCTCTAAATGACAGTTCTGCATGTTAATGCTAACTGTGACTTGAATAGTAAGACTGACATTAGAGACTTTTTGAAATGAGAACAACATTCTTGATCAACCTACAGAGTGCAAAAATTGGGAAATCATCAAGTAACTTCATAAGGCTAGGTTGCATTGTAATTTCATTTTCATTAGTGATGAGATTGTTGTGGAATAATGAGTGACCTTCAGTTGTGGTAAGTTAGTCAGGTAAAAATTCCTACACCAGAGTTATAACACTCAGTCATTGGTGACTTACAATTTTCTTTTAACTCTTGAACTAAAACAAATGTTATTTTATTTATGTAGCTTTATTACTGCTGAAATACTATTTTATACATATAAAGATGATTAAAACTGATCGTATATTATTAGATGCAATCACCATGTTCTTCAATTTCACTTTAGTAATTATTGGGCACCTCCTATGTGCCAGATTTATATATGTCCTCTCATTCAGTGTTCGCAGCAGACCCATGAGATTGTGGCCGTTATCTACACTTTACAAATGAGAAGACTGAAATTAAGGGAAATCAAGTGGAGTAGATATGTATTAACTTATGTTTGTTTGCTTTTTCTGGATGCACCTCACCCCCTCCTGCATCACATGAAATTGTTAAATACTTGGCCTTCCTTTCTTCACCCCAAGGAGATGCAATATTAAGGTCTGTGTAACCTAAAAACAGTGATTGAAGTGATTGATCCACATATGAACTCATGATTGTAGCGAGGCCAATAAATGTTCTTTATCCAGGATTGGTATAAATACTGTGGAAAAGAGAATTCTTTTCTGTGATTCACAACCTTGCAAACCATAAACTCCTGGCACTCTTTGAGGGTCTATCTTTGCTCACATGTGGAGAGATCTTACCAAAGAAGAAAGTAAATAGAGAATATGACAGAACTGAAAGATGGGGAAAAAGAGGCTAATTCTGGGGCTATAGTTTGAATTTTTGTTTACCTAACCATAAAATCTGGTAGTGGGAAGACATACATGTATGCAAATGCAATAAATACTACATTAAAAATTTGGGTGGGCCATGCCTAAGAAAGAGCACTTATATTCACATTACTAAACTTTGCTACATTCCACAAGCAATATAATGTCTAAACCCCTGAACAATTTAGAATATATCCAAAGTAGTTATTGATGCATCAAAAATGGCATCAGTTAACACAAGAAAAGTGAATCATGAAACGTTATATTATTCCATTCTTACACTGCTATAAATAAATACCTGAGACTGGGTAATTTATAAAGAAAAGAGGCTTAAACAGTTCATGTCTCCACAGGCCGTACAGGAAGCATGGCTGGAAAGGCCTCAGGAAACTTAAAATAATGGCAGAAAGTGAAGGGGAGGCAGGCACATCTTCACATGGCCAGAGCAGGAGGAACAGCATGAGGGAGGAGGTGCCACACACTTTTAAACAACCAGATCTTATGAGAACTTTATCATGAGAATAACACCAAAGGGGAAAATCTACCCTCATGATCCAGCCACCTCCCACCAGGCCCCACCTCCAGTGAGGGAGATTGCAATTTGACATGAGATTTGGGTGGGGACACAGATCCAAACCATATCATATGTTGAGAAGAGAGGTCATCAAAGTTTTCATAAAATTTTGAAATGAAGGAGAAAATTCTGTTGGATAATTCTGGGTAGTTTTCAGAGGAGGAAACCCATGATTAATTCTTACTATATTTACTGAGTTTGCAGTGTGTGGAATATAAATGTCTTTCTCTGAATTTGTAAAGGCAAATAAAAATATTAGTACAGGGATGACCCCAGGATAAATTTTATGTTGGCCTCGATATGTTGTAGCCTTTTTTCCAACTGTTTCCTGCTATTCTCAATCATGTTTGAGTCTTTGAAGGGCATGTTGCATGGTTGACATACATGCTGTGAGCAGCAGTCCTGTAAGTAGTGACTATTACAAAACTCTGAAAGTGTTTCTTTCTAAAGATAGCAGGTTTTACTTCCTGGAAATAATTCACTTCAGAGCCAGATGATGCTGATGACCCTGAATCTCCCTTTTCTGAAAGAAGATAATAGCAACACTGTTTTGTTGTTGTTTTTTGTTTGTTTGTTTGTTGTGAAGGGAGGAAACTATTCTTAGAAAGTTCTTTTGGAAAATTTGTGAATAGGTGATGGCACTGGATACTGATGCTAGCTACAGTTTACTGAGTTTTTCCTAAGTGATAGCCACTGGGTTAGAAATATATTGTTGTTAATTTTTGTAGCCATCTTTCAAGGTTTAAATGATGAGTAGACTGAAGCTCAGAGAGATATTAAGTATAGAAACATATATAAAAACTGTTGAGCTGGTACAGGTGAGAATACTGAGTGCAAACATCACATACCCATAGGTCATCAGTTTTAGCTCTTCCCTTCCCTCATCCTTTCTTTCCCTCTTTCTCCTCTCCGTCTTTTTCTCCCTTCTTGATTGTTTTGTTGAATCCCTAAAGCATTTTCCAACTAGCCTTTTCTTTGTTCATTACAATGATCCAATTTGGCAGTTGTAAAATTTTCAAGCTTTTTTCAACCCTTCATTAAAATTTATGTCAAATGTTTGGTGAATTTTACAGCTCCAGATACAGTGAGTGCTGTATGCTGACCTTGTTTACTGAGCACGGGAAATTCCCAGGTATCATAGCTGCAGTGGCTCTTGCATTCATGTCAGAATGAGCTAAAGTCTAAAAATAGATTGTGTTCTGTACCTGAGGTTCTTCCCTAGCGCTTTTCAACCTCTGTTTCTGGGAAACAGTGATGCAGCTCAGAGGCAGACAAAAACAGTGAGAGTAACTCCATAACTCACAGTGGGAGGAAATCATATTAAATGCCTAATGAGTTCTGACACACCTATCGTCATAAATTTCTATAAGTCATGGTAACATTTTGAAGAGAAATCTTACTGAAAAAATTATATATTTCAAACTTCATAGTTCATGATTCAGGATCTTTGTAATCTATTTTATATACTCGTAAGTGTATGTTTTTACAGACACACATATATGAATGTTTCTACTACTTTTGAGAAATCATCTTTTAAATTTTTCATTATGTAGTCTTGTCCTTCCTTAGTTTTCTTTCTTTTAACTATAGAGACATCTTTCAATTAAAAAACAAAAATCGAAACAAAAATGCAACTCTGAATTTGTCTTTGCTTTCCACAAAGCATATCTAGATTCTGCTTACTGTATCAGTAGTTACTAATATAAAGCAATAGCTATGAGCCACTAAAGTTGGGGCAGGGGACAGTAAACATTTACTGAGTAGGTCTTATTTCTGTACTTTTAGACTCTACCATGGCACAAAATGTGCTGTGTTGCAATTACCCATTTGTGTGCTTCTTGCCTATTTGCGTTTTAACATCTAGAGGAAAGCAGTCATGTCACAGCCAGTCTTGTATTTTCTTCAGTGCCTCCTGTAATGCTGGCCATTTAATCTCCTAAACCCTGTGGCAGAGAAGAGTAAGACTGAATGTATGACCAGAAGCAGCTAAAAATGTAGTTTGTAGAGGTCAGTTGCTACATTTATCTTGTGTTTTTTGGGATTTTTTTTTTTTAGACATTCTTTTGGACTTGGATTCTATACCATAAAATGCAATATCTGCTTACTTGAAAATAAAAAACAATAAACAAACATAAAAGAGGGTAAATTGTTTTAAATTATGTGATGTTGCATAAAATTTATATACCAGGAAACTGTCATATTCACCCTGAAATATGTAACAATGGATGTTACATAAATTTAATTAAATTTAGAAATCTAGTCTTCAGAAAGCTGTGAATACAGACAACAACTCAGCTGGAGACAAGGTAAATGTAATTTTTATCCTCTGCTCTCTTTCTAGTATTCTGTATCCCTTTTTGTTTTCTTTCTCCATCTCTGTGACTTATTACTTCCAACAGGCTTTATGCCATTGTACTGTCAGCACTTATACCAGACCTCAGGGAAGGGACTCCCATTGGCTGTTGTCCTTGGGCTCAAAAATCACATTGTCACTGCTAATGCATATTTATCCCAGCTGAGGGGCTATGGAAGCAAATAACTAAGCCCAACTGGCCTGCTCCAATTGCTGATTTCTGATTTTTGAGTCACAACTAGCATAATGACAAGATCATGGGCCTAGGATCTGAGCCAGGTCCAAATGCTGGCTCTCTAAATGCCAGTTGTATATCCTTTGGCAAATCATTTAAGCTTTCTGTGACTAGTTTGTTTTGGGTGCTCCATATATTTAACTTCGTTTAATCCGCACTGCAACTCTCTGAGGTTGTTATTTTCATGCCATTTGTACATTTTAAAAGGGCACCATGCCTTTAAGAGATAGAAATTATGCTGATTTATGCATCTATTAAGTGGCAGAGGTGCAACTGAACTCCATATGTTTAATGTTACAGCACTTCCCATGCAATCTGCTATCATCAGGAATGACTAACAGAGGTCTTAGACAAAATGTTTCCAATTATTGCAATGAATTTTTAATAGAATTCATTGTTTTAGAAGAGTGTTAGATTTACAGAAAAATTGAGGAGACACTGAAAAGAGCTCACATATACCTAACATTCTTTTTTCTTTATTATTAGCATCTTATACTAGTTTGATACATTTATTACAATTAGTAACCTAATACTGATATGTAATTATTAACTAAAGTCTATAATTTGTTCACATTTGCCTCTTTCTGCTTCAGGATTCCAGGCAGGCAGTATACCACATTACATTTCATTGTGATGGTTCTTTAGGCTCCTATAGTCTACCACAGTTCTCAGACTTTCCTTGTTTCACAGCATTTTGATTGTTTTAAAGAGTGCTGGTGAAGTATTTTGTAGGATTCCTCTCTTTTGGAATTTTAAAAATGTTTTTCTCATGCTTAGACTGGCGTTATGGGTTTTGGGGAAGAAGATCATAGACATAAAGTGTGATTTTCATCACGTCATATGAAGAGTACATACTAGCAGCATGATTCATTGCTGTTGATGATAATCTTGCTGAGGTGTGTTTGTTAGATTTCTCCCTTGTAGAGTTACTGTTCTTCCCCACCTTTCCACATTGTACTCTTTGAAAGAAAGTCACTGTGAGCAGCTAGTACTTAAGAAGTCAAGATTTATGTTGCCCTTCCTTGAGGGAGAAGTATCTACATAAATTGCTTAGAATTTGTTTGCATGGCATATTTATATCTTCCCCCATTTATTAACTTATTTGATCATTTATATATGTAAGTATGGAATCATAGATATTAACTTTATACTGTGGGTTATAATCCAATATGAATTTACTTATTTTGTAGCTCAAATTGTTCCAGCTTTGGCCATTAGGAGCTTTTTCAATTGGCTTCTGTGTCCCTTTGGCACACCTCCAACTATGTTTTTGTTTTTGTTTGTTTTTAAGCACTTCCTTACATTTTGGCACTGTAAGTTGCTCCAGGTTTATCTTGTATAATTCCTGTCCCAGTCCTTGAATCAGCCATTTCTCTGAGGAGCTTTTTGTTGTTTTTACAGGAGAATGGTGTTAGAAATCATGATCTGGACACTAGATGTGTTTGTGGCTCCTGCGATAGCCCTCTCAGCAGACAAAACAAAGAGATATATTTGTGTGTATTAATCTGTGTATATGCACATATCTAAAAATGTTTAAATTTGCCACCTTTTGTAATATTTTAAGATAAACATGGGTTCTTACCAATGTCTCCAGCTGTAATCCGTATATGTGGATCATTGTAGCCTCTTTCCTTGCTTATTATAATGTATTTTTGGATATTAGATAGGTATAAAATGTTGTCTCAGTCCTGGTGATAAAATTTATTGATGGCTTATTAAATTTCAAACATGTCTTTAGAACTTTATTCGAATTATTTCATTCAACTCTCACAACTAGAGTGGAGGTAGAGACGATAGTCTTTTTTGAAAACAAATAAACAAATACTTTCACTTTGAGCAACACAACATTTCCCTTTAAGAGAAGGAAATAAATCTAGAAATGTGCAGTGACTTGGCTAATATCATGGTCAGGGACTGCTGTGGCCTATATTCTCTAACTTCAGTGTGTTTCCCTATTGTGCAAGACTAGATCCCATCTCCCAGTCCTCCTTTGCTTCCCACAGCGGGACCTACCAGGTATCTACAGTGTAAACTGTAGCACTCTCAGGAAAATAGCCAGAGCTGAGGCATTTCTGTGACCTAGTGCATTAAAGAAGCCCAACATTTGTATTGTTTTAAGGCAATAGCAATGCACATCTATCTTTCTAATGAATGACTAAAAGATTACAGAAGAGTTTAATATATTAAACTTAGAGCAGCTTCTGTTTGTTGTTTATTTTCATATAAACCTTTCCTTTGATAGCTGCTACATTCTTTAAAAATGTTGAAATTGTGGCTTTTGAGAGTTTGGACTAGGGAAATATAAAATTAATGTTTCTTAGGCTGGTATGAACAACTGGAACTTTTTCTTCATGATGTAATAAGTGAGTGTTGATAAATGGATTTTCTGAAATGTTCAGGATTTAATGCCTAGTAATTGTATGAATGTGGCAGTTTTGGTATCTGGGCTCCAGAAATAAGTAAAAAATCTGAGGGAATTATGCTGAGTTATAGAAGCATATGGGTTCCCAAGAAAAAAATGTGTGCTGACAAACTGAATCGGGGAAATAATTGTTACTTCATGATCAGCAGCAACTCCCTACTTATGTGATTAACTCCATGAGTAAATGTGAACTCAGTTGCAATTATGTGTAAACATCCTGGACTTTTATCAGCCCGACTTTGTATACCTGAGTGTTACCATCTTTTAGGGTGTTGACAGAAAAAAAAAAGAGAGAGAAAACTCTGTAAAATATTTTAAAAGGTTTATTCTGAGACAATACTAGCAACTATGGTTTAGGGAACAGTCTCAAGAGGTCCCAAAAAAGTGTGCCCAAGGAGATTGAATTATAGTTTGGTTTTATAGATTTTAGGGAGACAGGAATTGCAGGTAAAATCATAAATCAATCAATACAGGGAAAGTGTACATTGTTTTAGCTGAAAATGTCATGAATGGATTCAAAGATTTTCTTTGGCAATTGGTTGAAAGAATTAGGTTTTGACTAAAGATCTGAAGTCAGTAGAATGAAATGTTTGAGTTAAAATAAGGGGGCTTTATAGCAGCATGATTTATAATCCTTTGAGTATATACCCAGTAATGGGATGGCTGGGTCAAATGGTATTTCTAGTTCTAGATCCCTGAGGAATCACCACACTGATTTCCACAATGGTTGAACTAGTTTACAGTCCCACCAACAGTGTAAAATTGTTCCTATTTCTCCACATGCTCTCCAGCACCTGTTGTTTCCTGACTTTTTAATGATCACCATTCTAACTGGTGTGAGATGGTATCTCACTCATAGGTGGGAATTCAACAATGAGTTCAGTGGGGGGAGGGGGGTGGGATAGCATTAGGAGATATACCTAATGTTAAATGACAAGTTAATGGGTGCTGCACACCAACATGGCACATGTATACATATGTAACAAACCTGCACGTTGTGCACATGTACCCTAAAACTTAAAGTATAATAAAAATAAAAAATAAAAAATAAATTGCAGATGAAATCAGAAAAAAAAAATAAGGGGGCTTATGGAGATGAAGTAGGTTCTTTTCATGTAAATGAAGCTTCCAAGGAACCATTTCAGACCTTAAAAGCTGGTTAATCTCTCCTAGATCTGGGAAGATCTCCTAGACAGGCCTGCATTAGTGGAGATTCTCTACAGATGCGAATTTCCCCCACAAAAGATGGCTTTTCAGGGGTATTTCAAAATATGTCAAAGAAATATATTTGGGGTGAAATATTTTGATTTCCTTAAGGTCTGCTTTCTGGCATGGGATGCTATACCACAGTCAGGTTTGAATTTAGTATCTTTATTGCCACGAAGAATCAGTTTATTCAGTCTTATCTCTATTTTAATGTCAGTGCTAGGCAGTTGTGCCTAAACTCCAAAAGGGAGGGAGTGTAATGACATGTGTCCAACCTCCGATCCTGTCATGGCTGGAAAGTCAGTTCTTCTGGATTCTCTGGAATCCCCTTGGCCAAGAGGTAGTCCATTCAATTTGTTTCTGTGGGGACATTTTAGGATTTTATTTTTGGTGTACATTCACCTTGTCTACATAATGCTGAACAATTGGTCAGTTCAATTATTATTTTTGCTTTGACAAGTCACCAGCTGTCTCTGAGAACTTCCAAGGTTACTCATCAAAGTTTAGGTTTATCATCAACATTTGCATAAACTGCCAGCCATGGATTCTTAACATAAAAATAAAAGACATTTAGGTGCAAAACACTTTTAAGAGCACTTTACATGTAACCTTTTTTATGACAATGTAATGAGATGGGCTTTATAATTATCCCCATTTTACAAAGGGAGACTATGAAGGATGTTAAGAAACTTGCTCACCTTCAAACATTTTATATGTAGCAGAGTTGGTGCAAGGTGATTTGACTCCTAACTTGTGCGACTAAATATCGTTCAATAGGGTGTAAAAATAGGCAAGCTGCAATAACAAGCAATCCCAAATGTGCAGTGGCTAAACTGAGCCTAAGTTTATTTTTTAATCCCATCACAGGTTGGTGAGAGAGCTGCAATCTGTAAAGGCTCTCAGAGATCAAGGATGATGGGTGCTGTGCAATCATGTATTGTGCCATCTGGAACACAAGGTCTCCTCCATTACCTGAGGTGCAGAGGAAGAGACTGCTAGAGTTCTGCTTTAGTTCTTTTATACTTAGATTGCCAAATGGCACACATTACTTCCATGCAGTCCTGCTGGCTAAAATTGGTCAATGTCCCTGTGTAACTGCAGTGGGGCTGGGAAATGTGTAGGAATAGGCAGAATATTTAAAAAGTGTTGTGAACTGGATTCTGTCCTCTCAAAATTCATTTGTTCCCACACTAATCCATAATATGACCCTACTTGGAGAGAATGACTTTAAGGAAGTATACTTAAGGTTAAAAATAAGGTCAAAAGGGTAGATAAGCCTGATGCCCTTATAAGAAGAGGAAGAGACAGCCAATCTCTCTCTTTCTCTTTCATGTGAGGACACAGGGAGCAGGTGGCTATCTGCAAACCCGGAAGAGAGCCCTCACCAGGAACTGAATTGACTGGTAACTTGATCATGGACTTCTAGCCTGCAGAACTCTAAGAAAATAAATGTTTGTTGTTTAGGCTACCCAGTTTGTGGTATTTTGTTATGGCAGCCTGAGCAGACTGTTACAGATATCACCACTGTCTCTGTCAAAAATATATGATACATATTTCAAGGAGTTGTTGGGAGAATTAAGCTGAGTGATGTAAAAGAGGACTTTATTTAATTACTAAAAAAAAAAAAAAAAAAGGAGCTAAAAGGCCAAGCCCAGTAGTGCATGCCTTCAATTCCAGGTACTCAGGAGGCTGAAGTGTGAGGGTTACTTGAGCCCAGGAGTTGAAGTCAAGCCTGAGCAACATAGTAAGACCCCATCTCAATTAAAAAAAAAGAAAAGAAAAATAGTGTATGCACAATAAATATCAATAATTTCAAGGCTTTCTATTTACCTTGCATAAGACCAAGACATTCTAAATTGTTGTGATTCAGTGCTTTTACCCTTATTTTCATCTGCCCCACGGTATATACTTTCCATTGAATGGGAAAACATTTAAAAAGAAAAGGAATAGTAGATTTCATAATTGTATAATAGTCAGATCCTGAAAGAATTACTTAAAGATCAGAATGATAATAGTTTGAATGAGAAAGTATAAATATGTTAATATAACCTCTCAGTTGCATTCACAAATATATCTGAATATTTTAACATATCTTGATCTGATTATAGAACATTGATATGGTTTGGATTTGTGTCTCCAGTCAAATCTCATATGGAATTGTAATCCCCAGTGTTGGAGGAGAGGCCCAGTGGGAGGTAATTAGATCGTGGGGAAGATTTCTCCCTTGCTGTTCTCATGATAGTGAGTGAGTTCTCACGAGATCTGGTTGTTTAAAAATGTGTAGCACCTCCCCATGCTCTCTCTTCCTCCTGCTCCAGGCATGTAGGACGTGCCTGCTTCCCCTTTAGCGTTTGCCACGATTGTCATTTTCCTGAGGCTCCCCAGCCATGAGTCCTGTACAGCCCGTGGAATCATGAGCCAATTAAACCTAATCTCTTTTCTTTATAAATTACCCAGTCTCAGGTAGTTTCTTACAGCTATGCAAGAACAAACTAACACAAACATGAAAATAAAATTGTCCCTGTGAACATTTACATATATATCCCATGTTATTAAAATGCTATGTGACATATGTGTAATGTCCGTGTACCTTTTTTCACAAATTAGTATTTTCAACTCCAGAACATATGGTTTTTGTTCTAATTCATAATTACTAAGCAATACATCATAGCAGTTTTTGAATTTATTTATGAATATAAATGATATCAGATGCTATTGTTTTGCTGATGATCAAATACTAGAATAGTCTATGAAAGTCAGCATGAAAAGGAATTTTGTATTTGACTTTAAAACTGTATATATATATATAGAGAGAAAGATAATTTAATTTGTAAGATCTTAACTACTTGTATTTTTATCTAGTAAATGTTGATATGTATATTCCTTCTTCTCCCCCTTGCATTCTCCTTCCAGTTTCAAATACAGCATGTTTGATCATTGAATTTAAATGATATAATACATCTTTTTTTCAAGTAAAATAACTTCTATTCAAGTCCCCAAAAAGCTCCAAAAATTATTCAGAAACTTTTCATGTAGGTAAACGTGTGAAGTGTGTGTTTTTGTTTGAACTCAGAATGGTTAGTATTAGGGTGGGGGGTAAAGGGGTGGGCGGGGGTGATATTTGTAAGCTTTTTCCTTTCCCATTGTAGTAGTCAGGGTTTTCCAGAGAAACAAAACAAAACAGGTTTCTCCAGTTGTTCCAGGAGAAACAACGGCCTTTAGGGCTTAAAAAAAATTATAACCACAATGCCATTAGCATACCTACAAATTTGATAAATTATTGACATTGTAAAATAATTGTTACTCATATTTTTCCAATCATATTTTAGCAGTTTGTTTGATATAAGCCCACATAAATCCATACGTTGTTATTGGTTGAAATTTCCAGAAGTGTCTTATACGTTTTCCCACCATTTATTCTTTCCCTTGAGAAGCCTCCATAAAAAACCCAAGAGGAAAGAGTTCAGAAAGCTCCCGGATAGCTAAACACTTGGAGGTTCCTGGAAGGTGGTAAGCCAGCAGAAGACATGGAAACTCCCTGACTCTTCCCTCCATGCCTTCTCCTACGCATCTCTTCATCTGCAGCCTTTGTAACATCTTTTGTAATAAACTGGTAATCATAAGAAAGTGTTTCCCTGAGTTCTGTGAGCCACCCCAGCAAATTGGTTGACCCTAAAATGGGGGTTGTGGGAAACCTAATTTGAAGATGGTCAGTTAGAATTTCCAGAGGCCCAGACTTTTGACTAGTGTCTTAAGATGAAGTGACAGTCTTGGGAACTGTGCACTCAACCTATGGGATCTGACACTATTTTCAGGTCTATGGTGTCAGAATTGAATTAGACGACACCCAGTTGGTGTCTGTTGCAGAATCCATTGCTTGCTTGCTGGGAAATAGAAATCCCCATATTTTGGGGTCAGCGAAGTCTTCTCTGTTGATTGTTGTGTTGGTGTGAGAGCAGAGAAAAACATGGTTTGTCAGTTTTTCTGAAATGGGGTATCATTTAAAAAGCTCTTGCTTCTCTTGTATTTTTGCAAATTGGTTATTAGATTTAGGATCTTGATCAAACAGAGGTTCTTTTTTTCTTTCTTGCAAGCCTAATTCACAGGAGGTATTGTATACTTCCTTCAGGGTGTACATAAAACCTGATGGCCTTTTTTATGATGTTTGCTGTCTATTATCTCTTGTTTTTATTAGGTGCTGTGAATAGCTAATATTCCAATTCTTTTGTTATTTCTTTGTTTATTAGTGGAATGCTACTATAAAGAGGAACTTGTCTTCATTAACAATTTGCTGCCCTTAGGCAGACATGTCAAAAAAGCAGAAAAAAGTGCTTTAGTCTTTACCTTTATGTAACTTTTCTTAAAATAAGTTTGTTTCCTAGTATCTTTTAAATATTTTTCAGGCCAGGCGCGGTGGCTCATGCCTGTAATCCCAGCACTTTGGGAGGCCGAGGTGGGCAGATCACAAGGTCAGGAGTTCAAGACCAGCCTGGCCAACATAGTGAAACTCCATCTCTACTAAAAATACAAAAATCAAAATTAGCCAGGCATGGTGGGGGGAGCCTGTGATCCCAGCTCCTCAGGAGGCTGATGTAGGAGAATCAGTTGAACCTGGGAGGCGGAGATTGCAGTGAGCCAGGATCGCGCCACTGCACTCCAGCCTGGGTGACAGAATGAGACTCTGCCTCAAAAAAACCCAAAAATTTTCAATTAGATATTTTACATTAGTATCATTTCATGGATCTAAACATATTTCATATATTTTAATTCAAATTGCAGTTATTGTCCTTTATTAATGCTAAAATTTTGTCACCTTTGGCCACTGGATCTAGGTGTGCTAGGTGTGCTCCTGTATCTGTTTTAGACATAATCTTATCAGTCTTTGATGCTCTTTGCTTATATGGCAGCATCTCCCAGGCTCCTATTATACATTTCCTGCTCTATATAGTAAATTCTTATACTTTTATGTTGCCTCAGTATCCATTTTGAATACAAGTTTAACTTTCTCCTACCAGATACAGGGCTCAGTCCTCTTTGACATAGTTTCCAGTCCTGTGCCACAGCCAGAACTGGCACAGTTCAAGCTGGTGGTCAGAGATGAGAATTTAGAGGTATGTCTGCAGTGCAGCAAACTGTGCTCCCAGCTTTCCTGCCCCTCTTCCCTTAAAGAGAGCACTCTAGTATTTGTTCATGAAATTAGTGGCCCATGCCCTATTCTCTTACATATACTGCTAATTGCCACATGATTTTCTCTCTGCCCCCTACTCAACTCTGCATTCCTGCCTAGTGTGACCTGGGAATTGAGGTCAGCCCTCTCAGCTCATTGTGTTCTTCCTGCCTAGAATCTATAAGTAAAAGTCTTTGAACTTGTTTCCTATTTTGGTGGTTTATTGAATTCGTACCTTCTGTCTGAAGAACCAAGGAGGGGCTTTCTTGGGCATTTTCTCTGGGACATGGGGATAGGTAGGGGGATACAAGGTTGAGCTCCCAGCAAAAGAGCAATGATCAGGCAGGCATAAGCTGGACGTGGGCCAGACAAGAGCTGCAGAAGTGTCTGCCAGTAAAAACAAGTTTCCTGTGTAAGGGACCTCCTGGTTGTAGGTCAGACAACTAGGCATTAGGACATCCACCAGGTTAAAAAAGTATCCCATAAAAGGCACACTGTAAACACCCACATCCAGCTTCCCTTCATTGCCACTTATGGTAGGGTTGCTAGCTACTCTGGTACTATAACACCAATTTAGCTGGGTCATCTCAAAACACTCCCTTGACTAGAATCAGTCATTTTTCCAGGGAATCTGATTTCTGTTAGCAGGAAATGTTCCATAGAGACCACAATCTGGGTGCTTTGTGAGCACATGGCTATTGGCTTTGTCACTGTTCCTAGGCCTTTTCAGTGGACCGAACAAGTAAATATTTATTTTTCTATTAACAACATGAGTTCATACTATTAAGAATTTCTCAGTTTTAATGTACTCTATCAGTCTTTTCTTTCGGGATTACATGTGTTTTGTTTAAAAATTCGTTTCTTACCTCAAAGTCAGAACGATATTCATCTATTGTTTTCAGTACTTTAAATGAAAAAAGTTAAACATAATACTCCACACTGACCTACATTATTTCTGAAGAAAAAAATTTCTTGTCATCTCTTTATTCATGTATACATAACGTGGATTTTTATTCTGGCTGTTCTTGAGATTTTCTCATTATCACTAGTTTTTAAGCAATTTCATTATCATGTACCTTCCTCATGGTCTTTGTGTTTGGAATTTAAGTTTTTTGGATATGTGGGTTTATAGTTTTCATCAGAATTGTGATTTTTTTTGGTCATAATTTCTTCAGAAACTTTATCTGAACCCTCCTTCCTCTCATCTACTCCAAAAATCCTAAATAGATGCACATTAGACTGCTCAAAGTTGTTCCACACTCATTGTAGTTCTGTTGAAGGTTTTAAGTCATTTTTTCTGTATTTTATTTTGTACAGTTTCTATCATTTTGTCTTTGCTTTCACTATTTTCTTTTCTTCTGCAATGTTTAATCTGTTGTTAATCTCATCCAGTGTATTTTTTTCTCACATATTTTGAAGTTTTCATCTGTAGAATTGTTATTTGGGTCTTTTTTATATATATTTGTTATCACTAATTAGCTTTTTGAGCACATGGAATATAATTAAAAATAGTTGTTTTAATGTAATTGTCTACTAATTCTAAGTTTGTATAAGTTTTGATGGATTTTTCTTTTCTTCTCATTATAGGTCATATTTTCCTGCCTCTTTGCTTATTTGGTAATTTTTATTGGGTGCAATACATTGAGAATTTTGCCATATTGGGTACTAGATATTTTGGTATTCCTGCAAATCTTCTTGAGCTTTGTTCTGACATAAAGTTTGCAAATGGTTTGATCCTTTTAGATTTTGCTTTTAATATTATATGCATTTATATATTTATATTTATATTTGTAAATTATATATTGACATTTATATTATATTTGTATTTTTATATATTACTATAAAATATATGCATATGTTTATATTATATATATTATATAATATATATTTTGTATATATAAATATATATATATTTTTTTCTTTTATATGGGATCAGAGCAGTCCTCAATCTAGGGGTAATTATTCCCCACCGTTGAGAAAATTTCTTCCATGTACTGTATCCAGTGCTTTACAAAGCACTCTGTTTTCCAGCCTGGTTGGAATTGGGTACTATTCCCTTTTTTGCTTGAGGGCTGGTAACTGTTACTTTATATCTAGCCCTCTCTGGTGATTCCTTCCTGGCCCTTGGTTAGTTTCCTTATACGCAAGCACTGACTATTCCTCTGCAGAAAGCTTGAAGTGTTTCCTTTGCTGATATCTGGGATGCTCTCTATTGCTCTTTCCTCTCTAATACTCTCCTGTGAACTCCAGCTACCCTATTCTCTCCAGACTCAGCTCCCTCTTCTCAATTCAATGGGCTCTACTTCTGTTTCTCCTCTCTGTGCCACGACTTGGAAACTCTATCAAGTCAGAAAGCTGAGGAAATTGTTGTGCTCACTCATTCCCCCTCTCCCATCTCTCAGGGATCATTATCTTTCATTGCCTGATATCTAATGTCTAAAGAGTCATTGTTTCACATATTTTGCCCTTATTATAGTTGTTCTGGGGAGGGTGGCAGGGTGGTAAGCGTGGTCCCTGTTTCTTCAACTTGGTCCAAAGTGGAAACATCCTTTGTATTTTACTTGTTTTACTTAAATATTTAAGATATTTGTTCTTGATGTTTAAGATAATTAGATTAAATTTCAGTTATTTTCCATGTGAATTACCAATGGTTCCACCTCCATTTTTATATAGTCATTCCATTCCCTGATAATATGTCTTGACACAAAATGTATAAGTTGCTCTAATAAATGTAAAAGGTAAAATTTTTATGCCTGAGATCTCACTAAATACATAGTCATGAAAAACCCATGCATATCTGCACCAAGAGATAATTACAATGATTTTTATAGAGGAACTCTTCATAATACCAAAAATCTCAAATGCCTATCTATAGGTGATTAGATGAGTGCATTGTGATGTATTCTGAACATGGAAATTGATGCAATAGTTGAAAATGAACAAACCTTGAGTATGTGCATAGCATGGTTAAATCTTGGTACCGTAATGTTGAATGCTTTAAATTCAAATCTTAGAACATTATCAAGCTTAATGTTCTTCAAGAAAACTCAAATAGAAACTAAACCACTCTGACACACCCATGCATGTAAATGTGCCTATGAATATATAATGTTTATTAAAATTCAGAATAGCAGCTATTTCTGGTTGTTGATACAAGGACAGGATAGAAGAAAAACGTGAAACAAAAGGGTGCATATATTTCTGGTTCTTGGATTTGGTACTAAATGTTCATTAGATTCTTAAAAATACATATAGAAGTAAATAGAATAAAAAAGGGCCAGATTTATATCTGTACTTACAGTGTGTCATAAATGATGTTTAGTAATTGTATCAGTCCATTTTCATGCTGCTGATAAAGACAAACCCAGAGACTGGGAAGAAAAAGAGGTTTAATGGACTTACTGTTCCACATGGCTGGGGAGGCCTCACAATCATGGTGGAAGGCAAGGAGGAGCAAGTCACATCTTACATGGGTGGCTGCAAGCAAAGAGAGAGAGCTTGTGTAGGGAAACTCCCCCTTATAAAACCATCAGGTCTCATGAGACTTATTCACTACTATGAGAACAGCATGGGAAAGACCTGCCCCCATGATTCAATTATATCCTACTGGGTCCCTCCCACAATGCATGGGAATTCAAGATGAGATTTGGGTGGGGACACAGCCAAACTATATCGTTCCACTCCAGCCCCTCCCAGATCTCATGTCCTCACATTTTAAAACCAATCATGCCTTCCCAACAGTACCCCAAAGTCTTAATTAATTTCAGTATTAACTCAAAAGTCCAGAGTCCAAAGTCTCATTTGAGACAAGGCAATTCCCTTCTGCCTATGAGCCTGTAAAATTAAAAGCAGGTTAGTTACTTCCTAGATACAATGGGGGTACAGGCATTGGGTAAATATAGCCATTCCAAATGAGAGAAATTGGCCAAAACAAAGGGGTTACAGGCCCCATGCAAGTCTGGAATCCAGCAGGGCAGTCAAATCTTAAAACACCAAAATAATTTCCTTTGACTCCATGTCTCGCATCCAGGTCACACTGATGCAAGAGGTAGGCTCCCATGGCCTTTGGGCAGCTTTGCCACTGTGGCTTTGCAAGGTATAATCTCCCTGTTGGCTGCTTTCATAAACTAGCATTGAGTGTCTGTGGCTTTTCCCAGGTACACAGTGCAAGCTGTTGGTGAATCTACCATTCTGGGTTCTGGAGGACAGTGGCCCTCTTCTCAAAGCTCCAGTAGGTGGTGCCCCAGTAGGGATTCTGCATGGGGGCTCTGATCCCACGTTTCTCTACTGCACTGCCCTAACAGAGGTTCTCCATGAAGGCCCTACCCCTGCAGCAAACTTTTGCTTGGACATCCATGTGTTTCCATATATCCTCTGAAATCTAGGCAGAGGTTACCAAACCTCAATTCTTGATTTCCTTGCACCTGTAGCCTCAACATCATGTAGAAGATTCCAAGCCTTGGGGCTTCCATCCTCTGAAACAACAGCTTGAGCAGTAGCTTGTCCCCTTTTCTTTGTGGCTGGAGTGGTTGGGATGCAGAGCACCAAATCCCTAGACTGCACACAGCAGAGGGAGCCTGGGCCTGGCCCACACAACCGTTTTCTCTTCCTAAACCTCGCAGCCAGTAATGGGAGGTTTAGGCTGCAAAGGTATCTGGCATGCCCTGGAGACATTTTCCTCATTGTTTTGGGGATTACCATTGGCTCCTCATTACTTATGCAAATTTCTGCAGTTGGCATGAATTTCTCCTCAGAAAATGGGATTTTCTTTTCTATGATATTGTCAAGCTGCACATTTTCTGAACTTTTATGCTGTTTCCCTTTTAAAACTGAATACTTTTAACAGCACCCAAGTCAACTCTTTAATGCTTTACTGCTTAAAATGTTCTTCCACCAGATACCCTAAATCATCTCTCTCAAGTTCAAAGTTCCACAAATCTCCAAGGCAGGGTCAAAATGCCACCAGTCTCTTTGCTAAAACATAACAAGAATCACCTTTGCTCCAGTTCCCAACAAATTCCTCATCTCCATCTGAGTCCACCTCAGCCTGGATTTCATTGTCCATATCATTATCAGCATTTTGGTCAAAGCCATTCGACAAGTCTCTAGGGAGTTCCACACTTTCCCACATTTTTCTGTCTTCATCTGAGGCCTCCAAACTGATGCAACCTCTGCCTTTTACTCAGTTCCAAAGTTGCTTCCACATTTTTGGGTATCTTTTCAGCAGCGCCCCACTCTACTAGTACCATTTTATTGTATTAGTCCATTTTCATGCTGCTGATAAAGACATGCCTGAGACTGGGCAATTTACAAAAGAAAGTTTAATGGACTTACAGTTCTACCTGGCTGAGGAGGCCTCATGATCATGGTGGTAGGCAAGGAGGAGCAAGTCACATCTTACATGGATGGTGGCAGGCAAATAAGGAGCTTGTGTAGGGAAACTCCCCTTTATAAAACTATCAAATCTTGTGAATCTTATTCACTGTCATGATAACAGCATGGGAAAGACCTGTCCCCATGATTCGATTACCTCCCATCTTGTCGCTTCCACAACAGGTGGAAATTCAAGATGAGATTTGGATGGGGACACAGCCAAACTATATCAGTAATTCTATCCTCAACGCCTGTGTTTCATTAAAAAACAATCTGATAAAATGATTACTCAAGTAGTAATTTACATTTAAGTATGATAATTGTGTGAAGAAAATATTACTTAGAACAATGGTACCTCTGAGGGTTTATGAAGAGGGGACAATTGGTTGTAGTAGACATAGCATCTGGACTTGAATTAGAAGGCTGGATACCGTTATTTATTAGTTACAGGTATAGTGGTATATACCATACTCTGTTTCCTTTTGTCTCAGCATATATAATGCTAATTACTGTTAGAACTAGAAATGATTATCACTTGTGATACTAATAGTAATTTATAAGCTTGTGTATGGATTAAATAAATCAGAATCCACAATTTTACTGCCTGTGTAGGCTATAATGAAATAACTATATTGAATTGACATAATTAAAAACCAAGAATGAAATTTCTAACTACTCTTTATTTGCATTTTTTAAATTCATGTTTCTTCTGCCAGTAGGGGTCAAGGTGAGGGTAAACATAATCACTCTAAGTAAATAGATGGGCAGTGGGAGGGTAAAGGAAAGGAGGTGTGGAGCAAAACACAGAGATGCAAGCTTGACAAGAAAAGTAATATTGATCACTCAGATCTTTGTATATGGTCTCTCAATCTTCACAAAAAAATTGTAAAAATGTATTTTGTTTCATTTTTATTAATAATTAAAATGAGAATCAAAGAAATTAAGAAACTTGTCTAGTGCTATTTGGGATCTCCCAAGCTGAGGTTTGATGAATACACCTGTGTTTATGACACTGACCCATGATGGTAATATTTCACTGTCATATTAAAACTGCAAACCCTGTTGTCTATTCCAATGCTTCTCAGAAGATAGAATCATTTGTTTTAAGCCAACCTTATGAAGTTATGAAGCTCTTCTAAACCAGGTATTCTGATATGAGGATTTTTAATTCATTTACATCTGAGTGACTGTGTGTAGAAAAGTATGCTTTACCCTGCATATATCAAACATTTACTCATAACCTTCATTTAATTAAGTCACTATGTATAGGGAGAAAATTGTTTCAATTACACATTCTAATGAGAATTCCAAACAAAATCAACTCACTTAATCATGTTCAGAGGAAATCAGAGCTCATCAGGATATGCCAAAAGTCAGGCTCAGTGTATCCTCAGCAGAGTCCCGCAATGTGAAATATATGTTAGCATTTACCTAAAACATAATTCAGAGTTTTAATATAGAAAGTTTAAAGCATGTGATAATTTGAAATAAGTGCTAATATTAAGTACTTATTATAGTTTTTAAAATATGTGCTTACCTTGATATTATTTATTATCAATTTCACTAAACTTTTTAAACTGAAGCAATCATTGGATCTTCTCCTGGTTAGTTGACTCTTTATAGCAGAGGATCTTGATTGGTTCCCCCGAGTCACTTTCCTTTTCTTTGCACACAACTTGAGTACATTTTCCAGATATGTGTGATTATGTGACAAGTTGTTGCCAATGCAGCGTGGATGAAAATGATTTGCACCGTTTCTGGGCCAAGGCTTTTAGGAGATAGCTATGTCTCCTTTCCCTCTTTCCACCATTCTATGGGCTCGATGAAGATAATAATAAGCAATTATACTAGAAAAAGACAGCAGAGCCATCAAATGGTAGAATCCTGGGGCCTTGTATTATTTCCTGAAGAAGAGAAACCTGCTGATAGGGAACACCAGCTTCGAACTATTGTACAGCAATATGTTTACATTGTGTGAGATTTACTGCTGTGAACAGATGTGAATATGAAAGAACAAATCCTTCAAAATGGATCCCAAGTAGCTAACGGGGTCTAAATTTGAAATGTTCTCTGAAAAGAATTTGGAGTAAGGAGATTTTATTCCAGTTAACAGTTTGAAAACTCAAGAAATGTAGCCTTTTGTGTAAAACAAAGTGATATTACAGAAAACAAAGGAATGTTTCATATTTTATAGCAAGACTTTCTGCCGAGGTTCCCAGTCAGGTCCATTTATGCAAATGAAGGATTCAAAAGAACTTAGTTCTGACAGTCACCAAGTGGCCATTTGCTGACGAGAGGTCACACATGTGCTCTGAGTTTCCTGAAAACTCATACTTCTTGTTCTGCTTTGGGAATACTAGCGCTCACCTGAAGCAACCAATCAGAGCTCATCTCACTTGACCAATCAAGTGTCAGCTGTATCAACTAATTGGAACTGAGCAAGTTTGAATCCTTAATTGGTATAAATGGAACTGATTGGGAATCTGGACAGAAAGTTTTGCTGTAAAGTCTGAAACTTCCTTTGTTTTCTGGAACACAACTTTGGTTTACACCAAAGGCTTTATTTTCCAGATTTTCAAACTGTTCACTGGAATAAAGTCTCTTTGCTACAAATTTATTTTCGGAGAACATTTGTTCACATTATACATATTAGAGTTTGTTATATCAGTTTAACAGGTAATATTTTATCTAATGCTTCCCATACCTTCTTTCTGTGTGTTAAGAACTGAAGATCTAACAGAAAATAGAGGGTTTAACATATTGGTCTCTAAGACTAAATTGTGTTGAAGCCTAGTTTACCACTCGATAGCTGAAAAATCATGGATAGATTCTCAACTTTTCTGCTCCTCAATTTTATCATGAGCAATATGGAAAGAATAATAGTACCTATCTCTAGAATTTAAAGAAAGCTGATTTGTCTTGATAGTTGTAAAAGAAATATAAATGGAAATAATATGTTTAAAAATCTTTTAGAATATATTGAATATATAAAATCCAATCAATATATGGTAACAGTTATAACACTTGATTTTCATAAAATTAAAAACATCCTTCCAAGAAAGTTAATAAAACCAAACTTTGTATGGGGTTGGTGGAAGTTAGGATTTTTTTTTAATAATTCCTTTTCTTTTAGCTCTTATAATTGATAGTAAATCTGCTTATAAGGTAGACTGCAATATGCATATATTTGAAGAAGCCTGGTACACATTGCTTTATTTTTGCACACAGCCTGAAGCAGATTATTAATTTTAGCTTTTTGTTTGAGTACTAAAACTTTTCCTATCTAGTTAGAGAGAGATGTTTGCTCAGTTAATGCAGCAAAGGGATGAAGGTAAGAATGTGTGACAGTTAGTTCACTCTAATTTATTTATTGATTGATGGACATATTCACTCAATATTGACCTCAGCTCCTATATTAGGGCTTACATTAGGTGAACACCCACTGTCTCAGGGCTCCAAGTGGGTGTTTGAAATCACTTGTCTAGATATATAAAAGAGAATAGGATAGACTCACCACTTTCTTGGACACATTTTACTGCCTAAATGGTTCATTTACATTGGTCAATGATGCATTACTTCTCACCCCTAAGCTTTTCTCAAGCTGTGTTTTACATCTAAAGTATGCCTTTTTCTCCATAATCTCTTAAGTTGTCTTTTTTTTTGCTAGCATTGTTTATAAAATCTCATTTTCTCCAAGAAACCTCTCTTGAAGCTTAGAGAAACAAAATTGGGGTAATATTTTCTAGGAAAATATGCACAAGTCTATAGTTCTATATTCCATGATTTGTATTTAATATATAAATATCGATATATATTCTTTGTTTTCAGAATGGGTATATTATGTTCATCTGTGTTAGGTTGGATCAGTGTTTAAATTTTATTACTGAGATAAACAAAGAGTTATTAGCAGCTTTTAAAACTTGCTGTATAATTTGTCATATTTCATTGTACTCCTTATTGACAAATATGTCCAAGATTATATTGGGAGATGCCATTTTCTATATCTTATCGCCAGATTTGGGAATGATACTTATTACAATTTTAAGCATTTCAAGAAATAGTAGCACTGCTTTTTAACTAGGCTGAAGTATTTTGTTTTTCTTTTGTATCACTTTCTGGACGTTTGTAAATTCACAGGTTGTCTTCCTCAAATCACAAAATGCCTGTCTTCTGTTTCAATTGGGAGGTCATATTGGACCCTCTTGTCAGACATTGATTTAATTCTGGAGCTATGTGAATAGTGCCTGAGTTAGTGGTATAGCTGAGTATCATGCAAATATGGATGAAGTCTATTAAATCAATGTCATTTTATACATGGAAATAAACAAATAGTTGTAAATGATATGGAGTATTAAAAGATCTTTCTAAAGTGTAAACCAATGTTCATGCTTTTCAATTGTCTTGCTAAAAAACATTGCTTCTTTAGCAAGATGTAATATACCATGATGGAAAATAGTGTGTGCTGGAAATAAAGAAAATAACAAATTTTGGGTCTTGGTTTAGGTTATCAGTTACCTAGTCTTAAACAAATGATATATCCCCAGTGAAATTTAGCTTTTTAAAATCAGTAAAGTAAGAAGAATAAGTCTTGTTTACCATGAAATTTGATGTGAAAATTAGGTAATATTTCACTGGACTTATAAAGGACTTCCTTTTTCAAGAAACAATAAGAAAATGACCTGAAATAGTATAAGTTTTTATTCATAAGTAAAA
This sequence comes from Homo sapiens, assembly GCF_000001405.40. Lineage (NCBI taxonomy): Eukaryota > Metazoa > Chordata > Mammalia > Primates > Hominidae > Homo > Homo sapiens. The sequence continues at coordinate 45,140,639 of NC_000004.12, forward strand.
TGATTGCTAATTCACTTTACAATAGTCTACTTTTATTAATGGAGATACTTGCATATTAAGACTTACAATCATATTAATAATTGCTCACCTACACATGACATTTGGCAAGGAATCAAAGTCTTCATGTACCACATAAAATGTTTATTACAACAAAGTAAACCAGCTGTGTGCCTTTGATCACTACATCAATATCTAGATCTTTTAGCTTCTATTTCTGTTCCATTCTGCCAGTCAAGGCTCTTTATAAAAATACGAAGGAAAATGAACAGCTAGTAACACATTTGATATGCCACTCTGATGAACTTCAGAATGCTTAACATCATCTTGTTTAATTTCATGTTTCAAAAAGCTTCTCAATTGCAGGATCAATTACTTTCAATCTCCACATCAATCAGTCCAGATGGTTCTCATTATTTGCTAAGGATAGCTGCAAATTGAAATTTTTGAACCCATGATGCATATTGTGTTAATCCTTGATATGGAAGGTTCCTTCTGCAGAATAAGTGGAGCTGAAAAAGGTGTGTTTACATTCACAAACTGAATATTATTTAAGGAATAAAAGAGACTCTTTAAAGTGTTAAACCCAGATGAACACTGAAAAATACAGTCTTCAGAAAAACAAATCATTTCACTTCTGTATTCATTGCTGAAATAAGAACATCATTTCATTTCTAATTCTAATTTGAATTTTGATTTAAGGTTAAAAACACTTTAGGATTGTTTTGTATTGCAGAATAATCTATAACTTGTTCTGTAAACACTTTGTTGCTAGGCTAAAACTGTGAGTTATATTTCTTTGTGTATGATGCTATCCCTTTATTGTAAATTTTTCTTGAACTCACAGATAGGATATATTTTAATTTGAATAATTTAAGAAGTAATGTCACCAATATGAATAGAACAATAATTTCACTTTTGTTAGTAATTTAATTAAGAAGGTAATTTTTAGCAATATCCATTTCTATTTGGTTGTGTTTTTATCTATTTCAATTATTTTCTATGTTGGAAGTAATTATGATTTTTAATTTTTATACAGGCATCATATCTTTTACTTAAAATTTTTAATGTTTAATGAATTTGGAGGGAGGGTCAACTTCCATTCTTATGTTTATTTATACATTTAATGGGAAAGGAGTGCTATTCCCCTGAATGTTCAAACAAGCAATGGAAATTCGCAAGAGAGAAATAATCTAAAATCTTCAACACATTGTATTGAAATTCCTTCTTTGCTTCTGTTTTTTCACGAGATCTTGAGCTCTTGAAGATGCATTGCCCATGGATGCTCTTCATTAATTTAAACAATGTTTCCTGGGGAAGTTATTCTGTGAATATGCCTGTAGGATTTAACTGGTCTTTGAATTATGGATACTATTTAGAGAGCTGGAGAGGAGAGTGAAGGACATTATATAGGTGGGCAAACATCTTGAAATTTTGAAATTTTTTTGTAGTTATTTTACATGTAACTGCCTGGGCATGACCAACAGGTATAAGAATAGAATCTGTTGGTTGCAAAAACTGTACATTTTTAGGTAATGTCCAGCATATACCAACAGATGCTATTGAAGATCTCCTCCTAAGAGTCATAACTGTGAACATAATTCATCCATGGGCATTATAGACTATAACTGACTGGTTGATTTAGGAAGGAATGTACCTAGCATTTGGAAAAATGTGAATAAATCAGCCTGATCAATGTGGAGGGTTATTCTAGAAAATAGAAAAACAGGGTTACGCTAAGTAATGTGGTGATTTAAAAAGATAGATCTGGGGTGATAGAATATTAGATATAACAAAGGCAATCCCTTTACCTTTATCAAGTTTTTCCTGTCACTTGTGCTAATGTCTATCGAATTGTATGTGACCAAGAGTACCGAAATGTACCCTCATTATGGCAAATGCTTCTTCAGAAACATTATAACTAAGATAACTTTTCCAATAGAGTGCAAAATGTCCATCTCTAGAAAGGTTTACTCAGAGAATTCTGGCAATGCAATGCCACAATACATGTAGCGTTATGATCTTTAGTTCGATTTCTCCTTCCCTTAACCCTGAATAGGACTCTATATTCAAGGAAGTTGAATGGAGAGGGAATTTGAGAAGTCAGGCTGTGTTTGTTAAAAGGGTTTTATGATGTCTTCTTTTTGAGTAAATACACCTGCTATTGTTAGTTCCTTCCTTCCTTCCTTCTTTCCTTCCTTCCAACTGCTTCACTCCCTCCTTCCCTCCCTCCCTTCTTTCCTTCTTTCCTTCTTTCCTTCCTTCCAACTGCTTCCCTCCCTCCCTTCTTTCCTTCTTTCCTTCTTCCTTCCCTCCCTCCCTCCCTCCCTTCCTTCCTTCATTCCTTCTTTCCTTCCTTCTTTGTCTCCTTCCCTACCTCCCTTCTTTCCTTCCATCCAGAATTATTTTTGAGAAACACTGTGATGTGTTGATTGGGAGCACATCCTCTGGAGCTGGTTGCTAGGATTAAAATTGTAACCCTTCCTCATATTAGCTATATGACCTTGAGCGAGCTACTAGGCTATAAGTTAGTAATAATAATGGCATCAATATGATCCTACTATAGATTGAATTGTATGAGTTAATGTGTGTAAAGCATCTTTATATGGTAAGAATTAGATAAAATATAGTTACTACTGTTTTATTTATTGAACACCTAACATTTTTTAGCTTTTTATTTTGAAAATATCATAGATCCATAGGAAGTTTTAAATACAGAGAGGTCTCATGTGCCATTCTACACAGTTTCTTCCAATAGTTACATCTTGTATAATTTAGTACAATATCAAGACCAGGCATCGATACTGGTACAATATGAATGTGTAGGTCTATGTCAATTTTATCACATGTATTGGTTAATGTGACCATTATTGCAATTAAGTTACAGAACTCTTCCATCACTAAAAATATCTTCCTCACATTTTATAGTCACATACATCTCATATTTCCCTACCATCACTAACCTCTGGAAATCGCTAACCTGTTTTCTATATGTACATTATTTTATTAAAGTTATATACATGAAATAATATATTATGTGACCTTTTGATATTGGCTTTTTTTTCACTAAGCATAGTGTCCTTCAGATCTATGCAAGTTATTGCATGTGTCAAAAATATATTCTTTTTATTTCTGGATAGTATTTCACCATATGGATATACCACAGTTTAACCATTCATCTGTCCAACATTTTGTATGTTTCCAGTTTTCCTCTATTAGAATTAAAGGTGCTATGAAAGATAATGTACAGGTTTTCATTTCTCTGAGATAAATTTCCAGGAGTGCAATTGCTGGGTCATATTGTAAATATATGTTTAGTTTTTAAAGAAACTGATAAGTTATGTCCAGAGTATTATACCATTTTACAATTCTAACAATGTCTGAATGATACAGTTTCTTCATCTTTGCCAGCATTTGTTGTCACTAATTTTTATGCTTAGTTGTTTTAATAGGTGTGTAGTTACCTAGTAGTTTGATAAGAGCTGAGGATACAAATTTGAATATGGTCTTGACCTGAGGGAGAAACAAGAAACAAGAAATTGAACAAATAGAAAACAATAATTAAATATTACAATAAAAATAAACAAAGTGAGGAGACTGCTCGTACCCAGGGAAGGAACTTTAATTAAGATATTTCAGAAAACTTCTTAGCTGAGATTTCAAAGAACAATGATCTAATTGTACAAAAAGCCACAGAAAGTTTATTTTAGAAAGAAAGAGCAACAAGCACAAAATTCTAGAGGACAAAAAAGGGTTGGCGTATACAAAGATTGGGGAAATAATTAAAAATGTTTTGGGTGTGATAGGAAAAGAAGTGACGTGTTTGACATGTGGTTGGAGAGGCAGGCAGAAAACATCAAGCCAGGATCTATGGTCATTAAAAAGGAGTTGGAAAATTTTCCTTATATTAGCAGTGGAAAGACAATCAAGGAGTTAAAGCAGAAGGTAGTGAATAAAGAGTCAAGATCTTGTGTGCTTTAAAAAAAAATCACTGTGACTACTGTGAAAATAGAGCATTTAGGGAGGAGATGACAAGTGGGGAGGCAGATTTGCGATGCATTGTGATATTCTGACAGAGAGATGGGTGTGGCTTTGAGAAGTATTCACAGAAGAAATGGAAATCTTGGAAATGGAGAGTGATGGGGAAAAAAAAGAACCTAGGTTGACCTCTAGGTTTTGGACATGAGTCACGCAGGCACAGTGTAGTGCCATTTATTGAGATGAGAAAATCTGTTGAAGGAATTTTGTATTGCTTTGTTTCAGTGTGAACATGTGCAGCAGTGAGCTTGAATTCAGACATACTAAATTTGAGTTTTCTGTTAAATACCCAGGAGATTTCAAATAGGAGATTGGACATATTAGCTGAAATATTGCATCTGCATATCTCTTTTTTCAACTGATCTTAGATGAATAGATAAATAAGACAAACAAGTTGAAGTCCAGTGGAAAGAATATTCCATTAAACTAAGAACTATTTGGGCTTATATTGTGATATTTTGCCCTTTCTTATCACTGTGACTAGAATAAATAATAATAATCAGAGATGCAGTTTTCTCATCTGTGCAATAGTAATATCTATTAGATATGCATAGTGTGGAAAATTAGGTAAACTTATTCATACAAAGTAACTCTGACATTGAAGGTTCTGAAATTAACATCATTTAGAATTCTAAATAAATATGAATTGTCTTCCATCTAGTTTTCCCATTTTGAATACATAAGGAAACACAGAAAGAAACCTTATATCCATTTGTCTATCCTATAATGTTTGCACATTATAGGGTATAACCTCAGGGTATAAATACAACTTTTTATAATTCCTGTAGACTGATACTCTTAGGCCAATATTACTTATCTTGAAAAGTGGGGTATTGAGGTATTTTACTTGGTCGTAAGCCACAAACCCATTTTACATATGTGATGTTATGTTTTGATATTGTAAAAAAAAAGAAGTTTTGAAATGTCCCCTTTCTTTGAGTGCAATCCCAATCATTTCCTTTCTGAATTTTAAATATAAGAAACCTAAAAATAACTTGCTCACAAGTCTAGAAGCAGGCAAAATATCACCCACAAACCTGATTTATAATACTATGTTAAACTGACTTAAGGTTTTAGACATTTATAAACATATTTTAATCTATTCCCCTTTTGCAAGGATATGTAAATATCATATACTCCAGGAGGTATAATTTTTGTAGTTATTGTAGTGCTTTTGTAATGAAGAACATAGTCTATTTTCACAGTGATAGAGAATTGAGTTGAGTTCTCTTGACTCTGGATGGATTTGTCTATTTTTTAAGGTGCTACTTAAACAATGTATAGGAGAAAATAAAAATAATCTCTTTCATAAATTAAAAATAATTTACATTTCAGCATTCTGAAAGCACAGAGGATTCAACAAAAATGGTAGTTTAGAACCAAATTCAATGAAGAAACATCAGCTTGAGAACAGACTCTCTGAGGAATGTTTTCTTTTCTGATGAATCTGATTGATTTGATGTCCTTATAAATGCATGAGACCCCCTTTGATTTTTGACTCTTTTTATAGTTAACAGTTTCAGTTTGCTAATACACAAGACCTCATGCCTTTTCATCCAGAAAATACAGAACATTTTCTATTATGTAGGAGTATTATGTTTGAAGGAATATGTTTGCTTCAATTATGTGTGCTATGGTACAGAAAGCAAAACCACCTCCCTGTAGGTCTAAATACAAGGGGTTTTCAATGTATTTGGGTTAAGTCATAAGGTTATAGCTCGCTAAGATTTTTAAAAGTTGCATTATTAAACGTGAATCTTCTGTAACAAGTACAGCATATCTTGTATAAAACAGTGTAATATTATCTTCTAAGTATGGGATGGTTTTGGTCACCCATACTTAAAAAAAGACTTTGAGGAAACAATTCATCTTTTTCCTATGAAGCAATTTTTGTTAATTGACATAATTCTTCAGCAGTCAAGATATTATTGTCATTAGGCAGTCCTTTCCTTTATTTTCAAGCCCAAGAAGTTAGTAGAGGTTTGTATGCTAAGCACCACTCCCCAGAAAATAAAAAGGGAAAACTTTAAGTATTTGGCATCATCCAAAATCAGGTGTTATGGTGGTGTGCTTAAGTTTTGATGTTATGTATTAATTACTTTTCCCTTATTACTACCTCCTCTGAATTCTTGAGCTTGTCAGTAGTCAAGAACATTTTAGCCTAAACCATTTTTTCACATTCAGAACTAAAGGTCTGGGTAATTTGGGAATTAATACTCTATAACCTGTGATGGGGTGGGGTGAGCTGTTCATTAGCATCTCTTGTGAGGTCTCTCCATTTTCATAAAGAGGCATGAGAAAATTTTCAGAATTACCTGAGGGTAGAAGCAAAGCAACACTCAGTTATAGTCAATGTTATCAACCTACTGAACTTGATATAAAAGACTTTTTGGGCACCTTACTGCCTATTAAAAAACAGTAAAGTGTAAAAGATAGTTCTTTAGACAAATTGGGCCATGGAAATGCCAAGTCGTTAGTTTTGGTGTCTGTAATGCCTCACAAAGTAATAAACTTTTATGAATAATTTGCTAAGAAATTAGCCATAATGGCAGGTAGTTTATTTATATACATTGATGAAATCTATATTATCCTATGTACATGTTATTATACAAACATTTGTTTGGGTTTTTCTCAGTCATTTTCCATACCGTAATTCCAGCTCAGCCCACTCCACTTGCAATTGCTTGCTCTCATCTTCTAACTCCTGTTTATTCTTCTCAATTTCTGCTTTAATGGCTTCATTTAACCTGCTCCTCCATATCCTGTATGTTTTTTTGCTCACAGCTTTTTTCCTTCTTCCTGTTGGAAAACTTTGCTAAATAACCTGTATTAATATTTTAGCCTCATTTGACTTTAAGATTATCTCATAAATGTTCTCTTGGATATCCTGTATAAATGGTAGTTAATATTTCTGAGCACCAACTTCCCTTACTCCAGCTCTCAGACTTCTTCTCATTATTATGACAATTGAAGGATTTTAAAAATCCTGTCTTAGGAGAAGTGGCCCCAAATTTGCCACAGATCTATGATGTTTTAATTAATAGTGACTTCTGAATGATCTAGAAAATAATGGTAAACCATGTACATATATTTCTGTGTGTGCATTTTATAGATTTTTTGTCTTTGTATGAAGAAATTTACTGAATATCCAAATAAGCATTATTTCTATATAAATGAGGTATGTGGGTTAAAATCTAGTGAACAAAATAAAACTATACATTCATGATTTGGAAACCTTTTAACAAGATTCTTGAAGAATTATTCAATTGTTAATTGTTTCTGCCTTATCTACCAAAATGACTAATATTTGGACTGAAAATAATAAAAAGAAAACCTCAGTAAGGGAAAGTGGAATTTCTGTAGGTGGTAACTCTGGAACATCCCACAGAGAGAGTGAGTCAGAATAAAATAATGACAGCAGAAATTTCCTTGTTAGCACATATTCAGCCTGGCTTTAGGGAAAATGTGCCTCTCTCTTGCTGCTTTGTTTCTTATTTCTTTTACTATGTCAATTATCACGTTAGAGGAACTGCTACTAGTTCTAGTACCATGGCTGTCATAGATGTGACCATCATATTCCATTTAGTTTCTTCCTCAGGTTCCATAACAATTCTTTGAAACTGAATATATGTGTGTGTATGTGTGTGTGTGTGTGTGTGTTCACTTTCATGTATATGGTGTATATGGGATGTGTTCAGTTTTCAGTTTCTATATATATTCATATATATACATGCATACATATATATAATATGCATATATATATATACACATATATAATCACTGAGTTCCAAAAGTAGTCTTTATTTGGGGCAATTGTATTCTCTCCCCTGTGTCTGCTCACTGGCCTTTGCAAGACATAGCAATTGCTTGATTTTCCTTTGGATAAAAGCCTTATCTTTGCACTCTTGGCTCTGGTCTTAACTTTAGATTTCTATTCCAGAATACCTCTTATATCAATCTTAAAACCTAAGATGGATAAAGAGGTCATAAAATTTTTAGGATGAAAGACTTTGTTTAGTTAAATTATATCCCAGGAAACTCATTCATCTACAAGTTAAATTGTAAAATGATTGTTTGTTGTATCTGAAAAAATGTTTAGAACAGGAAATGTAACTGGGTAGCCTGCTATATCAAAGAACCCTAAATGTATTAAGTCTCCTCATATCCATATCCTTGTATAGTCCTCTCTGACACTGACTTAACAGACACTTGGTAAATGATAGTGAATTTAGGCTTGCCAAATTAAAAAGGCACCAATGCCAACTGAGAACCTGATCTATGCTACCAGAGAGACTAACGGAGGAGAACCCAGCTGATAGCACCACTGAACTGCCCCATATTTGAGTGATGTCACTTTGGACTATATAGGCCTTGTCAGTCAAATAAGGAAACCTAGGCAAGACTCAGAATATTATCCTCCTGGGCCCAGCCAAAATTAACAAATTGTGAGTTTCTGTTTTAAGCAACTAAGTCTGATGACTGCTTATTACACAGCAATGGATAATTGAAATACAACTAAAAGTTAAAGCTGAGATAATGTATCATGTTTAAAAATTTAGCAAGTGAGTACTTCATGAATATATTTACCTTGATGGCATTACAAGCTAAGTTTTACTGGGCTTTATTAGAACAAATTATTCGGGCATTGATGAGAAACTGAACTTTCAACCTACCTTATTTACATTTATGTTTCCGTTATCCCACAAAAGCAGGAAATTACTTTCAACAATGTACCTGAGGTATTTTACAAGAACTCCCTGGTTATTTGATGTCTCAGGTGGAGAAATATGGATCAGATGAAAAGACAATAAGATTCATTGCTCTCCAGCTGAATATTTTTTCTTAAATGAGTTTATTAGTAAATTGATGATGACAACTTGATTTGATGTTTACTCTGACGTGTGATGTGAAGTTCTTCCTAAAGCCCCATTTCTTTTCCTTTTTCATATTATTAATATAGGTGAAGACAGAGAATGTGAACATATTAAATATATAGATATCTCAACAGGAGAACAGTAAAGATTATATTTCAGACTATTTCAACCCTAAAATATTGACACAGGTTGGAATGAGGTTCCAATTCAGCATAATAGCATCTAATGGAATGGGAAGATATAAAATCCTGTGTTGCTTTATGAAATGTTGTTTATTTGATTTAAAAAAGTCTCAGTTTCTTTATAGTAGAATGATTTATAATCCTTTGGGTATATACCCAGTAATGGGATTGCTGGGTCAAATGATATTTCTGGTTCTAGATCTTTGAGGAATCGCCACACTTGTCTTCCACAATGGTTGAACTAATTTAAATTCCCACCAACAGTGTAAAAGTGTTCCTATTTCTCCACATCCTCTCCAGCATCTGTTGTTTCCTGACTTTTTAATGATCGCCATTCTAACTGGCGTGAGATGGTATCTCATTGTGGTTTTGACTTGCGTTTCTCTAATGACCAGTGATGAAGAGCTTTTTTTCATATGTTTCTTGGCCGCATAAATGTCTTCTTTTGAGAAGTGTCTGTTCATATCCTTTGCCCTCATAAGTGGGAGCTGAGCTATGAGAACACATGGACACAGGGAGGTGAATATCACACACTGGGGACTGTAGGGGGATGGGGGGCTAGGGGAGGGATAGCATTAGGAGAAATACCTAATGTATATGATGGGTTGATGGGTGTAGCAAACCACCATGGCACGTGTATACCCTTGTAACAAACCTGCAAGTTCGGCACATGTATCCCAGAACTTAAAGTATAATAAAAAAAAAAGTATCAGTTTTATTTAATAGCAGGATCCTTATGTCAGTGATTGCTGAAGTTTCCAACAAGCTAATTTGTACCAGAGAGACAATGTAAACATTTAGAAAGGGGGTTATATTTCTGTTCTGTCTGCATATGTCAGATGACAACCAGAGTTTCAAAGTTCAATCTTATGAAGGGTTATATTGCAGACTTGGCCTAGAAGTCCAAAATCATTAAAATTTTTTGCAAAATTATACCTGAAAATTCTTTATGTTGTTTATTAGTAGTCATTATGGGGTTTACAAAGATAATAGGATATAAAGTGATTTCCAAATCTGGTGCAATCACCTGCCATTTACAATAGACAAAATTGTTATTTTCATTAGGTTTTAATGAAAGGAATGATATATAAATTTTTAAAGGCATGTTTAGGTTCATGAAAGAAATTCAGATTATTTTTGCATCCATAAAGAACTAGTTTGTTGAGTTGATTTAGGAACCAAATTGTAAGACATATTGCACCAGGCAATTTATTTTCTGAGATGAAGCTCAAGTAACTATGAGCACAACATCAGGAATGATGTTCTTATGTTCCCAGATGTCTCTAGGCATCTTTGCACTCTTGAAAAATACTAAGTTCCCTGTACCTGAAGAGATTCATGAATCAAAAAGAATGTGAGCCCTTGAGTATTCAATATCCCTTCAAACCTTAGAAATTGTCTGTCAATGATGGTGATTATCATCTCACAAGAGTATAGTTAGCTTCTTTTAAGAGACACAAAAGATCCCTCTGAGTTAGCCCTAGACACACATTACTCCAATTGCCTGGAGAAATGTTTAGCGATCCATACAGAATTACTCTAAATTAGATTTAGAGAAAACATCCTCTCTTTGAAGAACACTAGAATTGAGGAAAATATGGTAGAGCATATAGGTTATTTTGCCTCTGTTACTTTGAAGACCTTAAATCATGGAGTGTGTTAGAACACAGTATATTTATGACAATCATGACAGTTCAGAGAAATGCGATGAGGTCGTTTACTCTGAAACTGAATCAACACTAGTCTCTGCTCTGAGACCCACAAAATCAGATTGTCTGTTTATCTGTTTTATCTGTATGATTTCTATTCCTCTCATTTTGTTGTTGTCCTATTTATAAATCACCTTTGCTAAATACTAAAGTTATTACTATAAGGTAGTGTCCCAGGTCTGTTTGGTAATAATGAAATGTCCATGGCCAAATCCCATTGCTTTGTTTTGTCAGTGTGCTGCAAGAAAATTACTTCGATATGCCCTCTCATATTAGAATACCTACATTTTACATACCTATTGCCTATATCAAGTTTTGAATCATACCACTTTCAGGTTTAACCTGGCCACACAGCATATTTTCTCTATGGTTGCTGAACACGGAATAATAGTTTAATGATTCAGATAAACTATTTTGCAGAAACATTTAAAATCAGAAATTGCAGAACTACTGAGTATCTGAATTTTAAAGGGAGCCTCTTAACCATATTTTGTTTTCTTTAGTACTCACACTGACAGGTTGATTTACTACCTCATTTTCCCAACAAGTGTTAAGTTTCCAATATGCAGTTAAGGGTTTCTGAAAACAGTGACTATTTAATCACATCCTTATAGTTTCCCCAAATTGCTTATAGTTTACCCTCATTTAGTTAGGTCTATAATATTTCTCAATTAGGGTAAAAATTTCTATTCCTTTCTAATTACTGATGCATATAATATATATAAAAATTAGGTAGCCTCCCATGAAAACTTAAAATTAAGAGCTTTTAGCATCAAAATATCAGAATAAAAAATTAGGAAAACTCATCAGTTCAGAAAGATTTTCTTTAAATACACTAACGTGAATAAAATGCTCACAGAGAATTACTCACATCTAAGGATACAGACTTTTTCCTAAAGTGAAACTATTCTTGGCTCACTCAGACTCTGGAGAGTGTTTAAATGATTTTGAAGTTCACTGGTCAAAGTCACAGTTGGTAGTAAGAATGATTGTCCCAGAAGAGAATGGAAATGCTTGTCAACTCTACTTTCAACCCCTGTTGGAATCCCTATGCTGTGGGTAGAGATATGACTAAATTAAGCAGTTTTAAGTCTAAGTCGGCAAGGTTTAATTATTGATTTATTGGTTTTACAATTGATAAATATTGCCTTTAAGTATATGTTTTATCATGTAATAGTCACTTTGGTAGCCTCAAATGCCATGGGTTCACAGGGTAAATGTTAAGGTAATAGCTAAACAATAGAGAGTATAGAGATCTATAGTAAGTGAAAAAAAAATTAAGATGTAATACAAGTCCAGCATGACAGACTTCAAAAACTTTCAAAAAGTAGGAAAAGAAAACCAGAAGTCATTCTTGCAGTGTCTCAGATTGCACTGACTTGATGCCTAATTGGTGTTCATATCCATCCATTGAGAATGGCTCAAGAGGCTGAGATCCTCTATTTCCTTCCAATCTCTTGCTGAAAACGATGGCATTCATCCTTTTGTCCTCTTACCACTACTGACATAGTGACTGGCATCCCTACATCAAGGAGAAAAAAATTCTTTGAATTAACATGTTGAAAGGATCTTACAAGTGCAAATGATGTCTTAGAAGATATAACACATTGATATTTCTGAACATTGCTGGACATTTTTCACAGCATAACATATTCCCATCAGGATCATCTGCCATTGTAAGGAGTGATTATTGTCAATTACAGGCTAAAGGGTAGGAGAGCAACCCCAACCCAGGGAAAGCAGAAACTCCAGGTAGGAATCACTAAATTTAACCTGTCTTGGTTACATAGACTATTATTTAGATTTAGGCAGTAGTTATTATTTTTTTTAATGTACTTTTTCTGGCAAGGCAAGTTATATGGAAATGAAATGTGATTCTCACCAGTTAGGTAGTATAGCAGTTCATGTAATGCTAGTACCTGTACAAATAAACTTTGAAGTATATAATGTCACAAACAAGCAAGCGAACAAACAGAAATATATATTTTACTCATCTAAAGTCCAAACTGAGTATTCTTTATGGCAAGTGGTTTTCCTCTAAGTCATGTTCCGGGATGCTTCTTTTTATCTTGTGGTTCTACCATGATGTAGATTATTGTGTTCATTTTCACCAAGCCAACCAAAAAGGGAAAAGTGCAGAAAATCACATGGGAAATTATTATTTTTATTTATTTATTTATTTATTGGAGATGAGTCTTGCTCAGTCACCTGGCCAGGAAATTATTTTTTAAGCAAAGACCTGGAAATAATTCATATCATTTTTTCTCATATTCTATTGGGTGGAACTCAAGCCCATCCTCCCTGTCAAATGCAAAAGAGGCTGGGAAACATAGCAGTGTGCCCAGAAAAGTGATGAAATAGGATTGACAAATTGTTGGTAGTTGCTGCCACATGCAATAGCATGAATATTGTGCTTTGATAACTCAACATATAATTGGTAGAGGTGCAAAGTGGGGAGAAATAAAATATGACTAAATATAGAATGTTTGTCCTCCAAACTAACTGCACAAAAGTCAGGGGTTTACATATTGCATATAATTATATATTTTATAAAATGATGTATGGCAAAGTTATGTATTACACTTTGTTGCACTATATATATATATATTTTTTTTTTTTTTTTTTTTTTTTTTTGAGACAGGATCTTGCTCTGTCACCCAGGCTGGAGTCCAGTGGTGCAACCTTGGCTCACTGCAACCTCCACCTCCCAGGTTCAAGCGATTCTCCTGCCTCAGCCTCCTGAGTAGCTGGGATTACAGGTGTGTGCCACCACACCTGGCTAAATTTTGTACTTTTAGTTGAGATGGGGTTTCACCATGTTAGTCAGGCTGGTCTCAAACTCCTGACCTCGTGATTCACCTTTCTTGGCCTCCCAAAGTGCTGGGATTATAGGCGTGAGCCACTGCACCTGGCCTGTTCTTGCTCTTTCTTACTACCAACTCTACCCTTGAAATTCCACCACTTTAATCTCTAAAGACTCTCATGTCTCAACATGGTAACTTTGGAGATCATATAACCTGAGAGCATATTTAACATAATCATGATTGGCTGGAGGGCTGGCAGAAGGGATTCAGTCTTGGGGAAGTGTAAAGAGAAGATATTGTAAATTCTAAGAAAGATCTTTTCTCACTTGAGGAATTTGTATCACAGCATATCCACTTACCATACAATGTAACATTTCAAACGTTACAACTTATACCTGAAGTTGAGAAACAGCTGTGCCACAAGAGAAATATCTATACTTATCTCTTTTATATTGCTGTGTCGCTTTGGATAAGTGATTTCACCTCTTTGGGTTTCCTCTCTGTGTAACATAAGAGAGACAGACTAGATAACTAGCCTTAATTATTTTCCTCTGTCCATATTTCCATTCATTGTCCTGCACAAATACTCTTTTTGGAAGTTATTTCTAAATGTAAGAGTCTTTAGATGATCATGTGAAATCATATTTCAAAATGAGGACTGCTGATGGGATCCTTGCAAACCTTTTCCTGTCAAAATTAAGATTACAATTTTACTGCCTGCATGGGGTGAAGATAAAGGGCTCATGCTTCCTTTACTAATGCTAGACGTTCAGAAACAGTTTGAGGTATACGTTTATATTTTTGGCCAAAGTATTGACAATTCTTTGTAATTTCTATAAAGCAGAATGTGTTCATCATGTCCTTAAATAGATATAATTGTTATATATCGAAATATTTCTATTACTTAAAAATATATCGTGAATATACTTCAGTAACTCAGCTGCCTTTCTGAAAGGAAGGAATTCTTTTGCTATGGTACAGTAACTGTTCTAGCTCCTATCTTGCTGAGCTCCCAGCTCTGAGGTCATTAAGCACTGATCTCGCAGCAAAGCTTTTCTGCAGCCCAGTGGGAAGAATTGGTTCTTGATGTGGAACAAGTAGGAATCAATCCCGAAAATATTTGACTCTTCCCTTTGAAGTCTTTTCTTAAGTAACCTTTTTCTTTGTGCCAATCTTATTCTCTTCCCTTCTGCATCAATTCTAGTCTTAAGTTTTTTTTTTTTAAATCAACCACGCACCATATAGCTTTTTTCTGAAATTATACTGGAAATTTCTCAACATGCTTTGGGAAATGCGGAAATTACTGGTAGAATAAGCAAAACATTCTTTATGGTTTATTCATGCAAACTGACTCAGCAAAGGAGCCCCAAACAAGCTTTGGTCATGGGGATTGAACAAAGCAGAAACAACATTCACATGGCATACAGCACACTGCATGTTGTAGGTGTGAAATCATTTGGGCTCTCTGTTGGAGAAGTGGATTTTTCTCTATAGGAAGTTCTTATCTACTACAGAGAGAAGATTGGGTTATATAAAGGTAAACAAACATTGCAGATTGCAGATATTCTGATTCTGCAATGAAGCAAAATTTCAGACCTCAATGTTATGAACTCTTAACCAGGGAAGTCAGGGCAATGGGGAATTTCCAAGAAAAAAATAAAAAGAAACACATATATAAGTATGTCTAAGCTTTATGCTGTTTGCTATATTTTCTGCATTAATAAATGTAGGATGTTGAAATTGTGTATAATGTAAGTAAAAGTCTACATGTCTGCACAATAAATTCTGAACATATAAATCTAACTAATGATAAAGGGATCAGGAATGGTTTTTGAATTTGATGCTTTGGAGAAAATTATATATTCAGAAGTTAGAAAACATCAGAGCTCTAAGGTCCTTTGAGATTATCCTCTTACTTTATTTTATTAATGGAGAATGAAAGACATAGATAGGTTGAGTGGCTCTTTCCCAAGCTTACATAAGGCATAATATATGTTGTGATTTGACAAGTCTCCTGACTCTATTTACAGCACTCTTTAATATTAAATGCATCTATAGCAGTAGATAATTATTTTAAAGCCAACTCATTTTTGCAAACTAAAACAAGTGACATTTTTCAATAGTTACAAAAATATATTAACTGAAAAGCTGTAGAATTTAACTTTACTTTTGCTAACTGATTGAGAAAGCAAGTGTAAAAGAAAGTCATATATTGAAATAACTAGATATTGAGCTAAGAATATGCACTGTAGGTTTGCATAAAAACTTATGAAAGAAAAACGGGAAATAAAAGTTAACTGAAAATGATCGGACTAAAAAAATAATATTAGCAGGCAGTTACAATACAGCTAAATCAAAAACAAAGAAAGCAAGACAACTTAGAATTTCAGCACCTCATTATTCATAGAAATAATCTCAAGGTGGCATTATGGAGATGTGGAAAGAGAAACAACATCTTCTCAAAGCACCTCACAGCATTTTGTCCTGTGAAGGAATAATAACATGCATATATGAGACAAAAATTATTTGGATTTTGGCAGTATTCTTATAGTAATTGGGTGTAATGGGAATGGTTATGGGTGTATCTTTACATAAACTGAAAAGATAATAAGACAAATTAGGCCGGATGTGGTGGCTCACTCCTGTAATCCCAGCTCTTTGGGAGGCTGAGGTGGGTGGATCACCTGAGGGTGGGAGTTCAAGACTGGCCTGGACAACATAGCAAAACCCCATCTCTACTAAAAAGACAAAAACTAGTTGGGCATGATGGCACACACCTATAATCCCAGCTACTCAAGAGGCTGAGGCGGGAAAATCACTTGAACTCAGGAGGCAGAGGTTGCAGTGAGCTGATATCACTCACTGCACTCCAGCCTGGGTGACGGGACCAGACACTGTCTCAAAAAAAAAAAAAAAAAAAAAAAGAAAAACAAATTAGGTTAGCAGCCATTATCTTGGGGTTAGGGGAAATAAGAATGATGGAAAGAAGAGTGGAATTTCAGATTTGTATACCCAGAAGTCTGGGTCAGTGGTGTTATATTGATTAAAGTAATCAAAATTTAACAAAAATTAACTTGTTTAAAGTTGATCAGGGTATTATTATGGAATATTAATCATAAAAATGATACAAAGATTACTTGCCACAAAATGGGCTTTGTTTTCAGTGACTATTGAGGGAGAATAAATAAGGTATAGAATGATAATCATTATAATCTACATATTAAATCCACATTAGTGTGTAGAATTGCTTTGTTTTTTCTTTTTGGTAGACATGAAACTGGGGTATCAAGACATGGATATTTTAACAAGAATAAAATTTTGTATCTATAAAATCTACAAAACTCATAAAATTAATCTGAGAATGGATCATAGGTATACTTTTGAATATTCTTTTTCTCTCATTTACAAAAGAAAAGAAAAACTCTTTTCCATCCTGAATCTTAATGATGCTTTACTCTGGAGTGCAAAATTTTATGGGGCATCGAACAGGTAGACAATTCAATATATTGATTTCAGGTAACCTCTTTTAATCAACACTTCTTTTTATATAACATATTTCTGTTAAGGGCAAAGAGCTGTGTTAGAAAATGTGGTATTTAAAACTATGTTAGGATGTTATTAAATCAGGTATATTACAGAGTGGGCAATGCAAGTGATGACAATTTTCATTTAATGATATGTTCTCTTCTATCTTCTGACTACAGTCAAATAATTTAATCACTTGAACCCAGGAGGCAGAGGTTGCAGTGAGCCAATACAGAGGGCACTGTATCGGTTCACTGTAAGCCTGAGGGAAAGGCTTATTTAAAGGGAAGAGCAGGAGCATTGGAAAGAAATGTTGAATAGCATGGTACATTAATTTATCTATGAAACAAGCTCATGGCAAAGACCATGCCTTAGCTGATTGTGAATTTATCTAAGAATTGGAATTTATAAGTGAGATAAGTGCCAAGGTGTCACATTTCAATATCTACATTTGAATTTAAAAATGATATCAGAATTTTTTTTTGACAGAGAATAAGCCTGATTAGGTTAACTTAATAAGAATTTGGTCTGTCAATTAGGTAATGTATTACACATTTTCTGCAAATTGATTGATCTAAATGTGTAGCCCCAAGGCTTTTGTATTAATATATTTAAGGAGTATAAATACATTAAAAATTTATTGAAATATGACACTGGTAAAAATGTATTAAAGAAAAAAGTTGTTTTTCCTAATTATCTATTCGTTTATTGACTTTAATAAAATACCTCTGAGTTAAAAAATAACATGTGTAAATAAAGCATGTTTGAAGGTCTTTAAAAAATTTTTTGGTGTAGGTATTAGTTTATTTTAGTGCCTTCTTTAAGAAAAAACACTTTATTGAGGTATGACTGACATACAAACTGCTGTCCATATTTTATGTACACAATTTGATGAGTTTGGGGATAAACATATACCTGTGAAACCATTACCACAATCAATGCCATAGGCATCTTCATTCACCTCCAAAACCTTCTTCCCACTCTCTATGTTTTTAATTTACTTTTCTGTGGTAAGAATACTTAATGTAAGATCTACCTTCATAGCAAATTTTAAAGTATATATTACAGTACTGTTAACTATAGGCACTATGCTGTACATTCAACCCCTAGGATTTACTTATCTTGTGTAAGTGAAAGTGTGTACCTTTTGACAGACACCTCTCTGGTTCCTCCCCCTTCTTAGTCCCTGGCACCCACCATTCTACTCTCTGCTTCTATGAGTTTGACTATTTTAGATTCCTCATATGACTGGAATCATATAGTATTTGCCCATCTGTATTAGGCTTATTTCACTTAGTGTAATATCCTTCAGGTTCAGCATGTTTTCACAAATGGCAGGATTTCCTTCTTTTTAAAAGCTGAATAATATTGGTTTCTATTGCTGCATGACAAATTACTACAACGTTGGTGGCTTAAAATAAAACCCATGTATCATCTCACATTTTCCATGGGTCAGGAATTTGGGAATAGTCTATCTGGGTCTTCTGCCCAGGGTCTCACAAAGCCATCATCAAGGACTTGATCAGGGTTGCAGACTCATCTGAGGTTCATTTGAGGTCTCTTTCCAAACTCAGCGGTTGTTGGCAAAATTAACTTTCTTCTGGTTATATGATAGAAGTCCCAGTTTTCTTGCTAGCTGTAGGCCAGGACCACTCTTAGCTCCCAGAGGCTACCCTCTGGGGTTTGCCACATGAGGCCCATTTCTCAAAACATGACAACTTGTGTCTTGAAGGCCAGCAGGAGAATCTCTATTCATGAAGGACTCAGTCCCCCTTTTAAAAGCTTTTTCAGATTAAATAATATTTATCCAAGATGATATCCTATTTTATCAACTGAAAACCAACAGATTTCGAATCTTAATTGCATCTGCAGGATGCCTTAGACTTGACCATTTAATGTAAGCTAATGAGAAGAGTAAAATCCATCATATCCACTCTCAACCACACTCAAGGGGGGAGGGTGAAATACAGTGTGTACATCAGGTGATGAGAATCTGCCTACTGCCATATGCTTCCCAGCAAAAGAAAAAGAAAAAAATGTCTCTAATGATTGGTAACAACTTCTAATCATGAACTATATTTCCAGTCAGGTCCAATAAAGAAATTAATGGATAATCTAAACAAGTGTAGCAGCTGATTATTAAAAATAAATTTTGATGGTCAATCAATATGTGATTTTTGGATAGGTGATAAAATCTGGAAGAAGTTCAGAGAACTGAGTGCCATCATGGAAACAATACTCTTTTTATTCCCATGTGCTTACATGCTGTGTTTCCATTAATATCTATCTGTTTTCTCTTTTTCCTGGGATCAAAGATTTCTGGCTAGGTGCAAAGCTGCCCGGCTAAAGAATATACATCTGTTTCTATTGCAGCTGGGAGAAGTCAAGTTACTAAATGCTCGCTGATGGAGTGTGAGAGAAATTGATGTACGTCATTTCTTGTCTGAATGATAAGCTATTAAGAGTGAGAGCCTCTTCACCATTTATTTCCTTTTTAACAAATAAAAATAGGAGGTGCCTGAAACTCAGCTTTGGCCATGCTTGGAGGACAATCCCTAGAAGATAGCAGAGGTACAAGTTGGAAGAAATTGGGATATTTCCATGACCCTGTTGGAGCAGGTTTACTCAGCTAATTTGCAGTCTCACCTAGGAACTATTCCATAATAGAAATATTAGCATTTCTAGCCATTTCTCATTTATCTAAATCTTCACTACCTGTCTTGAGAAACTCAATAGATTTGGATGACTTTTTTGAGACAAGTTCTCCTGGCCTGGCCTCAAAAAACTCATCCAAATCTATTGGTTTCTCACAAGAATGAATTGTAAATGACTTTAATTGCTCAGAGGTTTGATCTATTGGACTAAACATACCAGTCTCCTAAGAAGCACCAAAGAATAAATATTAGTTATTATAGGTGTTTCAATCAAAATTCATAATAGGCAATATGATGTGAATTGATTTATGACATCCTTTCCAAGTTCTTTCTAGTGAAATTTTCTGAACTGTCAAGGTGAGAAAACTGAAAACCATATTTCTTGGATTTCTTTGCAGGTAAGCTTCCAGAGTGATCTGGAAATATTTGCACATATTTCAGGAGGTGAAAACTGAGGTGAAAGCTGAACAATTGCTGCTTCTGAGGATTTTCTTCTAGGTATTGCTGTGGAAACTTTTAATTTTCTTATTAAATTATATATTTATTTGTCTGTAGAATGATTAGCAGAGGTACCAGTATCCAGTAAGCAGCATCGTAGGCATCCAGAGGAGCAAGTGGGACATCTCTTTTGAACATAACTGTTATAACATGTTTCTGAAGCTGAGAGCAACAATGACAGCTTCTCAGTCATGGAAGGGGCTTTCTAATTGCAATAGCGGTCTGTGGATTGACAGGAAACAGCTTTCATGTTAGCTTCTCAATTTAGTATGTGGCTTCCTGATCATAGACAAGATGGATTCTTTGATGGTTCATTCTCTATTGTACCTTTGGGAGTGTTTCTGGAAAGCACAATCTTGTTTCCTCCCCCCCGACCCCTGCACTCCTCATGACTCTGTAAACCATTTAACACCTTGCAGTGATCTCTTTTGGCTTTAACCAGCTAGAAAGTTCTCTGCTCTTTGATGATGAACATCGCCCAGTGAAGGTAGTATTTTTATCTTTCCTGATCATCCGTACTCCTAGTGAGAGACAGCATCACACAACTGTGCAGAATAGTAATTTTAGTTGCTTTTCTACTTAACTCTCAGGCCCTATGGATATGAACGGATGAATGCTACTCCTTATTGATGCTCTTTTTCTTTCACGGTGAGAGATTTGGAAGTGACTTCCTATAGTGTGGACCTAATTATATTTGTACTTAATGGCATTTGTTGTCCAATCTACTTGATGGAAGAGAAAAGGATAGTTTGTTCTTAAAGTTCAATACCAATTTCTTAAAAACCATCGCTGATATTCCACAGTTTCAATTATTAACAGTTACAGGTCCATGAGGAATTTTTGAATTTTATGACCTTTTCTATAGTTAAAATATATAGGTTGAATTGTTTATTTGCTCATATTTATTTTTCCTTCAGGCAAATATCTTTTCTTTTTTTTTTTTTTTTTACTAGTTGCTACTTTAAAAGTCTGGTCCCATAAAATATCCAAAAGTGCTTTAAAAAGAATGGAATATGTCTGAAAAATAAAATTGAGTCATGATTTATTTTAACAATACTAGTATCTTTTCTGCATCCAAAGTCTGTACTAGAGGAAACTGACTTATATAGAAGAGACATTTGGTTTTAATATAAGGACTTCTTGGCGGAAGGCTACTTCAGCATGGTGCCTACCTTAATATCATGTCATGTACGCAGCATGATTTAGTCCTCAGAGAATAGCCAATGTTTGAATTTTGACAAAATTTTGGATGAACTGCTGAATTTTTTACCCTTTGCTTAAAATGTATTTCATTCAACCATATCATGCATTTGATAACATGTCCTGTGTGCTTTCTCTTTCACAGCACTCATTACTCTTGTAATCCTCTGTGTAATATATGCATCTGCCACTAAACTGTGAGTTCTGTGAGGTTCAGACTTTTTTGCATCAGTTTTATGTGCCACTGTTTACTAACTCATCATGTTAAATGAAAGACTGAAGAGATGTATGAGAAAATACCTTGAATGCATTTAAACATAAAATGGTAGAACACAAATGCTGTAGAATTTTAATACCTTATATAATCTTAAGGAAATTTCAAAGCATTTTTTATTGTATTTATTTAACAAATAAATAGTTAACACATATTACATGTCAGGCAAAATTTTAAGTGAAAGTCAATATTATCCTCAAACCGTCCTTTGAGGTAAACACTATTATTTTTTAAAACCCTTTATTGAGGTATGGTTGACATAAAAGTCTATACTATTTAATATATACAACTCAATGAGTTAGGGAATCAGTATACTCCTACAAAACTATCACCACCATCAAGGTCATAAACATATCCATCACCTTCCAAAGTTTCCTTCTTTATTATTATTATTATTATTATTATTATTACCTTTGTGTGTGACAAGAACACTTAACATAAGATCTAGGTATACAGCAGAAGTCCCCAACCTTTTTGGCACCAGATACTGGTTTTGTGGAAAACAATTTTTCCACAGACCAGGGGTCGAGGTGGATGGTTTCAGGATAGTTTAAGCACATTACAATTCTTGTGCACTTTGTCTCTAATGTTATTGCAATATAATATGTAATGAAATAATTATACAACTCACCATAATGCAGAATCAGTGGGAGCCCTGAGCTTGTTTTCCTACAACTAGATAGTCCTATCTTGGGGTGATGAGAGACAGTTAGAGATCATCAGCCATTAGGTTCTCATAAGGAGACCCAACCTAGATCCCTCACATGCACAGTTCACAGTAAGATTCATGCTCCTATAAGAATGTAACGACGCTGCTGATATGACAGGAGGCGGAGCTCAAGCAGTAATATGAATGATAGGGAACAGTTGTAAATACAGATGAACCTTCGCTTGCTCATCTACTATCCAACTTCTGCTGTGTGGCCTAGTTCCTAACAGGCCACGGTACCAGTCTGTGGCCCGGGGGTTGGGGATTCCTGGTGTGTGGTACAACATTGTTAGCTTTAGGCACTATGCTGTATAGCAGATTTCCAGAATTTATTCATCTTGTTTAACTGAAATTTTGTATCCCCTCACCCTCAGCCTCTGTCAACTACCATCCTGCTTACTGCTTGTTTGAATTTGACTATTTTAGACTCCACATATATGTAAGATCATATGGTATTTGTCTTTCTGTTTCTGGCCTATTTCACTTAGCATAATGACCACTAGGATTAAAAATATTACAAATGGCAGGGAATTCTTCTTTTTTTGAGGCTGAATAATATTCCATCGTATGTATATACTACATTTTCTTTATCCATTCATTTGTTGATAGACACTTAGATTGATTCCATATCTTGGCTATTGTGAATAAAGCAATAATGAAAATGGGACTGCAAATACTTCTTCAAGATCCAGATTTCAATGCCTTTAGATATATATTCAAATGTGGAATTGCTGGATCATATAGGAGTTCTCTTTTTAATTTTTTGAGGAACCCCCATACTGTTTTGCATAATAGTTGCACTAATTTACATTCCCAGCAAAAGTGTACAAAGGGTCCATTTTCTCTACATCTTTATCAGTACATCTTTAAAAAAGTCATTTTAACAGTTGTGAAGTGATTTTGTGGTTTTGAATTTCTTTTTCCTGATAATTAGTGATGTTGAACACCTTTTCATATACCTGCTGGCCATGTGCATGTTTTTTTTTTTTCTTCTAATACCATACTACATGTAAGGTAATTGAAGCAAGTAAAAATTTCCCCAAGGTCACTCAGAGAGAAAGGGATTGAGTCAGGATTCAGGCCCAGTTAATCTGGGTCCAAAGACAAGGTTCTTAACAACTACAAGGGGTAAACTTCCCAGCTTTGACAGTCTTTACGTTTAAGATTTTGGATATCTGTGGTAAATATGGGTACAAAAAAGCATGCATGATTATTCTACATTTTATTAGTTTATGCTAAATAATTGCCATATATGGTACATTTTATGAATCTATAATAAACAGATATACCAATGACAATACGTATAAGTATCCATCAATAATAATAATAATAACCACTTATCAAATTCAGAGAATTCCTTTGGGTTTTCAAAAACAGGCAAGAACAAACGAAGTTAACACTGATTCAGTTAGAAAACCTCTTTGCTAATAGCTTTATATTTACAGTCTGTTTC
This sequence comes from Homo sapiens, assembly GCF_000001405.40. Lineage (NCBI taxonomy): Eukaryota > Metazoa > Chordata > Mammalia > Primates > Hominidae > Homo > Homo sapiens. The sequence continues at coordinate 45,164,556 of NC_000004.12, forward strand.
CTCTCTCGATTGAATTCTTCTCCTCCCTTTTCATTCAGATCCTCCCATCTATGAAAATTGAGGTGGGAGGACTCCTTGGTAAGGGCCATAATGACAGTGCTATAGAGTAGCAATTATAGACTGAAGTTTTCTGAAATGGTTTGTACTAGGGAAGAATCCTAATGTATTAACACTGACTGAAATATCCTCTCTTACAAAGCATTGGCCCAGAAGCACAGGTTTAAGCATACCACAGGTGCTTCTAAGTAAGTAATAGTGTCTATCAATATTTTTTACTTAGTCTGGCAAATCATTCAATGCTTTTAAAAAGCTGTAGAAAAGTCCCCCTATTTGCTAGAGCATGGATGCAATAGAAGCTATAAAGCCTGTTACACACTTTAAGATAATATTATTCTCAGATCATTTAATTCAATATCTGAAAGCTTAACCACTGTATGAAACTGGCAGTTTTTCTGCTTTTGGCAGCACAACTCAATCCCAAATCCTACCCTTACCTCTATAAGAACTCAGGAAGTACCAGTAATACTGTACAGCCTTATGTGCATAAAGATACGACTTTCCCATAAACCTCCCTGACCTCTCATGTCTACACTTTTTCTATTTTAATATTAATCACAATATATTGTTGTAGAGTAAACGCCCCTGATAGCAATAATTTAGGCATACCCTTAGAATGACCCTATATAACAGACACACCTAAATTTACGCTCTGAGCTAGGGAACCGGAAGTGGCCAACCTGGAGATTCATTCTTGTCTATGAAGAACATCTGAGCCTCGCGCCCCTCCCGCCTCCCTCCCAACCCCACATGTCTTGTGAAACACGTGCCATATAGGGAATCAAGGCCCTTAAATGACGGTGATCATGTGGAGGTCTTTAAGGGGAGTGTGTTAAGTGAAAACGCTATATAAATTGCATGCTGTTTGCAAGTGACTGTGGTTTTCCTGCTCAACTCACTGCTAGCGGGCATGTGGTTACTTTGTTCAACCCATCACTCTGAGTTGTAGTAAGGCAGATATCTCGTCCAGCTCCCCACCACTGGACTCCTTCCCCTGTAGGTAGGCCTGTAATATAACCCCATGTCTTGTTTGCTGACTCTGGGTCTCTTCTTCAGCCTCTTGTACCTGGTGCCTTCCCTATCGAGGTTAACAGGGATTCGGCAAAACAATTGTAGTATATGTTTACTTGTCTCTATTCCTCACAAGGCTATGATACAAAGTAAGTACTTATTTGATGAACGTAGATTGAAAGGTTGACTAAGCAAAGGCTTATGCTGCTTACTTCCTATATTAGTTTTCTATTGCTGATGTAACAAATTACAACAAATTTAGTGACTTTCTAGAACATGCAAATTTATTATCTAATAGTTTTGTTGGTCAGAGGTCCAAAGTGAATTTGACCAGACTGAGATCAAAGGGTCAACAGGGCTTTGTTCCTTTTGGAGCTCTAGGGGAGAATCAATTTCTTTGCTTGTTCAGTTTCTAGAGGCCACCCACATTCCTTGGCTGTGACCCCTTTCTTCCATCTGAAAAGCAGATGGCCAGTGATCTATAACCACATCTCCCTCTGGTTCTCTTCTGCTTTCCTATTCCACTTGTAAAAATGCATTGGCCCACCTGAGCACCCAGGAGTATCTCCCTATTTTAAGGCCAGCTAATTAACAAATTTAATTTCATCTGCAACCTTAATTTCACTCTGACATGTAACATTTACATATTCACATGATCTAAGGATTAAGATGTGGGTGGCTCTGGAGAGGAGTGTATTATTCTACTAATTACAGTGCTCCATAACTTTTTGGGCACCAGGCATTGGTTTCGTAGAAGACAATTTTTTCATAGACTGGGGGTGGGTGAATGGTTTTGGGATGATTCAAACATGTGCACTTTATTTCTGTTATTATTCATTGTAATACATAATTACACAACTCACCATAATGCAGAATCAGTGGGAGCCCTGTGCTTATTTTCCTGCAACTGGTTGGTCCCATCTCGAGGTGATAGGAGACAGTGACAGATCATCAGGCATTAGATTCTCATAAGGAGTGTGCAACCCAGATCCCTTGCATGCAAAATTCACAACAGGGTTCACTTTCTTATGAGAATCTAATGCCACCACTGATCTGACAGGGAGTGGAGCACTGGCAGTAATGCAAGTGATGGGAAGGGGCCATAAATACAGATGAAGCTTCCCTCACTCACCTGCTGCTCACCTCCTGTTGTGCAGCCTGGTTCCTAACAGGTCATGGACTAGTACCGGTCTGTGGCCCAGGGGTTAGGGATCTCTGATTTATTATGGATCCTAAACTCTATTCCAAAATCAGCAATATGCTTGATAGTAAAAATGGAATAGAAGGAATTGAATATGGCTCTGAACATCTATTTTCACCTTCAAGCTTCTGTATGGCTCACTCAGTGTCCTTTTCAACCTCCAACCTTCTGTATAACTTATCTTTTTTTATAAAGAGTTTAAGATTTATTTGCAGTTCTATTTCTTTATGATGAAACTAGTCAAAGTTCTATGTTCAGAAGATACTTGAATTAGTTCTGTATTTTTAAAATTCAGCACAGTTTTGTTCTTCTTTTTTTATTAATTTTTATTTTACCTTATGTTCCAGGATACATGTGCAGAATGTGCAAGTTTGTTACACAGGTATACGTGCGCCATGGTGGTTTGCTGCACCTATCAATCCGTCATCTATTTTTTAAGCGCCGCATGCATTAGCTATTTGTCCTGATACTCTCTCTCTCCTCCCCCCACACTCCCCACGGCCTCAGTGTGTGTAGTTCCCCTCCCTGTGTCCATGTGTTCTCAATGTTCAACTCCCATTTATGAGTGAGAACATGTGGTATTTGGTTTTCTGTTCCTGTGTTTGTTTGCTGAGGATGATGGCTTCCAGTTTCATCCATGTCCCTGCACAGGACATGATCTCATTCCCTTTAATGGGAGCATAGTATTCCATGGTGTATATGTACCACATTTTCTTTATCCAGTCTATAATTGATGGGCATTTGGATTGGTTCCACGTCTTTGCTATTGCAAATAGTGCTGCAATAAACATACGTGTGCATGTATCTTTATAGTAGAATGATTTATATTCCTTTGGGTATATATCCAGTAATGGGACTGATGGGTCAAATGGTACTTCTGGCTCCAGATCCTTGAGTAATAGGCACATTTTATTCCACAGACACATTTTCCTCCACAATGGTTGAACTAATTTACATTCCCACCAATAGTGTAAAAGCGTTCCTATTTCTCCACAGCCTTGCCAGCATTTGCCAGCATCTGTTGTTTCTTGACTTTTTAATAATCACCATTCTGACTGGCATGAGATGGTATCTCATTGTGGTTTTCACTTGCGTTTCTCTAAGGATCAGTGATGTTGAGCTTTTTTCATGTTGTTGGCCACATAAATGTCTTCTTTTGAGAAGTGTCTGTTCATATTCTTTGCCCACTTTTTGATGGGGTTGTTTTTTTCCTGTAAATTTGTTTAAGTTCCTTGTAGATTCTGGATATTAGACCTTTGTCAGATGGGCAGATTGCAAAAATTTTCCCCTATTCTGTAGGTTGCCTGTTTACTCTGATGATAGTTTCTTTTGCTCTGCAGAAGCTCTTTAGTTTAATTAGATCCCATTTGCCAATTTTAGCTTTGGTTGCAATTGTTTTTGGCGTTTTCAAAATGAATCTTTGCCTATGCCTACATCCTGAATTATATTGCCTAGGTTTTCTTCTAGGGTTTTTATGGCTTTGGGTTTTACATTTAAGTCTTAAATCTATCTTGAGTTAATTTTTGTATAAGTTGTAAGAAAGGGGCCCAGTTTCAATTTTCTGCATATGGCTAGCCAGTTTTCCCAGCACAATTTATTAAATAGGAGATCCTTTTCCCATTTCCTGTTTTTGTCAGGTTTGTTGAAGATCAGATGGTTGTAGATGTGTGGTGTTATTTCTGAGGTCTCTGTTTTATTCCTTTGGTCTATATGTCTGTTTTGGTACCAATACCATGGTGTTTTGGTTACTTTAGCCTTGTAGTATAGTTTGAAGTCATGTAGCGTGATGCCTCCAGCTTTGTTCTTTTTGCTTAAGATTATCTTGGCTATATGGGCTCTCTTTTGGTTCCATATGAAATTTAATAGTTTTTTTTCCAATTCTGTGAAGAATGTCAAGGGTAGTTTGATGAGAATAGTGTTGAATCTATAAATTACTTTGGGCAGGATGGCCATTTTTACAATACTGATTCTTCCTATCCGTGAGCATGGAATGTTTTTCCATTTGTTTGTGTTCTCTTTTATTGCCTTAAGCAGTGGTTTGTAGTTCTCCTTGAAGAGGTCCTTCATATCCCTTGTTAGCTGTATTCCTAGGTATTTTATTCTCTTTGTAGCAATTGTGAATGGAAGTTCATTCATGATTTTGCTCTCTGCTTGTCTATTGTTGGTGTATGGAAATGCTTGTGATTTTTGCACATTGATTTTGTATTATGAGACTTTACTAAGTTGTTTATTCAGTTTAAGGAGTTTTGGGCTGAGACGATGGGGTTTTCTAAATATACAATCATGTCATTGGTAAACAGAGATAATTTGACTTCCTCTCTTCCTATTAGAATATCCTTTATTTCTTTCTCTTGCCTGATTGCCCTGGCCAGAACTTCCAATACTATGTTGAATAGTAGTAGTGAGACAGGGCATCCTTGTTTTTTCCTGGTTTTCAAAGGGAATGCTTCCAGCTATTTTCCATTCAATGTGATATTGGCTGTTGGTTTGTCATAAATAACTCCTATTATATTGAGATATGTTCCATCAATACCTAGTTTATTGAGAGTTTTTAAAGTGAAGTGTTGTTGAATTTTATCTAATGACTTTTCTGCATCTATTGAGAAAATTGATGTGGTTTTGTCATTTGTTATGTTTATGTGATGGATTATGTTTATTGATTTGCATATGTTGAACCAGCCTTGCATCCCAGGGATGAAGCTGAAAGATCAAGGTGGATAAGATTTTGATGTGCTGCTGGGTTCAATTTACCAGTATAGTTTTTGTTTGTTTGTTTTTTTTTTTAGACAGGACTTCATTCTGTCACCCAGGCTGGAGTGCAATGTCACGATCTCGGTTCACTCCAACCTCCGCCTTCCAGGTTCAAGCGATTCTCCTGCATCAGCCTCCTGAGTAGCTGAGATTACAGGCATGCATCACCACGCCCAGGTAATTTTTATATTTTTGGTAGAGGCATGCATCACCACGCCCAGGTAATTTTTATATTTTTGGTAGAGACAAGGTTTTGTCATGTTGGCCAGGCCAGTCTCCAACTCCTGGCCTCAAGTGATCCACCCACCTCTGCCTCTCAAAGTGCTGGGATTACAGGCATGAGCCACCATGCCCGTCCAGTTTGCTGTTATTTTACAGAGGATTTTTGCATTGATGTTCACCAGGGATATTGTCCTGAGGTTTTCTTTTTTTGTTTTGTCTCTGCCAGGTTTTGGTATCAGGATGATGCTAGCCTCATAAAACAAGGTAGAGAGAAGTCCCTTCTTTTCAATTCTTTGGAATAGTTTCAGAAGGAGTGGTACCTGCTCCTCTTCGTACCTCTGGTAGAATTCGGCTGTGAATCATCTGGTCCTGGGCTTTTTTTTTTTTTTTGGTTGGTAGGCTATTAATTACTGCCTCAACTTCAGAACTTGTTATTGGTCTATTGAGGCATTCAACTTATTCCTGGTTTAGTCTTAGGAGGGTGTATGTGTCCAGGAATTTACCATTTTCTCTAGAATTTCCAATTTATTTGAGTAGAGTTGTTTATAGCATTCTCTGATGGTAGTTTGTATATCTGTGGAGTCAGTGGTGATATTCCCCTTTATCATTTTTTATTGTGTCTATTTGATTCTTCTCTTTTTTCTTCTTTATTAGTCTAGCTAGTGGTCTATGTATTTTGTTAATTTTTTCAAAAAAAAAACAGCTCCTGGATTCATCAATTTTTGGAAGGTTTTTTTGTTTCTCTATCTCCTTCAGTTCTGCCCTGATCTTGGTTATTTCTTGTCTCCTGCTAGCTTTTGGATTTCTTTGATCTTGCTTCTCTAGTTCTTTTAATTGTGATGTTAGGGTGTCAATTTGAGATCTTTCGAGCTTTCTAATGTGGGGATTTAGTGCTATAAATTTTCCTCTGAACACTGCTTTAGCTTTGTCCCAGAGGTTCTGGTATGTTGTCTCTTTGTTCTCATTGGTTTCAAGGAACTTATTGATTTCTGCCTTAATTTCATTATTTACCCAGGAGTCAATCAGGTGCAGGTTGTTTAATTTCCATGTAGCTATATGATTTTGAGTGAGTTTCTTAATCCTGAGTTCTAATTGATTGCACTGTGGTCTGAGAGACTCTTTGTTATGATTTCAATTCTTTTGCATTTGCTGAGGAGTGCTTTACTTCCATTTATGTGGCCGATTTTAGAATAGCTGCCATGTGGCACTGAGAAGATTGTGTATTCTGTTGATTTGGGGTAGAGAGTTCTGTAGGTAGCTAGCTGGTTATTTTGCACACTAGTTGATGCAGTTTCTTCGGTGTCATTGGGCTTTATATTTCGGTGTGTTATCGCAGTGGCTGGCACCAGTTTTTCCTTTTGATATTTAGTACTTCCTTCAGTACTGCTCTTTCAGGGCAGGCCTGGTGGTGATGAAATCTCTCAGCATTTGCTTGTCTGAAAAGGATTTTATTTCTCCTTCATGTATGAAGCTAAATTTAGCTGGATATGAAATTCTGGGTTGAAAATTCTTTTCAAGAATGTTGAATATTGGCCCCCACTCTCTTCTGGCTTGTAGGGTATCTGCACAGAGATCCACTGTTAGTCTGATGGGCTTCCCTTTGTAGGTGACCTGGCCTTTCTCTCTGGTTGCCCTTAACATATTTTCCTTCATTTTCACCTTGGAGAATCTGATGATTATGTGTCTTGGAGTTGATCTTTTCATGGAGTATCTTAGTGGGGTTCTCTGTATTTCCTGAACTTGAATGTTGGCCTGTCTTGCTAGGTGGGGGAAGTTCTCCTGGATAATATCCTGATGTGTGTTTTCCAATTAATTTCCATTCTCCCTGTCTCAGATACTCCAATCTATCTTAGGTTTGGTCTTTTTACATAGTCCCATATTTCTCAGAGATATTTTTTCTTCCTTTTCATTCTTTTTCCTCTAAACTTGTCTGCCTTCCTTATTTAAGCGAGATGGTCTTTGGTCTCTGATATTCTTTTTTTTCCACTTGATCGATTCAGCTATTTATACTTGTGTATGTTTCACGAAGTTCTCATGCTATGTTTTTCAGCTCTATCAGGTCATTTATGTTCTAAACTGGTTATCCTAGTTAGCAGCTCCTTTGACCTTTTATCAAGGTTCTTATCTTCTTTGTATTGGGTTAGAACATGCTCTTTTACTTCAGTGGAGTTTGTTATTGCCCATCTTCTGAAGCCTACTTTTGTCAATTCTTCCATCTTATTCTCTGTCCAGTTCTGCGCCTTGGGAAAAGAGATACTCTGGCCTTTTGGGTTTTCAGTGCTTTTTCATTGATTCTTTCTCGTCTTCATGTTTGTGTAGTTTCGATCTTTGAGGCTGCTGATCATTGGATGAGGATTTTGTGGGGACTTTTTTTTGTTGATGTTGTTGTTGCTTTCTGTTTGTTTTTCTTTCAGTAGTCAGGTCCCTCTTCTGTAGGACTGCTGCAGTTTGCTGGGGGTTCACTTCAGGTCCTACTCATCTGGTTCACTACTGCACCTGGAGATGACACTCGAGGAGGCTGGAGAACAGCAAAGATGGGTGCCTGCTCCTTCCTCTGGGATCCCTGACCTCGAGGGACACTGACCTGATGCCAGTAGGAATGCTCACATATAGGGTGTCTGACAAGCCCTGCTGGAGAGTCTCACCCAGTTGGGTGGCAAGAGATGCAGGAGGACCTGTTTAACCAAGCACTTTGGCTGTCCCTTGGTGGAGGGTGTATGCCGTGCTCGGGGGAAACCCACTTGTCTGGGCTGCCCGGATTCCGCAGAACTAGCAGGAGGAAAGACTAAGTCTGATGGTCTGTGGAGACAACGGCAACCCCTCCCACTAAAGGCTCAGGCCCAGGGAGATCAGAGTTCTGTCCCTGAGCCCCTGGCTGGAGTTGGAGTACCTGCAGGGAGGCCCCGCCCAGTGAGGAGGGATAGGTCAGAGTCAGGCCTGAAGAGGCACTCTGGCCACAGCCTGCCACAGCCGTGGTGCTGGGCTGTGGGAATACCTCTTAGGACCAAGCCATCCAGCCTCCCTGGCTCGGTGGAAGTGCCGCCTGGAGCTATGGAGATGGTTGCTGCCCTTCCCCCGCCCTGGGAGCTTAGTGATTTAGGCAGCTAGCAGTCCCAGTGTTTGCTGCCACCCCTCCCACAAGGAGCTCAGCCAGCTTAGATAGCAGGCAGCTGCAGCTGTGGTGGTGGCCACTCCTCACCCTAGGAACTCCGCAGGCTTAGGCATATTCTAGCTGAGTGTTTTTGAGAATCTGCGCAGCTGGGTGTTTGGGACCCTAGGCCCCAATGGCATGGGCTCACGAGTGGCATCTTCCGATCTGTGGATTGCACAGTTCCGTGGATAAAGCATGGTTTCCCAGGCTGGGTAGCACGCTTATTCACCGCCTGTCTTGGCTAGGGGTGGGGGGTCCCCTGCCTCCCGTGGCCTTCAAGTGGGCCACCACACCACACTGCTCTTCCTTCCTCTCTGTGGTTCACGCCAGCCGCCTAGTCAGTTCTGATGACGGAGTCTGGATACTTTGGTTGCCCGTGCAGGATTTGGTTCTTTTCAATGGGAGCCTCCGATTGCAGCTCTTCTAGTTGGCCATCTTGGTCCCGCCTCTTCGGTATTATTTCTTTCTGCATTGTAGAAGTTGGACAGCTAGAACTACATATCCCAAGATCTTTTGCATCTAGTTTTCCAGACATTATTTCATTTTGAGAATCAGATGCATTGCAGAGGTATTTGAATTCCAAATGAAGAAAGTAGAAATATAAGAAGGGGAAATGCATCTAGTTTTTTGGTGCACATTGTGGTAGAAGAATTCATAGATCTGCATTCACTGCTTCCATCATTTGGCAGCTTTCTTCAGTCAGGGGAGTATTTACCCAGTCATGGCAGAGGCAATGCAGTGCTCTGTTCACTGATTTTCTGATTTGGAAACAAGTTTTCTTGGGCAGGAAAAGGATGCTTCAGAGGACATGATACTTTAGAGAAGCTCCTTCAGCTTTTGTAGCCCATTTGCGAACAACATAACACATTGGGATACTGTATTTCATCAATTCTAAATATATTTTCCCACTACTACCTGGCAGTATACCTATATTTCTTAGCAGTATATGAAATAATACTGTGATTATGATCAATGCTGTCAGACATGCAAAGTATTAGTATTAATTTCTTTCTGGGGAAACCATCTAGCATGGCTTCTGCAACTCATTCCTGTCTTATACCAGCAGCCATTGCTTCAGTCCTGGGTCAATAGCTTGTGAGATGATGAAGATGTGTATCTGACCTTTCAAATTTCACTCTAAAACATAGACAGACATACAATTTGCTGTTTTAACTTATAACCCGTGTGTTGTTATCAGCAATGACAAAAAAAGGTCATTTGTTCAGAAAATCAGTGCAGCTACAAATGTATTAATGTATAGGATGTATGGGATGCTCCAAAGAAGTCAGACTTATCAAAATTTTCTTATAGGCATTAAACCTTACCAACCTACAATCTGTGAAAAACAAAGAATTCTTATTGACTTTTCCAAACTGATATTATTAAAAGCTACAATTTATTACGTGCTGGATATTTTGTTAAGTTCTCCGAATCTTGTTTCCTTTTCCCTACTCCATAATGTTGTGTATAAAATATCAAGACAATTTTAAGAAAGCAAGCATAGTGTTGGAAAAACAATGCATCTTTTTCCTAAAGTTTTAATGTCAATTCGTATATTTAACCTAAAAACCAAAGAATTCAGATTCAGAATATAAAATATTACGACATGAGATCCACTATAAAACACTCAACCTTGTTCTAACAATAAAGATGCAGTTGTACTTTTACTTCTGTGATCTTAAAAGTAAAACATTAAGGACAACCTACACCAGTTAGTTGATGTTTAATCCTTTACATTCCTGGTCTTAAAGAATTTCATTTTGATAGAACTGTCTCTAAAATGTAAACCTCCTTCTTATTCTAAACTGTATCTTACACTTACGTTAATGATAAATGTGTATGCTATGGTTATCAAGCATTGTGAACAGGAAGAGATCTAGATAGGATAGGATGCTACTGATGGGGCATCTATAACCATGTTGGCTCTGAAGCTTTTCTTGTAAAAGAATTCCAGCGCTAGCACACTTGTTTTTTGTTTGTCTTTTTTCTAATAAAGGTTGAGTTAAAGATTCAGAGTTTCATGATTTCCCAGGCAGAGTTTAAATACTGCATTTCTTTAAAAAAATAATAATTTGTCCATAAAAAGCTGAAGAAGAAAATGACTATTGAATAGAAAATTACCTTATTAATACCTCTTCTAATCAGTGTCCTTCAACTCATCTGCATAGGTTTTAGTATTGACTGCTATTTTTGTATTACTAACACTGTGAATCAGAATGTACCTGTTTGTTTCGTTGCTCTATTTATTTTGGCTAAATATTTATTATCATTTCAAGTATTTGCCACAGTGAATTTCTGAAATTCTTAGTGAAAGTGTACATGTTCTTTATCTTTATTAGTCCGCTTTTCCTTACCTGATACCAGGCTACAATTTTTGCTGAGATTTACTTTGGAGAGCAACAGAGACACAAATACATTTATAATCGTATTTTTATTTTAAGAATAAGGTTGAAAATTCTGGAATGGATCTTTTATGTGATAATATTTCATTTTCAGAGACTCAATACCATGGTTCATGGGTTGAATATACACAGTAATACTGAAAGCTCAAGCAGATAAGCATTTTTTTCAAGCTTATGCACGTTTTCTTAAACATTTCTCAATATTCTACATACAACAGAAAAATATTGAATTCCTACCTATGTCAGGCATTGTGCTAGATATGCAGAAAAGAAAAGTTCAGCAAAAATACCAAATGATATTGTCTCAGGACAGCATCTCTTTTATTGAAAATATGCAGGAAGGATAAAACCAATTAGAATGTGTTTTTATTTATCCCTAAGTATTTATTTTATTTTATGTCAGCAACAAATAAAAGTGCTTAATATGGATAGCTGTTGATGCCCAACATTTTATTTTGTTTAAGTGAAAAGTCAGCCTGGCTTTTCTCTGTTGACACCAAGTGAGGTTTGATTTACTGGTAATGTCAACAAGATATAGTGGTTTGACAAGCATTTTAAACGTGTTTGGATTTAAGTCATGTTCCAAAAGGGCATACTCTAAAGAGCTACTATCTATAGATTCAGGACCTCTGGCAGATACCAAAATCTGTGGATGCTCAAGTCCCTGATATAAAATGGTGTAATATTTGCATATTACCTACACACATCCTCCCATATACTTTAAATCATCTCTAAATTACTGATAATACCTAATTAATATACAACGCAAATGCTATATAAATAGTTGTTATACTGTATTGTTTTTACTGGGATTATTTTTATTGTTGTATTGTTCTTTTTTTAATAGAAAATTTTTGATCTGTGTTTGATTAAGTCTGTGGGTACAGAATCCAGGAATACCGAGAGCCGACTGTATATATCATAGTTTTAAGACTTACTATTTTTGGCCTTACTCTGTCTCAGTTTGCAACACCATCTTCTTCTGTAAAGACAAGTGCCTCAGTCATTCATATTCATTTATTATTGTAAGTCTTACTGGATAATATATAGGAAAATAATCGTGTCTCTTTACCAATATTCATTCAACAAACAAAACCTATGTTATCTAACTTATGCAGTTCCATAGCATAGTACGGTACTATACTTGTAAGTTAACTTGCAAGCAGTAAAAACGTAGTTATTATATCTGAGTTTGTACAACATAGGAAAATGCACATCATGTATTATCATCAACAATCACTTATGCTAAAATAATTCGGAAATATTACCTTCTTTATTTAAAAGTCACCTTATCAATTACATTAGCAATACATGTAAATAAATAAAATAGTTAGAAATTAACTTAGCCCAGATGATGAAAGACCTGTTCACTGAAAATTAGAAAACGTTAATTTAAGGCAATTTTAAAAGACACAGTAAAATTATCCCATGTCTATGGATCAAAAGAATTAATATTGTCAAAATATTCATACTACCTGAAACAATCTACAGATTCAATGCAATCTCCATCAAAATCTCCATAGCATATTTTATAGAAATAGAAAAAAATGTTCTAAAATTTATATGAAGCCACAAGTAGCCAAATAAATCATGAACAAGAACAAGGCTCAAGGCAGCACACTTTCTGACTTCAAATTATATTACTAAGCTATAGTATTTGAAAGACTATGGTTCTTTAATAAAAATAGACATATAGACTAATGGAACAGAATAAAGAGCCACACATTTATGATAAATTGAACTTTAACAAAGGTGTCAAGAAGACATAATAAGGCAATAATAGTCTCTTCAACAAATGATGTAGGGAAAACTGAATATGAGCATACAAAAATAAAACTAAACTCCTATCTCACACCAGACACAAAATCAACCCAAAATGCATTAAAAAATAAATTTAATGCTTGAAACTATAAAACTCCTAGACAAAAACATAGAGGAAAACCTTCTTAACATTGGTCTTGGCAATAATTTTTTGGATATGACACCAAAAACACAGGTAACAAAAGCAACAATGAACAAGTGGGGTACATCAAACTAAGAAGCTTCTGCACAGCAAAGAAAACAAGAAAACAACAAAGCAATCTACAGAATCAAAAGTATTTGTAAACCATATGTCCAATAAGTGGTTAATATTCAAATATGTCCAACTCAATACCAAAAATGCAAATAACCTGATTGTAAAATGGAGAAAGAATTAAATAGATACTTCTCAAAAGAAAAAATTCACATGGCCAGCAGCCATATGAAAAGGTGTTCAGCGTCTCCAGCCATCAGGGAAATGCAAATCAAAACCACAAGGAGATATCACTTCACACCTGTTAGCATGGCTATTACAAAAAAGACAAATGATAGCAAGTATTAGTAAGGACATGGGGAAAATGGATCCCTTGTACTCTTTTGGTGGGCATGTGAATTATTACATCCACTATGGAAAACAGTATGGAAGTTATTCAAAAAATTGAAAATATAACTATGATATGACTCAGAAATCCTACTGTGATTTAGCTTCACTGCTCATTGGTTGCCAACTTGCCTGAGTCCAGTGAGACAGACCACTGTTCCACACAACAAGTCACATGAAGCAGATTTATTATGCATAGGAAGTGAGGTTCAGCAGAAGCCTAGAATTCATGATAAGTGGCACCCCCAAGGCTCAGGAAAGTGGCCTAAGTAGATGGAATCTTGTCTGTGCATTCTCACTTGCACTGTGTCTAAGAAACCCCGAAAAGCAGCCTGCTCTGTATTTTATACCCCTGGGGTAACATGACAAACTCGGTTAATGTTTTGAAGGACATCCTGTTTCTAAGAGCTTACTTAGCAGAGCCCATGATCTTCTGGTCAGCCCCTCCTTATCTCAGGATGCTGCATTCCAAACATATTCTGGAGTTCTTTTTTGATTTTTTTGAGACAGGGGTCTCACTCTGTTGTTCAGGTTGGTCTCAAGCTCCTGGGCTAAAACAATCCTCCTGTCTCGGCCTCCCAAAATGACGGGATTACAGGCACGAGCCACTGTGCCTGGCCAATAATTATTCTTGAGAACTACAAAGGATAAAGTGAGAGAATTGGGTCAGTCCAAGGTTACCCAGAAATCTGTCCTGTATCAATTTCTGGGTGTATATCCAGAGGAATTGAAAACAAGATTGTGAAAAGATACCTGCACTCACTCCCATGCTTATTTTAGCATTATTCACAGTAGCCAGGGCACGGAAGCAACCTAAATGTGCTTTGAACAGTGAATAGATTAAAAAAAATAGATGGGTTGATAGATTGATGTGTCTTAGTCCATTTGTGTTGCTATCAAAAAATACCTAAGGCTGGTGATTTATAAAACAAACCAAAAGGGGCTTCTTTGGCTCCTGGTTCTATAAGCTGTATAAGAAGCATGTTCTTGTGCCCCTGCACAAATTACTTAAACATATATATTTTTTGGAGACAGGGTCTTACTGTGTTGCTCAGGTTGGTCTCAAATGCCTGAGATCAGGTGATTCTCCCACCTCAGTTTCCCAAGTAGCTAGGGTTACATGCCTGCCATTTTTGCCTCACTCATAAACATTTTATGCTTTCTTCCATCTTTGAAAATTGCTTGACAAAAGTATTGAAAAATATTGTTGCTAAAATGTGTAAATGCCCAATTATTTGGAAAACACATTCATTCATTCATTCATTCATTCAACAAGTATTTTGTTAATAAATTACTGTGTAGCAGACATAGCATTAGGTCCCAGGAACCAAGAGAACAAGGAAGTAGAGGGAGCAGTCTTTGGAGTTAGTTGTCTCTGAAGTTCACATTCTTTGAGTCATTCACATAGTTTTAAAGAGATTTGGGACATTACAATGTATATACAAATAATTTCTTTACTTTTTCTGTAAATGGCTGATAGTTGGATTTAGTTTACAAACATCACAGGAAGTTCTTCTGTAAGGGAAAATGTATAAATTAAAATTTAAACATATGTTTGTGCCAACATTACTCACTAGTGTGATGACCTCATAATTGGTGAAGACTTTATGTTCTGCTTGAAAGCTTGGAGTCATATCAAAAGAAGTAGCTGTAATAGTCTAGACAGGATTTTTTTTTTATTAACTCAGTTTCTATCATTTTAAATGTTGGCTGAACAAGTAGTAAAGGTTAGACATTTTAGGCCTCCACAATGTAATTAAAGACACTCTTGGGGCTGTTTTCCAAGGTGCTTTAAAATTTATTCAAAGAACTTTAAACTGTTGTTGAATGTTCTACACAGTTTAGGGCTGAGGAAATAACCTTTAACCTTTCTCAGTTCTGGACTTATACCTGGACAGTTAAGTGCCTTACCAACTGAGAGTTGAATTTCATTCAAGAAAATAAAATCCAGTGACTGGAACTTTCCCAACTGTGAGCAATGAAAGCAGAAAGAGATGAATAAAAGGGAAAAAAAAGGATAATGGTTCTCATTGGAAAGAATTCCCTAATGGGAAATGTGGTATTTGTGTTTCTGTCAGTTATATGCTTCCATTTTATATATTATAAAATAGATTTGTTTTTAAAAAAAATCAGTCATTCTCTTTGCCTTAATTTAAAAAATTGTTTCTTTCAAAAAATTCTTAGTTCTCTTTTAGCTGTACAAAAGAGAAACAAAATAGATAACATCCAGTTTTTGATTCATTCTCCTGAAATACCTTACAAGCTAGAAATTTGGGGAGTGAACAAACTATTACAGAATTTAAAGAGTTTAAGATTCACTGGAAATATATATGACAACTCTTCAAGGAGAAAGCTGGTGAAAATCGTTGCTACTCTGAATCTTATAGAAGACACGTTTTCTGTGGCATTTCTCCACTTAAATGGTCAGGAATTTAAGGATGTCTAGGATATGAACTTATGAACATCTGTGCAGAGATGGCTGATACTTTGACTTCAGAGCAAAGATAAGTTCGCCAAAGCCGGGCATGTAAACTGTGATTAAGACATTGGGCTTTGAATTCAGAGTGATCTGGATTTATATCCTGATGCAACACTAAATATCTCTGCAAATATAAGGAGGTAAGTAAAATTCTTATTTTTCAGTTATAAACCTTTCATTCCTTAGTTTTTTTATCTGGTCAAAGTTAATGTCCTAATGCATTTATTGTCATTAGTATTGTACACACACCAAAATGTTTTTACTTTACTTCTCATGGGAAGTTTTCAAGAATGTTCTTAGCATTATTATCGTTTTTATTTTAAATTGTCATTTTTACCTTAATGTATACATTCAGCTATGTCCTTTGGCAAATTATAAATGTGATATTTGTTACATTGTTATAGTAACACTTGTTATTTCACAAAAAATAGCATAATTTTTTAAAAACTTTCTTGAAAAATAATTTATGTAAGATAAAATTCTTCCACTTTAAGTGTACATTTTGTTGAGTTTTGACAAATGTATATGCCAGTGGAATCACCACTACAATTAAAGTGTAGAACATTTCCCAGTATCCCAAGAAATTCCCTTCCCAAAAAATCAGCCATCCGTCCTAAAGAAATCTGTTTTGACACCATGAAGAGATTAATTCCACCTTTTCTACAAGACTCATATGTTATGTCTTCTATTGTAACTAGCTGCTTGCTGTCAGCATAATGTATTTAAAAGCACAGAGTAGTTCATTCTTTTTCACTAGTGAATAGTGTTTCATTGTAGTGTATTCACTAGTGAATAGTGTGTATAATTACACCATGTGTTTTTAACAAAATCTATTTACCTCTTGATGGAAATTTTACTTACTTCAAGTTTGGGCTATTGAGTAAAGGCGTTATCAACACTTGTATATACATCTTTACATGAGCATGTTTTCATTTATTTTGAATACTGAGAACTGGTATTTCTGGGTTGTAAGTGTATGTTAAATTTTATTTAAAAACTGCCACAGTATTTTTTCCAAAATGGTTATGCTATTTTAAATTTATAGGAGCAATTTATGAGAATTCCAGTTGTTTTACATCCTTGTCTAATGGGTCATTGTTAGTCTTTTTACTAATGGCTCTTCTAATAGGTTTCTAAAAGCATTGCGTTGTAGCTTTAATTAATATTTTCCTGAAAACTAATGATATTTAACATCTTTTCATGTGCTTACTAGTCATTTGTATATCATGTTTTATGAGGTGACTATTAAAATATTGTGTCCATTTTTATTGGATTATTTGTGGAATTATTACTGAATTGTAAGAGCATATTATGTTTGAAAAACTTGCTTTGCATTTAAAATATTTTTTCTGCAAATGTAGAACTCAAAACTGCTAGATATCTAATGATAGATTTAATATAACAAAAACAAGTTTGAATATTATTCTGAACACATCTTTAATTCAGAATATATCTACATAGAGATCAGATCAGGAATGACCTGGCAGTTACTCTAATCACTATGTCTGTTACACATTTCTAACCCTGAATCAACTCCATAGAGTCTGTTGCATTCTGAATCAGCTGTTAAGGCAAACGAAACATTATTGAATGTTCAAATGGTGGCTCTTAAAGTCTTTTTTCAATCGTTAGCTGTTTGGATTTGAAAGCACAGTAATTTTTGCCATGCAGATGCTGAGGTAATTCACATAATATGCAAGATGAGTGAGTATTCAAGCACTGAAGAGCGATTTATTTGTGATAAGATATAAATATCTCGCATACATTTTCCATTTGTTTTCCACATTTTTATAATATGAAATGTATAATACTTTATAACAATTATTTGTAAATATAGTCAGAGATTTAATACATTTTTCTCTTTTTATGAAGTTGATTTTTATTACTTTAATCTCAATGGATGTTAGATCTTATTTATTTTTGACATACTTATTGCTTAGAGTTCCCTAATGTGTGATACACACAAAAGTTAATACTAGTTTTTAATTATATTTCTACCATGGAGCTATTTCAACTCATTTCTTTAGAGTTCCACCTGGTTAGAATTCTGTAAATCTGTTTCTCTAGAGACTGATATTTGAAACTATTATTTTTCCATTTAAATGGCAATCAATTTATGTACTACCAAAGCAAATTAAGAGCCAAAATGTATCTTATTATACCTAAGCATCAAAATTTGTCTTGTTTGGTTTGAGCTCTATCAATGTTAAAGCTACTTGGCAGTTGAGGAATTACAATATATATTTTAATTCTTTTTTTCAATTCTTTAACAAAAATATATGGAGCACCATTACACATGGGATACTATTCTAAGTGGTGATGCACACAAACACACTATAATCAACTCACATCAGCCCTTTTCTAAAATAGCTCACCATCTGCTGAGAGAGAAAAAATGCCAATAGGTTATTACAGCTTTTAAACAGTCAACTTATAATACAGTATATACTTTTGGAGGTTAGTACGTTTATATGGATTTATTTAAATCACCATTGTTCAGCTTACCTAGTTAGCTTTTCCTAGGTACTGTGCACAATTGCATTAATCAGGCAAGATCCATCCAGATAATAAATATATCTGTAATTATGGAAGACAGTGGGGGAGAATGCTATATTTTAATTTGGAACTTTATATATACTAAACAAAATTAGAAGTGACTGAAACAGTAATATCAATGAAATGTTTTTTTTCTACACAGTTCACTATAAATACACTTAGTAACAACAAAGACTATCTTAGGATTTTTATGTAAGTCATAAAATATTTATATTTAAGTAACTTGTATAAGCACTTACTATCATGAAGAGAATATTTGATTATCTGGCCAAGTTTTACTTTCCTTTTTTCCAGGTTCTGAAAATCCTCTTCTTTATCATATACAGTTTACTCTTGAATAACGAGGGTGTTAGGGGCACTGACTCCCCTGTGCAGTTGAAAGTCCCTGCATAAATTCAGACTCCCAAAAAAATTTAACAACTAAGAGCCAACTGTTAACTACGAAGCTTACCAATAACATCAATTAACACGTATTTTGTATTATATGTTATGCGTGTTATATATTGTATTCTTACAATACAGTAAGCTAGAGCAAAGAAAATGTTATTAAGAGAACCATAAGGAAGAGAAAATATATTTAGTGTTCATTAAGTGGAAGTGGGTCACTATAAAAGGATCTTTATCCTCATTGCCTTCACGTCAAGCAGGCTGGAGAGGAGGAGAAAGAGGAGGTGTTGTTCTTGCTGTCTCAGGGGTGGCAGAGGCAGAAGGAAATCCACACATAAGTAAACCTGTGCAGTTCAAATCCATGCATAAGTATCAAGTGTATATTTATTTATAGTATACTGAATTGATATGGAATGCTACTTTCTAATTTCAGAACTTTTATTATGAATCTCTGCTTCTGCACTGATCTAGAAATTCTCCTTAAATACATAAATCATCTTCTAATCATGAACTCCCTTATGCAAAATTCCATTATATGCAAAATGATTTCTGAATGTCTTTTGAGAAATGTGATCATTTGTGCTCCATATTTGAAACATAAGTTGCTTTTTTTGTTAATATTTTCTAAGTCTTGTTATTGGAATAAGGCAGGAAATAAACAAAAAAGTTAAATATGAAACTAAGAGGTATTGGTAATAGAAACAAGAGTTAAATAGGGTAGAAATATATGCCAATCTGTTGCTGCTGAGATTGCTGAAGAGACATAGAGGCAACTGAGAAAAAGTGAACTGAGCTTTGGGCTTGAATTTTTTCAGTGTGTTGCCAAGGAAAAACCAACATGTGCCAAAAATTACTTAATCTGTGCTGAAATTAGAAATTTCCATGAATAGAGTTAAATTTTCTAACCCTGTGAGCTGGGAGGAATTTGAGAGTTGCCTAATGAGATCTGCTAAGTAGTTCAAGCAAAGGTTTCTCAGCGTTTTCTTATTTTTCTGGCATTGGAGTTTTCTGTGCCAGGGGTTAGATCAGGGAGTTGGTTATCAGCAAATCTAAGTGATAAGACTGATCATTCCTTAAAATATTTAATTGTGACCTTCACATACCAGACAATCTTATAATGATACATTCGAGATGTTTTCAAATAACCCAATTTGGGATTTATATTAGAATAAATGGAGTGCATTGAATTCTAGGTTTAATTCCATTCATAAAATTAATATTTGGAAAAAAATGCTGAAGTTTCTAAAAAGATGGCTGTTATTAAGATTCAATTCTATTTTGCTGGCAAAATAATTATCACCAGAATGTCAGAAGCATAGCGCCATTTTGCATATGATCTAGATATTTATTGATTCAAAGAGGCATGATAGGCCCATCAACATCTTTTCAAGTTTAAGGCAGAGGTTGAATATTCATTTGCTTACCAATATTTATTTTAGTGAATTTGCCTAATGTTTACTCCCTTTTTGAATTTAGTTATATTATCACACACAAAAAATATCATATTAGATGGTAGTATAATTAATGGCATAAGTAAGTTCTCAAGAAAAGTCCCTTATTGCTACACAGTTGGTTTCAAAGGAACTCAACTTAAATTCCTAATATTTGACCACTGAAAATATTAACTATAACAACCTTTGATGTAGATCGCACTGCTCTTAGCAAAATAAACTTTATGGTGTGCTTATTTCCTTTGCATCAGTAAACATTAAACCTGTTTGTTCTGTTCTGCATTTTCCTGTGTTTTTGTTTGTTGTTTCTTTAATTTTTTTTATCGTATGCTACTTTTTTCTTTCCCCATTCTTTCACTGATTCCACAAGTCATGTAGTCTTTCCTTCAGTGATGTTTATTGTACTAAATTTCAAGTGACTCCATACCTCTTGGCAAGTTTATATGCTTTTGCTCTGCCAGTTTTTGCCAAAAAAGCTAAAATCAAAAACCTCTTTCCTTAGGACTTCTGTGTGTTCAAATGCTAGCATCTAGCAGTGACAGTATGAAATGCTTTGGTATAATCAATCAGATCTACTTCTATTATTTCTCTAATTTGTATACATGCACAAAGGGTAGAAGTGATGTTTTGCTGTTTTTCAAACTTTGGTGAAGATCTTACAGTGGTTTAATTAAGTCCTAATTAATGATACAAAGCCCCTCCCCTAAAGTGTCTAATCATCAGCATTAGTATTACGGCACGTATATTTGCCTGGGTCATTGAAATAGAAGAGGTTGAAATGAGAATTCTGGATGAAACTAAACATGTGGGGGAATAGATATGTGTCACTGCTACAGGAAAATACATTGGATGATCTTTATATGCATATGATGTTGGCTGCTATTCATGCCTAGGCACCTATATATACATATACATTTATATATATATACACACACATATACATTTATATACACACACACACACACACACACACACACACACATATATATATATTTCCTTTGAAAAAGAACTGGGTGATCTCTAGAAGCTCATTCTACTCGACTCCCATTAAACTATAAGTATGGGTTACTTAAGGTGTTTTTTGGTTGGAGGCTGTGTGGTCCTTGATGCTGATCTTGGGCCTTCCAGGGTCAGCTGCAGGCATCAGGGCCCTAATGATCTATCATCTGGTCATTTTCCACTTGATGGCTATCTCTTCTTTCCAGCTGGTTAAATTTTATTTTATTATGGGTTATAGAAACTTCATTTATCATGCATTCTTCTCATCAACATGGGCTTTACAATTAATTTCAGATCTTGAGGTCCTTTAGTTTCTTAGCCTATTTGAAACTCAAAAGTACTTGTCTTGTTCAAATAATTTAGCTCTTATAAAGTCCCATCAAGCTGATGTTTCTTGGTATTAGTTTCAAGAATCTACACTGAAATAATAAAACACAAACTATCTATTTTGCCTCATTGATTCATTCATTCCCTCAATATTAATATTAACTTAGAGCTCCAGGTACTGTTTTTGGTGCTAGGGATAGAGAAATAAATAACGATAGCCTCTGCTCTCTTATGAAACTTACATTAGTGGTGAGCGGGAAGAATAGGGAGTGATGGAGAGTAAATAAACAAGTATGGAGAAATTCTGATAAAGCAATAACTGCAATATAGAGAAGTAAAACAGAGTGATATACGGCATGCCTCGATAGCTACTTTAAGTTACAGTGCCAAGGCTGGCCACTTTTAGGAAGTGACCTATATGCTGAAATTTGAAGGAAATTTGTGTGACTCATCAACACAAGGACACTATTCTGAATAAGTGAAAGAGTATCGAAAATGAAAGTCAAGGTGATACAAACACAGCAGCAATACCAACGCAGTGTAGGCTTACTTATCAAAACTACTATTCAAAATATTAGCCTCTACTGAAAAAGACTGAATGTATTTATACCTATTTTTGTTAAGTAGATAAAATCTTAAACCATCTAATCTTGTCTTTCTGTTCTTTCTTCTTTCTCCCCCTTCCCCACCTCCTTCCCTCCCTCCATCCGTCCCTCCTTTCCTTCCTTCCTTCCTTATTTTCTTCCTTCCCCCTTCCCTCCCTTCCTTTCTTCTTTCCTTCCTTTCTTTCTTCCTTCCCTCTTTCCTTCTTTTCTTTCTCTTTCTTTCTCATGCTCTTACATTTTTTCCTTCTTTCTGTTTTTTCTTTCAGTTAGTACATATTAAGTGAACTACTATATACCAGGCACTATGATGGACACAGAAATTCTGTAGTGAACAAGAAAAACGTGATTTCTTCCCTCATGGAGGTTAAACTCTATTGAAGACAACTTGTTTTGAATATACATTTTATGAGTAGTTATTAAGTATAATTGTTATAAATGCTACTACAAAGAGGTAAGTAGAACTAGTGTCGTTCATCATTTGAAATCATCATTATGCTTCCTGTACTGAGAAAAAGGGCAAGACTTTTCACAAAGGCTTTCTTCCAACTTTTATGTGATCAACAAAAAAGATTGAAATAGAACAGATGAGAAGATTTACCTTAATGCAGTTGTTCACCAATATTTTTCTAACTTTATTTTGTGTTAAAATTACTGATGGAGCTTGTTTATAATCCAGAGTTCAGATTCATTTAGTTTGATGTAGGGATCAAGAATCTGAATTTTTAACAAATTTTCAAATAGTCTTTGGACTGTACTTTGAAAAACCACTAGTTATAATATAACAGTAGATAGAGAAGGGATCTCCATCTAAAACTTGGCTTCAATATCATGATGGATGTCACAGATGCACCAAGACGGTGCAAAAATGCCACAGTGAGCCTTTCAAAGGCCAGCAGGGTAGGCTTTCCAAGTTGATTAAAAAATAGCTGAGTGAGGAAGGCCCTCAGGTTTTTAATGGTAGTTAGGAAGAGGAACTGGGGTAAACATTTTAATTTTCTCCTGGTACCATGGATGGAATATCTGGGGTTCCTTATCACCTTGTCCAGAAGTGGGGCAAAGGGAAAAAGGCAGGATTGTTGCTTAAAAGCTGCCAGGAGCAGCCAGGCACAGTGGCTCATGCCTGTAGTCCCAGCACTTTGGGAGGCCGAGGCAGGCAGATCACGAGGTCAAGAGTTCGGGACCAGCCTGGCCAACATGGTGAAACCTTGTCTCTACTATAAATACAAAAAATTAGCCAGACGTGGTGGCAGGTGCCTGTAATCCCAGCTACTCAGGAGGCTGAGGCAGGAGAAACACTTGAACCCGGGAGGCGGAGGTTGCAGTGAGCCAAGACCACACCACTACACTCCTGCCTGGGCAACAGAGCAAAACTCTGTCAAAAACAAAAACAAAAACAAACAAACAAACAAAAAACTGCCAGGATCCAGCATCAACACTTATTATGTATTCAAGAATGAATAGTTGTGACATTGTGTTATCTACTGTGAGTCTGAAGTGAATTCTATTCCTATAGTTTGTAATCCTGTCCAGTTTTCTTTTTCTTTTGAGTCAAATTGAATGTATGCTCAGGTACATATGGTGGCACATTTAAATAATAGTTTTGCCTCATACGGTAGTTTATATTACTGCTCAGCAAATATTCACACTGGCCCCTAACTTACATAAAAGAAGGACATATCCTTAACTCAATGATGCTGGTCTTAGCCATATGACTTTCCTTTGACAACCAATGGAATGTGGATCACGAGGTCAGGAGATCAAAGCCATCCTGGCTAACACGGTGAAACCCCGTCTCTACTAAAAATACAAAAATTAGCCAGGTATGGTGACGAGCGCCTGTAGTCCCAGCTACTCAGGAGGCTGAGGCAGATGAATGGCATGAACCCGGGAGGCAGAGGTTGCAGTGAGCTGAGATCCCGCCACTGCATTCCAGCCTGGGTGTCAGAGCTAGACTCTGTCTAAAAAAAAAAAAAAAAAAAAAAAAAAGGAAAAAGAAAAATGTGATGTGTTAGTTCTCAGCCATGGCCTTAGTAAGAGGCATTATGTGTTACCATTTACCCCTGTGGGAGCCGGCAATATCTTCTTAACAACAACAACAACAAAAATCATGACTTCAGTAGCTTTGAATTTAAAGTGATTAATATTAAAGCAGATTGTACTAAACCCACAGCCTTGTGCCAAACCCGGATAAGCCAGCCTTATCTGTCAACTCTAGCAGACTTTTAAACTTGCAATTTGAAACAGAGCTTCCCCAGCAAAAAATATTTGTGAGTATGGAAATAATGCTAATATAAGACTGAGTTTTGAAGTAGTATATTATTTAGTATTATTGTGAAAATAGTGATACAACTAAGGTCTAAATCAGTTTATCTATCTGTCTGTCTATCTATCTATCTATCTATCTATCTATCTATCTATCATCTATCTATCTATCATCTATCTATCTAATCACTGCTCTTGTCCATTTTGTCTTATATGATTCTGTTTTTTGGACACTTATCTTACATTTTTCATTTTTCATCTCTCTTACTTTTTTTCCTCTCTTCATCCAACCACACTCTGCTTCTCATTTATGTTTATGATGTGGAGCATATTATTATATTTTAATTTTCACATACGTGTTAAATTTATTTTGACCAAATCTTTTATGTATAAATTCAGAGCTGGAAGAATATATAGTTAAATAAAAAGCATGTGGATCCAAAACAAACACATGTTGCTCCGACAGGTCATGTACCATTCTTAAATTTCCTTTCCTTCGATTTACCATGATATTTTTGCCCACTCCTCTCTGGCAATACTATATTTTGGGAGTACTGTGATTTCCTAGAACATCACCATCAGATGTATCCATTTCCTCCTAATAGTCTCTTTCTTACAGTCACTTTTCTCTCATAATAGCAGTAGATTTTTTCCTTTCACTCTTATCCTCACTTACTAGCACTATCTACAATAATATAAATTATCATGAGTTACTCAGGAAATAGGCAGAAGCTAAATCTTATTACTGCCCTTATTTTTTTATGTGGAGAAACTGAGGCAACATAGTAGAAAATTTCTTCAATGGTAAAAGTAAACTTGACAATGCACCTGAAACTATTAATGCACCTGGAACTAATTTGCACATATTTTTTTTCAATTACATTTATTTAGTTAGTGAATGAATGGATCAATCAATATTTCCACTGGGCTAAACAAAATTTTATTTATTTAAACATACTGAAAGTGTCAATCAGGCTGAAGAATATTTCAGAAATTCTAGGAACAAGACAGAGATAGCTCCTAAGTGGTAGATCATTCAAAATAGAGCTCAGAAAGATGAGGGCATTTTTAATACTCAGAATATTAACAGGCATGATAATAGAGCCTTCATCTTAAAGTTATCTATCTATCATCTCTATCTATCTATCTATCTATAAAATGATACATAATGATAGAATGGTAGCTACTCTTGACTGCTTTATAAAACAATTTTCTTAAGTATTTGAAATATAAATGTTTAAATTAATAGCCACACTAGCCCTTTGAGGGTTAAGTCTTTTTATCATCATTTTACAGATGAGAAAATGAAGACTAGAAAGTTTTAGTAGCCTACAGTATCTTTCAGGTCAGAGAAGGCTATGCTGTGATAACAAATAACACTGAAATCCAAGTGTCTTAGTACAATAAATATTATCTTGCTTATTTAAAGAAAGCTACAGGTTCTGGTGATTCTACAGGGCAGTTGTCCTCATTATGGCAATCCAATTATTCAGGCTAAGGGAGATTCCAAAGCCTGTAGCCCAAAGCATGTGGGCTCCTAAAGAATCAACCACTGGCTCTAAAAGGTTCCCACTAAAAAGTAATACACATCATGTCTACTCATGTTTCATTAGTCAAAGATAGGTTCAAGTTCATTCTTATCTTCAAGGGGATAAGAATCACAATCTTCTGCTATTGCCTAGGAGAAGAAGAGAACTACATATCAGTAGAGATTAATAGTATCTGCCACAATAGCCTGAGTTTATCTATCCAGGCAGTAGAAGAACTAGGATCCCAGCACAGATATATCTCCAAATTTTATGCTCTTAATCACTGATCTGTCTATCATTTCTTAATGTGTATTAGTTAGAAAATAATTTTTAAACCTATGGGAACTCAGAACAAGAATACTTCAAAAAAAGGAAAGAAACTAAGATAATTTCATGGAGACTCTGATTGCTAAAGGATTTGTAGAATAACTTCAGATTCTGGAGGCTTGGGTAAGTATGTTATACATGATACTTAAATCTCTGCGTTAGCATTTGGTGGCTCATGAGGAAGAAATAAAAGCCTGGACAAATTTAGTAAAAAACACATACTAAAATAATTAATGTTCTAGGTTAACTTTGATTGAAAATACTTGACTGCCTAGGCAACAAACATTTTTAAAGTGGGACAACATACTCTTACTAACTATGATGTTAAAAATGCATTCTGCATCTCAGACAGAAGCCTCTGAGTACTGAATTCAGATAAACAATCTATTTGGATACTTGGCATTCTGTCAAATTGAAAATAGAATCTCCCGAGATGTCTGTCAACAGAAAAGGGCTCCTCAGTTAAGATAAAAAAATTAATTAATGATTGATTGACCTGCTGAAATGCTAGTTGAGATATACAGCTCACCACTGCTGCATGGTCACTTGAGAATCCTTATTTTATTTTGCTATAAAATGGATGCATTTGTATTCTAACTGCTTATTTTATTGCCACTATAGGTATGGCTGGAGTTACAGCTTTTCTTTTACTGAGCAGTGATGCTTAATTATATTTTTATTTTGAAATGAAAAAGCCTTATATTTCTGCATGGCACATCATGCCAGAATATAGGCAAAAATCAAATGAAGGAAACAGGCTAGGGTCCAATTAGATTTATTTTATTATTAAACATTAACCACATATAAACCCAAAACAATGTTAATTTTACTATTTCACTGGAATTTGTTTTTAAAAGATTCTTCTATCTTTCGAGAACTGAATTGTTCAAAAGATCAAAAATGTAGAAAAGTATTAACGAGCTCTTTATAATTATAGCTATTTAATTTCTTATTCTTTTGAATAAGATTGAAACAAAAACAGTTGTCAAGTTGATTCAATTGATGACAGGGCTGTAGATCATTTTTAAAATCTATTGTTCTTATGGTTTTATATGACAACGAAAAAATAATCAAGAAATGTTTGGAAATATGACTGTAGAATTTATATTATTTCATATTTTTGGCAGTCACAAGGATGCAACTAAAATTGAGAAACACCTTTTCTAATCAGTGTGTGGTAAATGTTGACACTTTAAGCAACAAGTTCTTACCATGACTGAAGAAAATATAGCACAGGAAAAGGCAACTTCTTCACTTTCAGTGTCAGCAGATATATTACCTAATAATTTATCAAAACTCACATAAGGAAGCATTAAACAATGGTTGAAGTCTTTTAGAAATAGCCATGGATCTGCCAGGTAGTTTCTGGGATTAGTTACATGGATTAACTTTTCAATTAACAACACTCTTTCAGTATTAGAATTATTTTTTTCCAGAAGAAAATACAGTCACATTGGTTTCTTAAAATGTGTGACACTCCCAAATCAGGGTACACATTTTGGCTCCCCATTACCACGTACAAAGAAAGAAAATATAAGAAGGCTGTAGAATGTTTAAAATTTTAATTAGATTTGAAGATTAATACTTTGATTAGATTCACAGATGATTTCATATAGATATGTCTATCATGCTTATAATAGAAGTTCTGTATTGTATATTCTAGCGATACTTCTGATAGTACCAAAAATAAACTCTTTTTAATTGAAAAACAAATTGACTCAAAAGGAAAATGAAAAAATTCTGACTATAAAAAGTTTATTTATATACATTCATACACACACATACACAATTGATATTTTAAAGTTAAAATTGTATGCTAATTAGTCATTGAAAGTCAGGTTTTTTGTACTTCATCTTTCAGTAGGTCCTTTATTGATAGAGTCTAAGAAACAAGATACATGATAATGATTTGTAAAGATGCATTTGACTTCTTTTTGAAATCTATTTAATTATACTTATATTTTTATATTAATAAAAAAATTAAATATATTTGAAATCTATTTAAGCCATTGATATACATTAGGTTACATTTTTAGGAACCAGAAACATGTGAGAGTTGGAAAACACTCACCACTTCTCAGGAAAGTAAAAATAGAGCTTTTAATATCTAGTGATGATGTCACCTTAGATGTATTTTTGCATTTATCCTATCTTTTTTCA
The DNA here is from genome assembly GCF_000001405.40 of Homo sapiens. NCBI lineage: Eukaryota > Metazoa > Chordata > Mammalia > Primates > Hominidae > Homo > Homo sapiens. The sequence continues at coordinate 45,192,834 of NC_000004.12, forward strand.
GGTTAAGAACTGGTCTACTGTAGAAAAGGTATGAGGCAGTATTCTTTAATCACGTAATCTTATAATATGAGTGGACGAGTATAAAACAATATAGAAAAAAAATCAGTGTGCATTAGGATAAAAATTTTATAGCACTAGTCAGGTATGTTTTGCCTCTTTGATATTGAGTAAATGACTCAATGCTTTAAGCCTGAATTTTCTGCTGTAAAATGATTATACAATCTTTGCTGAGACTCTCAGCTGTTGTTGCAAAGAATAAAAGAGATAATATATAAATAAAGCACTTTCAAAATTGAAAATTGTTATATGACATGCTACTCAACAGTGTAACTCCACTGGGAACACATTAACTTAAAACCATCCCCTTGTTATCACTATATTCACCTGAATAGAGGTTGAACAGCAATATTGTTTTTTACTTTCTTTCACAACCAAATCTTGGTTTTGAACAGTCCTTCTCTCAATTCCTAACCCCTATTTTTAAGTAGTTTAAAATCCTTCTTTACTTCTGTACCTGAGGGCACCCCAGGGAAACAGATTGAATAAGATTATCAAACAATGAGAAATTTACAGTAAACTACATTTGTGTTCTCTATTCCCTTTAAATAAGAAAAACAAAATAAAATACTTTATCCCTCTTTTCACTTTTGCTCCATGATCTTTTTTTATCTTTTAAAATTAGAAACCAAAAATACTATACTAAAGCAGATACTTTATCTGCAACTACCACCATGTCTATTACCACCACCACTGCTACCCTTGCTTTTTCTAATGTTGCTGATACTGCACCTAGTTAGTATATTTCAGTCACTGATCTGAGCACTTTACATTTATTTTCTCATGGGATCCACATGACAAACTTGTATGGAGGTTCTATTAGTATCCCTAGTTTAAAGCCAAGGAAATATATTTCAAATAGATTATCTAATTTTATGTGGCTACACACTCACACATTGGGATGAATGAGTATTTAGGGGTGAAGCCAGAGTTAGGAAAGCCCAACATATACTATGTGCATAGTAGACAAGTGTTTCTACGAAATTAACTTTCTTCAATTATCCAGCAGAAACAATCGGGTGTCCTAAAGCATGTAAACATATGGGAGCCTAGAAAAATAAGTATCAGACAATCCCACCTGCAACAAGAGTACAGAGGAGTGGAAATTACTGGGCAAGACATTATGAATTTTTCTATAAGTGAAGAAAGATCTTCAGGTAAAAGATACATTTAGCTTGTCTTTCTAAAAATTGGAAATATATCATAATGCTCTTAATCAGCAGTCAGACATATTTTCAAATTCTATCTTTCGTGATACATAAATTGAGTTCGCTTAACTCCACTACCCAGTTCTACAAACTTTTGCTGGTTAACTTCTTTGGTTCTTCATTTTTTCATCCATAAGATGGAGATGATAACAGTACTGCACCTAAATATTTAGGACTATGATGAGAACTGAAACTGACAATCCATCTCACTGAGCCTGGCCTGAAAGAACTTTTACACATGAATGCAATAATTGTGACATTAGTGGTAATAATTCAAACTCTATAAATCTTTGGTTTGTTTTAGAAAACTTTTTTGTAATTCAGAATACTCATGATTTTAGCCTTTCAAGCTGAAATCACTGTTGGTTAATTTTTTTAAAGATGTTCAAGTGAAGACAAATCTAGGTCTCTATCAAAATATCATTTCTAGAAACTAACAGAAAACCAGCTGAGAACATGAGTCTTGAGGCTTCCCTTAAGATCAGTGAACCAGGGCTAAGATGAAGTGTACTATCTGAGGTCTTTTTAGAAGAAATTCCACATTTTGATTCTTTTATGTGTGCTTAAGTGAATAGTTAGGATTTATCAATGTCCTGTGGTGACAATACACCACAAATTCTCCCCTCTGTAACAAGATTCAGTCAATTAACAAGCTTTGGATGAGAAACTATAGGACTATGTCCTCAGCAGGAGCAATATCTGATACCTTTGTTGTTAATAATGTATTCTTCCCTTACCCCCAACAGCTTCTGAATCTAGAAGTCTAATTTTTAAAATAAAATTCCAGGTGATCGAATTTTTTCCTGAAACAATAATCTTCCTCTACTTTAAACCTTATGAGACCTTCTCTTGCAGAATTTGAAATCCACTGATGTGTATCTCAAACTTAAAAATGAATCTTAAAGAACGATTGTCTTACTTAACCTCCTCAGGCTAGAAGGTGCCATGCTGTGGTAAGTCAGTAGCAAAAAACAAATAACACTTCAATAAGAAAATCAGCAAAGAATCCCAAAGAAGAATTAGATTTTCCCGACACTTCAACTTAACTGGAAATATCCACAGTTTTCATTATCTTATATTAGTCAGAAAAGTCCAAAAGTATATTGCCTTACGGTTGAACAAAACTGGGTTATAATATTCTCTGCAAAAATTCAAATTTTCTAATTTGAAACTAAAATTATTTTTTTCAGCTTAAAACAGCTCTCATGAGTTTAATGCTTTTTGAAAAAATACAAAAGTAAATGAAGAATGCCATCACTATTTATAAAGAAAATTTATTCACATCACATTTGTTTTTGGTTCTAATGTCACTTTGTAATTAACTTTAGGTTTCTTATATAAAGTTTGGAGTCACTCAAAATGCTCATCATAATCTTCAAATGATGATACTTAGAGTCTTGGATGTCTCAGGATCTCCTGTGAGTTTATGGATCTGTGCATTTTCTAAATACTAACTAAGCCCTGAGAAAATTGCAATGTCCATGCTGCATTTCACTCCATCTTCGCCTGACAATTTGGAATAAGGTTCCTTTGTCTATGTGTTAATCCTGCTAAACTATGTCAACTACTTCTTAGTTACCTGGGGTAACGTATTTGGTTTCACTCATTTTAGGGCTTTTCTAAGACTCACCTGAACAGTGTCTTAACATGTAGGTTCAACACTTGCCTGATTTCTCCACTTCAGCTCTACCAGTTCCAGAGCTACCCGGGAAAGGCAAAGATTTGGACCAGTAATTATTAATTATTGTTATAAAATTAACTGATTCTATACATTCATAATATAATTATCCTTATCATATAAGTATTACATTCAATTTCTCCTTTATATAATACATTTGACATGCCTAATTTTAAAAAATTCTGACTTTGTCATATTTGCTCATTTAGTCATTAAATGTGGGCAGTTATCTGATATTCCTAGATTATCCTTGACTTTCAGTTTAATCTATATACTGTCTCATCATAATTTATTTCTATACCTCTGATGTCTCTATTGTTAGAGATTCTTACCATGTAAGATAATAATTCTTTATTCCCAATTCTTCAAAATATAAACATGTTCCTATGGGAGGTTTTTTTTTTAATTGTAATCATGGTGGCCTGGAGGATCTTTTTGGTTGAGTGCAGAGCTCATGTGTAACAGGACCAGAGTCCCAGTGGCACAAGTTTCTCAGGCATTCATCCTGTGGAATTCTCTTATAACCACCTTAGTATGAATATATCTTATTGTGTTAGTCAAGGTTCTCCAGAGAACTAGAACCAATTATATATATAAACACACACACATTTATATTATATATGTGCATATATATATATCTGTATACATATATACACATATATAATATATAAGGAGATATACATTATCTAATATACATACATGTATAGTATATATACATATACAGTATACATATATGTATACATATGTGTATACTGTATATATACATATACAGTATAGAGAGAGATAGAAGGAGAACTAGAGGTATATTTCTTTTATGTTAAGGAATTATCTCACAAGATTGTGGGAACTAGCAAGTCTAAAATCTGTCGACCAGGCTGGAAACACAGACAGGTGTTCATGCTGCAGTCATGAGGCAGAATTCCTTCTTCTTTATGATGCTGTATATTTACTCTTCAGGCCTTCCACTGAATGGATGAGGATAATTTTGTTTTTTAACTTAAATTCAACTGATAATAGATGTTAATCATATTTACAAAATACATTCACAGCAACACCCGACTAGTATTTGATTAAATAACTGGGTGCTATAGCCAAGCCAAGTTGACACACAAAACTATCACATTTACTTCCCTACTTTTCCTGGAAAAGTTGTTTTGCTGAGTAGTTGCACATTCAAATTTCATTGTCTTTTAATAGTTAATCATGAATATTTAAATATTATTCTTTTAACTGTCACTTTTGATTTTCAAAAAAGTATCATTAATGTCATCAGCAATAAATTACATCAGGCAACTCAAGCTCTCTGAAGTTTGGTTTCTTTTAATAAATGAGAGATATTAATATAATAAATGGAAATAGTAAAACATGTCTTGGTCACTGTACAGTATTTTATTTGAAAGAGCAAATGAGAGACACATATAAGAAACAAGATGGTATGCAAATACCAGGAGTTACACATGATCTCTAGACTATTTAGATTTTTGTCTTTTTGTTTTGTTTGCTTTTTCTTCTTTTTTCTGGCATCTTTTGGATTGAGCAACTTGAAAGTGGGCTTTCTGCCACCTCACCTAAATCTCTCCAGATTCCCCCAAATGTGCACAATCAAACATTCCATCTGAAAAAGAGAACTTTCAGCAACCAAGATTATGTTATTAAAAAGTAAGTTCTAGAGAATGGACTTTCAGCTGTTTTTGGCTTTCACTCTCATATCCAAGGCAGTAAGGAGAATAGAAAACAGGGCTGTATATTCAATTAAATCAGGACTATATAAAACATAGAACTGCTAAACAAAATGAAATGTTTCTAAAATCAATGAAGTGATATTCAGGACACTGTATAAATAAGTTGCCTCCAGTTGCAGATCTTAAAAAAGTGACTCAAGAACACTCTTTTCCAATGTAATACAGACATACAGGGCTTCTTTTTTTAGGACAGACCCTAGTTTAGATTTTAAAGAAGCAATGGTTCCAGAATCAAGAGATAAACCTCATGCACAATTTTTGCACTAAACAATTTGTTGGTGAAGTAGGAAGGTGCTGTGGGATGAATTCTGCACTGTGCTTAGTTCACTATTAATACTCTGAGCTTCAGATGAGAAGTATGGGTTAAAATAACATATGTAATACACAGTAATTGAAATATGTTCAACACACATGCCAGCTTGGATTCTCATTAACACGAGGGAGAACTAAATTCTTAAAACAAAGTGAAGAAAAGGGAAAAAGGGAACCATCACATAAGCTCTGCAAAGGTATTACAAAATAAAAGTAGGAAAATAACACGAATACATACACACACACACACACAACCAAATAGATTAGGAACATCATCAGAACAAAAATGTTGCTACCAAGTAGGTAAAAACATACCAAATATGTATCCAAGAATAAAAATATAAAGAACAAATAAAAGTAAAATTATTTCTAGTATGAGAAGACAAAATAGATGTAGAAAAGCTTCCTAAAGAGAGGACAAAATAATTGATGGCTATGAAAATAAAAAAATATATTCTACAAATGAAAGACGAGTTAACCATTTGAGTGTAGATATAGCTGAAATTATAGTAAGAGACTTTTTCTTAGTCCAAGTACCATAGAAAATAAAACCTAATGGGGAAAACATGTGCTAATACTTTGTCATGTGTATTTTGGGTAACAAGAGAACTTGGGTCTAGAGTATGATAAAAAGAAAATACATGATAATGAACTACTGAGTTTCACAGAAAACATAACCGGTTGTTTCAAAGTATAGGGCATCTACAGAAAGGCTGTCTGAGAATACTATACCTCAGAACATTCTGACAAGGAGAAAGAGAAACAGAAATTGATCTGCTGGTTCTTTCTAATCTTTCTTTCCCTGTTGGACAAATTAGGCTCATGGGATATTTACTTTTCTTCCCTTCTGATTTATGCTACATGACCCCATCAAGAAGTATCTGGGCAAACCAAATTGCATGTCTTATGATGCAGACACTTCATTTTGACTCTGGGAGGAATAAGAGGAAACAGTTTTCATGGATCCAGTTGGTTGAGCTTACATGTGGGAATTCTTTCAACCTATTATGGCCAGAGGAATGGAAGCTGGCCATCCTCTCAGGGGATGATAAGATAACCACAGGCATTAATAGATGGGCAAGTCAAAACCTGGAAGGCAGGTGTGGCCAGATAAATCTGGGAAGACTCATAAATTAAGTGCAAAAATCAATCCATTTCACTACTCATATCTAGTGTCCTCTATGATATCTGGTACTATATGAATATCTGAGAAGGAGATACTCTCACTTCATCCTTGAAAGAAGCAATAAAATGGTTAACAATGATTAAAAAATAAGGTACAGTCTTCACTGCTGCAGCTCTCTCAGGACTACAAATTATCATCTCTGCCTCCATAAGCCATTCTACATTCACCATACCTGCTGGTAGCATTTAGCTTCCCCTGGTTGTTTGCCTTGTAGAATAGCATGGACCTTCATCCTCATGGTTTCTGAAGCGTTAGTTGCCTTGTTTTGTCAGGTTACAGTTGTTGAATTGCCCTATTCACAGTTATTGCTGAAATTGGAACCATCAAGAGATATTCAATGAATCTACTGAATTCCAGATGTATTTCTCCCTTTATTCTGTGTATTAGCAGCCCTAGCTCCTAATAAATGTGGTCGATTATCCCAGGAAGAGCAATGACTCCTTTCTTCATTCTCTGGTTCCTTGGTATTAGTCATAGTCTAAGAAAAACCCTTACTGTCTTTCTCAGCCAAATTATCTATCCCTCCTACCCCACTACCATCACCAGAAACTAGAATCTCAAATCTATCATATGCTAAGAATAAATGGAAGAGAAGAACAAATTAGAAATATTTAGGCAAGGTGTTTCTGCTACTTGGTCTGAGACCTGCATATTCTATTAACACAGCAGCATATACTGGTCATCAGTATAGTGATTATGTTTTATCCTGTAGAAGAGCACTTCAACAATGCAAGATATGCCTGGGTTGAGCCTTAGCTGTCTGTTCGGTATTCCATTCAGCCATCCTTTCAGGTCAGTTGTATTTGAATGATGTTACACATTGTAATGAGTTCATTGTTGCATGCCTTGGTCTAAGACAATCTGTGTGAGGTATATAAATGCAGAAGGCATTGTGTAAGCCCTAAGGTGGTATTGCTGTTGGAGATACTAGAGGCTTAGAAGACAAGCCCATATTTAGAATATGAATCACTTTGCTATGTAAGAATTATTATACCACTTAATGTGGAATGGGCCTGATGTAATCAACAGGCTCCTGGTGTCTGGTGTAGGAGCTCAGCATCAGTCTCTGCCCATAGCAAGTTGGGCACTCAGTAGTGATAGTATCTAGGTTAGTCTTTATGTGAAAGAGCCATGTTATTGATACCACATGTATCCTTGATGTCTGCCACCATGGCCACTGTCTTAACTCAATTATCTGAACACTAGAGTTACTAAGGACAGAAGAAGACTAAGTCATTAACTCTACCTGCTCACTGAGAGCATCCTCTGATGTGAATGCTTTCTAAGCAACATTGATATGAGACACAACTGGTGATGTTTGTGGTCTCTTCAACTTCATAACACCAGTTCCAGTTCTTAATTTTTTTTTCTAGGCTTCTGAACAAACAAGCAAGTCTACTCACCACTCACCAGAATTCATTGTACATAACTCACCTATGGCTTTCTCCAGGGAGAACCCATGTCTCTGCCTATTGGAAGGATTTTTTCAACACTGTCTTCAAGGACCCTCTTCACCGAGGCTCTAATATGGAAGCAGCCCAATTTTTACTAGGGCAAATAGATCTCGTTTATCGTCTTGGGGATTAGACCTATAACATGTCCTTGTCCATTTATTGGTCATTGGAAACCTTTCCACAAACTGTGGTTGTGAGTTGAGAGAAAGGCTTTGGGGTACCAGCACTGCATGTAGTCAAGTCTGAACCATCTGTTAGAGGCTAATCCAGGATGCAGGACTTCCACTTATGAAAAGTCTTGCTTCTGTGCCTGCCTGACTTTGTAATTCAGTGGATCTAATTGTGCATAGATCGTGATGAGCATGTCAGGTTACTATGTCTTATCTCACTGTCAGGTTCTCTATCTTTACTAGGGTGTAGTACAAGGCCAAGAGTGTTTTGCCAAACCAAGCATAGTTTTTGACTGCAGAAAACATGCTTTAAAACTCTGGAAGTAAGTGCTATAGTGATCATATGAGGGCTCACAGAAGACTTCACCTATGATTTTTAACCACCACAGATACATAAACTACTATCTTATTTGCTAGGCCATGTGGCAAAAGAGGCAGTAAAGCTTACACTAGAGCATGGGACTGCCACTGATCTCTTTACTGCCTTGGGTCCTACTTTAAATTGGCAGCCTTCTGTGTGACCCAGTAAATATTCCTGAGTGTAGCATGTCTTCCTAAGTTCAGAGGCTCACCAAGCTCTTTGACTTTTCACAGTGGTAGGTGTTATGGGAAGGAGGGATGAAAACATGTCTTTTTCCTTTGTGGGGATGTGCCAGCATGCCTCAGATGACTGTACTCCTAAAAGTTTCATCAATGTATCATGCATCTGAATTTTCATGAAGTTTATTTCTTACACTCCGGCACATATATTTCTTACAAGGACATCTAGCTCCATAGAAAGAAAAATGAATGATATAAACAGAACACTAAAAATACAAATGGCTCTTGAACATTAAAAGATTTTCAGCCTCATTTACAAGAAGAGATATGCAAATTAAAATTACACTCTGATACTATGTTCTGTCTCTTCAGATCATCAAAGAACAAAAAGTCTGTGTTAGAGTGAGAAATAGGTTCACTTACATGTTGCTGAATATAAATCAGAAAAATGTCTATGACAGTCAATTTAGCAATATCTATCAAAATTTTAAATGTGCAATCTAGCAATTTCTTTTTTTCATAATTTATTCTACTGGTAACTTGCATGTGAATAAAATTACATATGTGAAACATTATGAAGTAGAGCTTGTTTATAATTGACAAATTAAACATGATTTAACAAAAGGCTGGATAAATTAAGTCATTCAAAAGACAAAGACTTTTAGAAAGAATGATATAGATTATTAACTGCTGATAATGAATGATCTCATATATATATATATATATATATATATATATATATATATATATAAATTTTTTTTTTTTTGAGACAGAGTTTCACTCTTGTCGCCCAGGCTGGAGTGCAGTGGCATGATATCGGCTCTCTGCAACCTCTGCCTCCCAGGTTCAAGTGATTCTCCTGCCTCAGCCTCCCGAGTAGCTGGGACTACAGGCACCCGCCATCATACCTGGCTAATTTTTTGTATTTTTAGTAGAGATAGGGTTTCACCATGTTAGCCAGGATGGTTTTGATCTCCTGAACTTGTGATCTGCCCCCCTTGGCCTCCCAAAGTGTTGGGATTACAGGCTTGAGCCACCGTGCTCGGCCCAAAATATATTTTTAAGCGAAAAAACAAGGCTCTGAACAATGTGTATGGCATGCTATTATTTTCATTTGTCTCTGTGTTTATGAAGAATCACTGAAACAAAGCTCAAGAATCTCATTATTTTTTATATGTATAAATTTATGAAGTCCAAGTGCCATTTTGTTATATGCACATAGATTGCATACTAGTGAAGTCAGGGCTTTTCAGGTATGTATCTATCACCTGAGTAACATATATTGTGATTTTTAAGTCCTTTCTCATCATTCAGTCCTCCTCACCCCCCCGTACCCTTCCAAGTCTCCATTGTCTATCATTCCACACTCTACATCCATGTGTACACATTATTTAGCTCCTACTTACAAGTGAGAACATGCAGTATTTGTCTTTCTGTATCTGACTTGTTTCACTTAAAATGTCCTCCAATTACATTATTGTTGCTGCAAAAGACATGATTTCATTATTTTAATGGTTGAATAGTATTCCATTGTGCATATATACCATCTTTTGTTTATCCAGTCATCTGTGGATGGGCATTTAGGTTGAGTTCATATTTTTGCTAGTGAATAGTGCTGTGATAAGCATACAAGTGCAGGTATCTTTTGTATATAATAATGTTTTTCCTTGCCTGGGATTTCTGAATTAATTGGAAGTTCCATTTTTGGTTCTTTGAAAAATCTCTGTATTATTTTTCATAGACATTTTACTAATTCACATTCTCACCAACAGTGTATAAGAGTTCCCTTATCTCTGCATTCTTGCCAACATCTGTTATTTTTTGATGTTTTAATATTAGCCATTCTGACTAAGCTGATATCTCATTGTAGTTTTCATTTGCATTTCTCTGACGATTAGCGATGTTAAGTATTTTTTTATATAGCTGTTGGCCATTTGTGTGTCTTCTTTTGAAAAATTTCTATTCATATAATTTTCCCACTTTCAATGGAAATATTTTTTGTTGTTGAATTGCTTGAGTTCTTTCTATATTCTGGATATTAGGTCCCTTGTTAGATGCATATTTTACAATATTTTCTCTCATTCTGAAGATTATCTGTTCACTCTGTTGATTATTTCTTTTGCCATGCAGAAACTTTTTAGTTTAATTTTCTCATTTGTCTAGTTTTGTTGCTTGTGCTTTTGAGTCTTACAGATGAGTTCTTTCCCTAGATCAATGTCCTTAAAAGTATTCCCTATCTTTTATTCCAGTATAATATTTTTATAGTTACTGGTCTTACATTTAAGTACTTAATCCATCTTGAGGTTATTTTTATATATAGTGAGAGATAGGGGTTCAGTTTCATTCTTCTACACTTGGAAAACCAATTTCCCAACACAATTTATTGAAAAAAATGTCCTTTTCCCAGTGTATGTTCTTACTGAATTTGTCAAAGATTGGTTAGCTATGAAAATATTGCTTTATTTCTGGGTTCTGTATTCTGTTCCATTTCTCTACATGTCCATTTTTACACAGTGCCAGGCTGTTTTGGTTATGACAGTCTTATAGTACAATTTGAAGTCAGGTAATATGATACCTCCAGCTTTGTTCTTTGTGCTTAGGATTGTCTTTGGCTATTCAGTTTCTTTTTTCTTTTTTTTTGATTCCATATGAATTTTAGGATTTTTTTCTAATTCTCTTAAAAATGACATTGATATTGTGATAGAGATTGCATTGAATCTGTAGATTGTTTTTGGCAGTTTGGTCATTTACAATATTAATTTTTCCAATATCTGAGCATGGGCTATTTTCCATTTATTTGTGTCATCTACAATTTCTTTCATTAGTGTTTTGTACTTTTCCTTCTTGAGATCTTTCAACTCCTTTGTTAAATATATTCCTAAATATCTCTTTTTTTGGTGGCTATTGTAAATGGCATAGCCTTCTTGATTTTGCACCCAGCTAGATCATTATTGGTATATGGAAATGTTACTGATTTTGTAGTTTGACTTTTGTATCCTGCAACTTTACTAACTTATTGATCAAATCTGAGAGCTTTTTCGTGGATTCTTCAAGTTTTTCTAGATATAAGGTCATATCATCAGCAAACAGGGACAATTTGACTTTCTCTTTTCCCATTTGGATGCCTTGTATTTTTTCCCTTTCCTAATTGCTCTGACTAGGACTTCCAGTGCTATGTTGAATAGAAGTGATGAAAGTGAGCATCCCTGTCTTGTTGTAGCACGTAGAGCAAATGTTTTCAACTTTTTCCCATTCAATATAAGTTTGACAGTGGGTTTGCCATATATGGCCTTTATTATTTTAAAGTATGTTCCTTTTATGCCCAGTTTGTTGATAGTTTTTATCATAAAGCGGTTCTGAATTTTATCAGGTCTTCTTCTGTGTCTATTGAGATGATCATATTGTTTTTCTCCTTCATTCTGTGGAAGTAATGTATCACATTTTTTGATTTATATATATTGAACCACTCTTGAATCTCTAGCATAAAACTCCCTCTTGATCATGGTGTATTATCTTTTTGATGTGCCGTTGAATTCAGTGTGCTGGTATTTTTTTAGGTGATTTTTGCATCTATGTTCATCAGGGATATTGGTCTGTAGTTTCTTTGCGTGTGTGTCCTTGCCTGGTTTTGTTATTAGAGTTATACTGGCCTCATAGAATGAGTTAGGGATAATTCTCTCCTCAATTTTTGGGAACAGTTTCAGGAGGATTGGCATTAGTTGTTCTTTGTATGTTTGGTAGAATTTGGCTCTGAATCCATCTGGTCCTGGGCTCTTTTTTTCTTGGGAAAATGTTTATTACTGATTCCATCTTACTACTATTTTTTGGTCTGTCTGGGTTTTCTATTTCTTCCCTGGTCCAATTTTGAGAGGTTGTACAATTCCAGGAATGTATCAATTGCTCTAGGTTTTATAGTTGGTGAGTGTATAGTTGTTCATATTTAGTCTCTGATGATCTTTTGTATTTCTGTGGCATCAGTTGTAATGTCTCATTTTTCATTTCTGATGTTTATTTAGCTCTTTTTTTTCATTAGTCTAGTCTCATTGCTTTTAAAAATGGTTTCCTCATAGGAGGGCAATTGAGTGTCTCTATGACAAGAATGTAAAAGCAACTTACAATTTGACGTATACTTAGCTGTACATTTAAAATCTTTACTATGTGCATATATTATTTAATAAACAAATGGAAAATAAATTCCACATAATCTAATTTAAAACTTCAATCATATCTAATTCAAAGCTTCTTCCATCTCTCTATCTCAGGTCTGAGCAAGGGCTTGGAAACTTGCAGTGGGAAAGAGAGTAAGATTTTCTTATTCGTTTTCTCTGCATCTTCTACTTGCTGCTAGTTCTTCATAACCAAGATGGGGGAGTGTGATGGTTAATTTTAGGTATCAACTTGACTAGATTAAGGAATACCTAAAGAATTGGTAAAGCATTATTTCTGGGTGTGTCTGTGAAGTTGTTTCCAGAGGAGACTGGCATGCAAGTCAGTGGTCTAAGTGGGGAAGATCCTGCCTGAATGTGAGTGAGCACCACCCAATTAGCTGGGGTCTTGGAAAGAAAAAAGGCAGAGGAAAGGCTAATAATTACCTGTCTCTTTCTCCTGGAACTGAAACACCCTCTTCTCCTGCTGTTGGACATTGAAATTCTAGGATCTTTAACCTTTGGACTCCAAGACTTATGCCAGTGGCTTCCCCTAGGTTCAGGTCCTTAGCCTCAGACTGAGAGTTTCACCACTGGCTTCTCCTGTTCTGAATTATTTCTATTTCATTGGCCATTTCTCTTGTGTTTCCTCCTCATCTGTATCTCCAAACAGTGCAATATCTCAGGCCTCAGTCAATACCTCCTTGACACGACCTTTTCTCCCTAGGTGAGCTCATCCAAACTCATTGTTTAAAATACCTTTTGCACTTTGATGACTCCAAAGTTTATAGCTCAAATTCAGATCTCTCCTGGTCCACATTAAACTGCTAATTTTATCTCCACTTTGGATATAAATAGACATCTTTAACAAGTTAAAAATATCTCTTGAACCCCTCTTTCTTTCCTCAACCCTACTTTTTTTCCTGTGTACTACTCCATTTCAGTAAAAAGCAACTCCAGTCATTTGGATTTATTTGTGATTCCCATTTTTATTTCATATCCCACCAGTGAATCTGTTGGTGCTAACATTAAAATATATTTCAAGTCTGTCTTCTTCTCCTGATATCTACCACTAACTCCCTGGATCAATTCATCATCATTTCTTGCCTGGATTATTTTAGTTGCCTGCTGACAATCTGCCTCCACCTTTGCAACCTTTTATCTGCATTGTTGACAGATTGTTCCCTTAAAACATAGGACAGACATTTTCAGTTCCTTTCTTGTAACACCAAAATATTCAAAAAATTTACTTTCTCACTCATAGTAATCAATTAAAAAAAAGCCTGCAAAAGCTTTATGTAATCATTCCCTTAACTGTCTCTTTGACTTCACTCAGGCTTGCTCACTTCAGTCATGTTCTCCACAATCCCTAGTGTCCATTAAGATGTAGGAAGCTTCTTCCACAAAGAGGTGGTATCAATCCCTCCATCCCTTCAGATGGGGGCGGATGGCAGGTGGCTTGCAAAATTATTTGGCCAGAAGAGTGTAATGAATGTGACATCAGATCAGTTTTGAGCTTAGGCCTCAAGAAACTTACATACCGCCTCTCCCTCTCCCTCTCCCTCTCCCTCACGGTCTCCTTCTCTTGCCGAGCCTGGACTGTACTACCATGATCTCGGCTCGCTGCAACCTCCCTGCCTCGGGCTCCTGTGATTCTCCTGCCTCGGCCTGCCGAGTGCCTGGGATTCCAGGCACGCGCCGCCACTCCTGACTGGTTTTTGTATTTTTGGTGGAGACGGGGTTTTGCAGTGTTGACTGGGCTGGTCTCCAGCTCCTGGCCTCGGGTGATCTGCCCACCTCGGCCTCCCAAGGTGCTGGGATTGCAGACGGAGTCTCGCTCACTCAATGCTCAATGTTGCCCAGGCTGGAGTGCAGTGGCGTTATCTTGGCTCGCTACAACCTCCACCTCCCAGCCCTCTGCCTTGGCCTCCCAAAGTGCTAAGATTACAGCCTCTGCCTGCCACCCCATCTAGGAAGAGAGCAGCGTCTCTGCCTGGCCACCCATCGTCTGGGATGTGAGGAGCGCCTCTGCCCGGCTGCCCCATCTGGGAACTGAGGAGCGCTTCTGCCCGGCCGCCACCCCGTCTAGGAAGTGAGGAGCGCCTCTGCCCGGCTGCCCCTAATGGGAAGTGAGGAGCGCCTCTGCCCAGCTGCCTTGTCTGGGATGTGAGGAGTGCCTCTGCCCAGCCACCACCCCGTCTGGGAGGTGGGGAGCGCCTCTTCCCGGCCACCCCATCTGGGAGGTGGGGAGTGCCTCTGCCTGGCTGCCCCATCTGGGAACTGAGGAGCGCCTCTACCTGGCCACCCCATCTGAGAGGTGAAGAGCGCCTCTGCCTGGCAGCCGCCCCGTCTGAGAGGTGAGGAGCTCCTCTGCCCGGCAGCCGCCCCGTCTGGGAAGTGAGGAGCGTCTCTGCCCAGCCGCCCCATCTGGGAAGTGGGGAGCGCCTCTGCCCCGTTGCCCTTCATCTGGGAGGTGAGGAGCACCTCTGCCCCGCCGCCCTGTCTGAGAGATGAGGAGCGCCTCTGCTCGGCCGCCCCATCTGGGATGTGAGGAGCGCCTCTGCCCGGCCGCCACCCCGTCTGGGAGGCAAGGAGCGCCTCTGACTGGCAGCCCCGTCTGGGAACTGAGGGGCGCCTCTGCCTGGCTGCCACCCCGTCTGGGAAGTGGGGAGCGCCTCTGCTCGGCCGCCCCATCTGGGAAGTGAGGAGCATCTCTGCCTGGCCGCCCCATCTGGGAGGAAGTGAGGAGCGCCTCTGCCCGGCCGCCCCGTCTGGGAGGTGAGGAGCATCTCTGCCTGGCCGCCCTGTCTGGGAATTGAGTAGTGCCTCTGCCCGGCCACCCATCGTCTGGGATGTGAGGAGCGCCTCTGCCTGGCTGCCACCCCGTCTGGGAAGTGGGGAGCACCTCTGCCCGGCTGCCCCGTCTGGGAGGTGAGGAGTGCCTCTGCCCGGCCGCCACCCCCTCTGGGAGGTGAGGAGCACCTCTGCCCGACCGCCCTTCATCTGGGAGGTGAGGAGCGCCTCTGCCTGGCTGCCCTATCTGGGAGGTGAGGAGCGCCTCTGCCCGGCTGCCCCATCTGGGAGGTGAGGAGCGTCTCTGCCCAGCCACCCCGTCTGGGAGGTGAGGAGCGTCTCTGCCCAGCCACCCCGTCTGGGAGGTGAGGAGCGTCTCTGCCCAGCCACCCCGTCTGGGAGGTGAGGAGCGTCTCTGCCCAGCCACCCCGTCTGGGAGGTGAGGAGCGTCTCTGTCCAGCCACCCCGTCTGGGAGGTGAGGAGTGCCTCTGCCCAGCCACCCATCGTCTGGGAGGTGAGGAGTGCCTCTGCCCTGCCGCCCCATCTGGGAGGTGAGGAGCACCTCTGCCCGGCCGCCCTGTCTGAGATGTGAGGAGCGCCTCTGCCCGGCTGCCCCGTCTGGGAAGTGAGGAGCGCCTCTGCCCGGCAGCCCCATCTGGGAGGTGTACCCAACAGCTCCGAAGAGACAGCGACCATCGAGAACGGGCCATGATGACGATGGCGGTTTTGTTGAAAAGAAAAGGGGGAAATGTGGGGAAAAGAAAAAGAGATCAGATTGTTATTGTGTCTGTGTAGAAAGAAGTAGATGTAGGAGACTCCGTTTTGTTCTGTACTAAGAAAAATTCTTCTGCCTTGGGATGCTGTTAATCTATAACCTTACCCCCAACCCCGTGCTCTCTGAAACATGTGCTGTGTCCACTAAGGGTTAAATGGATTAAGGGCAGTGCAAGATGTGCTTTGTTAAACAGATGCTTGAAGGCAGCATGCTCGTTAAGAGTCATCACCACTCCCTAACCTCAAGTACCCAGGGACACAAACACTGCGGAAGGCCGCAGAGACCTCTGCCTAGGAAAACCAGAGACTTTTGTTCACGTGTTTATCTGCTGACCTTCTCTCCACTATTATCCTATGACCCATCCCCCTCTCTGAGAAACACCCAAGAATGATCAATAAATACTAAAAAAAAAAAAGAAACTTACATACCTCCATTCTCCCTCTTGGAACCATGTCCAGCCAACATGCAAATAAACCTCTGGTAGCTTGCTGAATCATGAGAGACATGTGGCCCATTGTTCCAGCCTAAATCCATCCAAGCATTAGAGAAGTCAATGAAGCCAATCTAGATTAGCCAGCTCCTAGCTGGACTACCAGTTAACTGTGTAATCCAGAAAGGTGTAGCTGAGTCAGGCTCAAATCAAACAACTTCCCAACTTACCTGTAGACTCATGAGCAATAATAAGTTTTAAGTGTTGTAGGCCACTAAGTTGTGAGGTGATATAGCCAACTAATTCAAGACATCTTTATATGTTGTTTCTATTATCTAGAATATCTACCTATGTTTCCTTATGACTTAGACCATAGAAAGCCCTAAATCATACTGACTCTAACAGTTTTTTTCTAAACTCCCTATACTAATTGGTTAACTTCATCCCTTTTCCTTCTATTGTTCTTAGCTGCTTGTGCTCTTCCATAGCACTCATCTTCTCTGGCTGAGAGTTTTATGTATTCACTGAAAACGTGTTTTTGTTTTGCCTGAGGTAGACAGCTAAACTATATTTCCTAACTTGTTTTGCAGTTAGTTGGGCATGGAAGTGACCTCTGTCTAATGGAACATAGACAAAAATAATGTGTATCACTTCTAAGCCTGGCTGGTGACAACTTACTTTTTGCCTATATGACCTCCACGATGGTAGAGTCTTTGTTGTTTTTCATCACTTGATCCTTGGCAATTAAAATAGAACATGATACCTAATAATCTCAGTATATATTTTTTGGATAGCTGTATACTTTGTAATTTCAGAATGCCAAAACAGAGTTTGATAGAAGTTTCCAGAATTAAGAGAATTTTACTTAGAGAAAAGAAACAGACTGATTGACTTCTCGCAAGACATGGAGAATACTAAAAACAAAGGAATAGCAATATTTTCTATTGCTGCATAACAGACTACCACAAATGTAGTGGCTTAAAACAGCATACATTTCTAATCTTGCAGTTTCATTGTGTCAGGAGGGTACCATGTTGAGTACTCTGCTGAAAGATCATCAGGCTGCAATCAAGTTATTGCCCAGGGCTGTGCTCTAATTTGAAACTTGGACTTCTCTTTCCAACAGTTGTTGCCAAAATTTAGTTGTTTGTGATCATAGAACTGAGGCAGTTTCCTGCCAGGTGGACATCTCCAGTACATGGCAGTTTGTTCCTTCAAGGCCAGGATGAGAACATCTCACTCCTTTTTATCTCTACCTTCAAAGAAGGCCTGAGATTTAAGCTTTGTCTGATAAGGTCAGTCCCACCCAGGATACCCCTCTTTTGATTAATTCAAAGTCCAATGATTTAGGCCTTATAAAGATTAAGGCCTTAATAAGGGCCTTAATCACATCTGTAAAATACTTTCATCTCTGCCATATAAGACAACCTAACTGTGGAAGTGAAATCTCAGCATACTCATAAGTCCCACTCATCCTCAAGATTATACAAGGTAAGTACACAAAGAGTTAAGAATCTTGGGGACCATCTTAGCATTTTGTCTACCATAAACAGTTTCAAAAGAAAAATTTTCCAATTTAGAAATATACACCCAGACAAAATATCAGATAAAAATATTCCAGACATGCAAAGTTTCTGGAAATTGCCAATGTACAGCAAAGAGTTAACACAGTAGGTCTGATATTGTTCTTTACAAGAACATGCTTGTGGGGTTGGCCCTTGGCTGACATTTGGGAACTTGGCTTTGGAATTTTCCTTATGTTACTAATTGATAAGGTTGTTGTGTCTGCCTGGGGTACTATTTTGTATGCCTGCTGTATCAACATATTCAGACTGTTTATGCAAAAATGCGATTTATGGTAAATGCTTGTTTTTCTTCTGGGAGTCTGGAATTTGGTAATTATAATGGAGAGTTCCTAGGTAACCAACCTCATTAAAAACCCTGTATCTTGCATGAGTCTCAAGAGCTTGCCTGAGCAGAAACATTGTACAAGTGTTGCAGCATTTTGTTGCTGGAGAAAGGAGCATGTCCTTGCAGCCCCAACACCATCTGAACTGGAAGAGAAAACTTGCAAGCCTATTCTTGACCTGTTTTAGGATTTACCTGAGGTGTCTTTTCTCCTTGCTTTAAAAACCCATAGCCATAAGTGCAACTGCCTCTTGGTCCTGTAAGTTCTTCTGAAGGGTCACCACACATGGGGTTGTTGTGGGACCCCCAAAACACCTCCAGTGCACCTTATTTAAAAGAAAGTTACCAGAAATACCCCAGAAAAATTAAGGTACAAACCAAGAAATAGGAAAACGTTTCCAAGAAACAGTGGATGGAACCCAGGAAATCAGTAAATTCAAGGCCCCAGAAGACAACTGTGCATCAGCCTAGAGAGCAGCCAGTCTTGTTTGAAGCCAAAGAGTATACAAATATCACAAGTAAAATGTCGAGAGTGAGAATATAAGAAAAGCTGATAGTACACCACAAATGAGTCAATTGGCAAATTCACAGAAAAAGAACAAAAAATATATACTATGTATAATATAAATGATATATATCATATGTATGTATAATGTATATGAGATACATAAATTATATAATATAATTTAATATAATATATTTAGTATAATATATAAATTACATATGGTAAAGAATATTATATATTCTTTATTAGAGATATAATATATAATAGGTAATATATTTCATAATTTAATATAATATATAATATATAAATATATACACATTCACACAAATTTAAACAAGAGCTCCCATATATATACATATATATACATATATATACACACACATATATATACACATATATATACACACATATATATATACACATATATATACACATATACACATATATTTTATATATATACACATATATATATTATATATATACACACATATATATATATTATATATATATATATTTTTTTTTTTTTGAGACAGAGTTTTGCTCTGTCACCCAGGCTGGAGTGAATGTTATTGAATATACAGTTTTCATTAGGCACCATACTAGATACTTTACATTTATTGCTCATGTAGTCTTCACAGAAACCTTTTTGGGGTATTGAAATGTCTACATTATTGATGTTGCAGCTCATAATTATGAAATTTCTTCCTTGTAGTCAGAAAGTAAGTAGAACTCCTGAAAGAACAGTAATTTGGGACCAAGTTTGTTTTACTTATGTCCATATATGTCCATCACTAATACTGCCTTCAGTCTATTTCAGTACAGTTCTGTAGTTTCTCGGAAGAAATTGCTTCACTGATGTTGTTATTTGACAATTTGCCACCCACTCTCATGCCTATTGTAGGTGATTAGAGACGTTTACGCAACTGAAAATAAAAGATGTGGGAAAAATACAGTGAAATCTCTTGAGGCTTTTTAGTTGTTGTTTAAAACTTTTTACTATTATGGTTTGTCTAAAAGTTATCTCTCTATACAAGTTTCACTTTGACATGTTACCTTATCATATACTTAATAAGAGGAGGCTGATCATATGAGGTATAGAGTCACTCTTTGGATTTTAGTTTTGAGAGTTACTATTATGAGAAACACATTCATGCTGATAAATAGATCTATGGGAATATAGTCAAGGCTCCTAGAGTCCATACTTCCTTGTATCATAGTCCTCAAACCCTGCTTAAGATAGCTAATTGGTACACATATGCACAAATATATTTGATATATGGCAACCAAACTCCTGCAATAACACATATATCTAGACATTTAAAAAGTAGGCCTTTATAAGCCAGGATATAGACCAGGTTCACAATTTAAAAGGATGCTGTTCCTTGGATGATACCCTTCACCTTGTGACACCAAATCTGCTTGACACATCACCATTGTGATAAAGGCAATAATCGCCAAGAAACTTTCTATGCTGCCCCAAATCCAACCAATTGCTCATTTTCTCACCCCTTTCCTTGATTGAAAAGCAACAGCATTCCTTTGTGAAACTACTCAATGAATAATTGGTGAGGGATATTTTAAGATAACAAGAAATCAGAGATTATGTAACAGCCAGAAGAGAAATTATTATAATAGCCTTGGTCAATGAATGCAGATGTGAAATAATTTACCTGTAATTTGACTTTCCTAGATACAGTTTTGCAGAAAGTTGCTGGACCCTTGATGACTGCAGCAAGGACAAGAAGCTGCAGTCAGACTAAACGAGGCTAAAAATTATATCATAAACTGAGAACTTATCTTTAATTATTTGTATTTCTTTTGTTATAAATAACTTTTGAGTGAAAAATAATATATCTTTTCTTTGGTAAGTGACAGATGGCTTAGACTGGCAAATTTGCTTACAGTAAATTTATAAGAGAAAAATAATCCTTCATGTATCAAAAGGGTAACAATAAGTCAAATACTAAGATTTGGATCTAACCCCTCCGCCGTGGACCATGAATGCATATCTCTGATCTAATACAATATTTTAAAAAGCTCTCTTTTGAAATATGTGTTGTGTGCATTATTTCAAGAGATGTATGGCTAATTTCTCATATGCTATGAAAAACTGATTTTTAACTGACCTTTTCTGTGAATTAAATGTGTGTGTGTATGTGTGCCTTTCACTGTTCGTAAATTTATAGTGGGAATACAACCATAAGCTCAGAAGTTTGAATGTTCTTACATGGCAATAACATGGAGCATATTTTCATTCCTTTAATTTTGTTTTGCAAAATGGAAGTAGCCTGAAAAATAAAGGAGAAATTTAATCTTGATTTACATAAATAAATCTAGCTATTTATTTTCTCCTATCAAAATTAATGGAGACTAAAAACTTAGACAAAATAAAACAGATCCCTCCGTAAGAATTCTTAGGTCTTTCTCCTTTTTTTTTGAGATGGGGGTCTCACTCTGTTGCCCAGTCTGGAGTGTAGTGGTGCAATCTTGGCTCACTGCAACCTCTTGCCTCCAATCACTCCACTGCAAATAATTCTCCTGCCTTAGCCTCCCAAGCAGCTGGGATTACAGGCACTCACCATCATGCCTGGCTAATTTTTTATATTTTCAGTAGAGATGGGGTATCACTATGTTGGCCAGGCTGGCATCAAACTCCTAACCTCAAGTGATCCACCCACTTCAGCCTCCCAAAGTTCTGGGATTACAGGTTTGAGCCACCACGCCTGCCTGTAATAGTCTTCTGACAGTCACTCTATCATGGTTTTTATTTAACTCTGAATTACAGAAAATTCTACTACTATGACTTATGCTAATTATTAATTATAGGTTAACATTTCTCATATAAAGACATTCTGAAGGAGGGAATCCAGAGCAGGTATTTTGGCTTAACATCACATTGATAACTTGGCAATCTTTATTTTCCTACTTCACTAATTTTAGCCTGTGATTTTGGTTGCTATGATCACAGGATGATTGACCTATATTCAGTAACATGTTTCGATTAATTTAAGAAGGAGGGAAAACACCAAAAGAAGATAGGTCCTCCATGGATTGCTTTGCATAACTAATCATCTTATTGGAAGACATACATAATATGGGAAAATATATACTTTATCTTTACTATCTCGTAAAGGAAAACAAGGACATTAATTTGTAAATATCTTGTGAGAAGTCCATTCAATGTGCTCTATAGTTATTAATCAAAATGCTATCCTTTTAATTAGAAGGAGTTGAGTCACTTTGAGATTCAATTGAGCACTAGAGTGAAATGAAAGTCACTCCTTAGTAAAAGTGAAAAATTTTTTCCATGCATTTCCTACATATGGTAGTAAATAATATTTTTTATTTGCTTAGATTTGTCTGTTTTTTTTTCTTGGGAGGGGACAATATCTGTTATAGATCTTTATTTTGGAGCCGCATGTTTGTTATGTCTACGTTGTTAGCACCTCAGGAAAAAAAAAAATCACTTATTTGTATTTCTCTTTTTTGTTTTCCGGCACATAGCATTGTTCAGGGCATCAACACACATCTACAAACACTGATAGATTAAATGAGTGAATAGTTTAACTAATTTTAATATATCAAAAAATTGTTACTTGAAGTGGTTTTAAGGAAAACCTTTACTTACTACAGCTATTATAAGATTGACATAGTTTAGTTAACAATATTAGGAACTTCAGAAATATATGAGTAATATTTTATGTGTACACCAAAATAATATATTTGAAATTAAATTTTTGGAGATACTTCCTCTTATTTCACTGCATCTTGTCATGCTACTCAATATGAGTGTAATTCCACATAGGCATAATGGCTATTATCCAGTATTGATTTCCACAGACAGCTTGTGAGTCATTTCTGCTATCTTTTTCCATGTGATTGTCATGACAACCTGACCAAACTTATTACATCTTTAAGGCAGAGACTGGATGAGGTACATTGATTAAAATATCAGAAATTTTTTTTGCACCAAAATCTTTTTAGGGTCCTTTTGGAGGGGTCAATTATATTTTTAAGGAAAGAATGAATGAGGATTTGGATACTTTTACATGCTCACATATTTTCTATATAATTTAGTATAATAAAACTATATACAATGCTCTTACAAACTGTATACTCCTACATTTAAAAAAGACCTTTCGTTGTAAGCATTAGAGAACCAGAGCAAAAAAAAAAAAAAAATCTCTCTTGCTATTCTACTTTTGATAATGAATGAAATGAGAAGGCACTAGGATATTAAGTGGTAGATCCATTGTTTAAATTTAGGATTTGGTATAGGTATGCTTAGAATTGATTTTTTGACCAGCTTTTGCTTTAGTTTAATCTTATTAAATTGGGCTAAGTAAAAATGATTCAAAACAGAGGTTGTGCAGGCCTCACTGGAGCTCATTGAGATATCTGATTTTATTTTGCTTCTGGGAACATGCCCCTTGGAGATGAGCATGGCCATATGCTTTGTGTTGGCCAAGATAATGTGAACCTATGTTGACATATATATTTTCTGAGCAGAAGGATTTAAAAGTCATGAATGGTTATCCATACATTCTTCTTCTGCCATTGCAATAATGAAAGCACATGTTAATATGGAGTGCCAAGAAATCAAAGCAGCCTGGAATGATGAGTTGACAGAAAAGACAGCTGCTCTGGAGAGTCATTCAGAAACACAAGAGACTGCATGACTGAGAAATAAACTTTACCTAAAGTTTCTGATCCCTTGATAATGTTATTAGTGTAATATTAATAAGTCTACCTAGGCTAAACCTCTAGATTCTCAAAATCTTGAGAAATAAGATTAAAGGTTTCAAAATTATCTATTTATTTTACTAATAAAATGTAAAGTGAGGGAGAAAATCTAATCATGGCATGGGGGAGCTGCAAGTAGACTTTCTAAATAAACTGAAATAGACAGTCTTCACTACCTCCAAGCCACCCGTATAGGTGGAATCCCTACTTGGAAACCTTCTCAAAAAAAGCTTAGGGAATAGGTCAGTGGGGAGAAGTCTCAACCTTGATGGCAGATTCACTACCAAAACGGAAAGGGGAGAACAGAGTTCAACATGAACAGTTTATCGTCACCAAATTTTCTAATTAGTTGAAGTCATTCCGTGTCCCCTGAGAGTTAAGACAATAATGAACAAAGGCTAGAAATATACCAGGAGCTCCACTTGAAGGAAACCGGTATGGAAGAGACTTCTAGCTGATGGTGCCCTACGGGACTCTCTAGCCCTGACCTTCTTCTCCAGTTACACATTATATTCCTATATTTTATTTTGAAGACATATGCACATGTCATTTCCTTTGAATTAAGCTGTCTTCCAGTCTCTCATTATTCAGGCATTTCTTATTTATCATTCAAATCTCTACTCAATAGTCCTTTCCCCAGTTAAACTTTCCCTGCTTTCTTAATTAGTTCAATTTTCTTTATTGAAAGGTTTTTATAGCATCATACATCTCTTATGTACCTATCACATTTGTGATTTTGTAATCATTATATAATTAATTTTATTAGTATATGTCTCTCTCATATGGTTATTAATTGAATAATATTATATCTGTTTTCTCCATAATTTATTTTGCATCCCTAGCATGTTGGAACTGTCTCTCTCTGGCTCCCTCATTCTGCCCTTCTCTTTCTCTCTCTCTCTCTCTTCCTTCCTTCCACATTTGATCTCTCTGCCTCCTTCTCCTTCTACCTAAGACCAGGTGTTGGTGAAGAGCCTGGTGGGATGGCAATACTGCATCAAGGACAATGATTCCTTTCATCTTTTTTTACCCAGCCTTCCTTTTTTGTGTTATCCTTGCTACATGGTCAAAGCTGTGTCACTGTCACAGTGTTGTTCAGGCCCCACTCAGGAAGTAATAGTGGAAGTAGGAGAAAACCAATTTTACTTTAATTGAGTGACCCAGAATTTACCCACAGCATTTCTATTAAGTGTTACCAGCTCCCAGGGAGGTTAGGGAACATTATCTGAGCAGGCAGGCAGTTAAAATTCTTACTAATAGAGAGATGTATGATAGATCTTGTGGAACAACTAACCATTTGCCACATAGCTATTTAGAAAAGAGGATTCTGACTGCAAGAATCACAGCATTATTTTAAATATTTATTCCACCATCTTTTCAATTTTTTCAGTTATTTGGCCTTAAGATTTTTTTAAGTTTTGCTTTTTTCTTAAGTAATTCATTTTGTTCCAAGATTTTAAATAAATTTTAAATTTCATAATGCAATTTAATGGATAATGTAGAAATTCAGGAGCAAAATTATATTTTATAAAACTGTTAGACTTGGCATGGTGGCTCATGCCTGTAATCCCAGTACCTAGGGAGGCCAAGGGGAGCAGACCACAAGGTCAAGAGATGGAGACCATCCTGGCTAACACAGTGAAACCCCATCTACTAAAAATATAAAAAATTAGCCTGGTTTGGTGGCACATGCCTGTAAATCCCAGCTACTCGGGAGGCTGAGGCAGGCGAATTGCTTGAACCCAGGAGGTGGAGGTTGCAGTGAGCCGAGATCGCACCACTGCACTGCAGCCTGGACTACAGAGTGAGATTCCGTCTCAAAAAACTAAATAAAATAAAATGAAAATAAAAAAATAAAAACTGTTAAATAATCCTATTCCATTAAAGAAACATATTTAAAAACAAAGAACAAACAAGGAACGTTTTCCAAAATGTTTTGCTAAATTAGAAGTGAATGCTGATTTACCTAAGTTACCTTATAGCACAGGTTTTCAAATTCTGTTAAGCAATGTTATATAATTTTGAGTAGAACCCTAAGGAGTCACTGTGTATGTGTGAGGGTGGGGAGTTGGAGTTGTAGCTCATCTTAAAGAAACTGAAAATGCTGGGCTTTGAACTTTTTCCTGGAGTTTTGATTATTGCAAATAAAACTGCTAGGAACTTCATATGTAAATATATATGTGTAGGTGTGTATATATATCACATATGCATTTTATTTATATATGTTTTTGTTGCAAATATACATGCAAATTGAATTGCTGGATCATAATCTAATATGTTTAATCTTTGAAGGAACTGCAAAAAGCCAAAATGCTTCCCAAAGTTGTTCTAAAAATTAACTACTGAAACCATCTGAGCCAGGACATTTATTTTTTTACAAGCTTTTAAATCATAGATTCCATTTATTTAATATTTAGGACTGCTCAGGTAATCCACAGCATGTTGGGAGAGCTTTGGTAGTTTGTGTTTTTTTAAGGAATGTATCCATTTTCTCTACTTTTAGAAAGAATTGCTGGTAGGGTTCCCTTATTCTCGTTTTAATAGCTGTAGGATTTCTAGCCATATCACTAGGATCTCTCTCTGTTTCGGTACTTTTTTTTTTTTTTTTTTTTTTTTTTTTTTTTTTTTTTTTTTTTTTTGCTCTGAGGTCTACTTTTTCTTATAGCCACTTCTGATTTCTTTTTACAAAATGAATGTTTACATGGTATGTCTTATTTTTTCTATTACTTTCAACTTATCTGTATTGTTATATTTGAAGTAAGCTTTTTGGAAATATGGTTGTCCTTGGAGTTACTTTTATACACCTCTTTCATTTTAAATAGTGCTTTTTCCAATAAAAGTGACAGGATATAAAATTCTACTGTCTTAGCCCCCACTGAGATTCAAAGACATCAACTAGAAATTTCAGAGTGTGCTTCATGGTCTTACAAGAAGTGGAAAGTCATTTACAGGTATTTTCTAGTTTAGTATTTTAAAAAAGCACCCCTTAGGAATTCAGCAGATGATACATCTTAAATTAGTGTTAAGAGTAAGCAGTGGCCTATGCTGAGCCTCAAAATTCTCTGAAATTAGTCATTAGTGAATTTCACAATCGTAAGGTAAAGTACAAGGATACTATGGTACATAGAAGAGGGCCGATTTTAAGAAAGAAAAAAAATAAAGAAATAAAATATTCCCTTAGGGTCATCTTAATAATTTTTGAAATAAAAAATTAAGAGAGAAATTATCATAAATTCTATATTCATATACATATCCACATGAATAGCTTTACATTTTTTCTAGTTCCTAAGGATTAAGTTAATCATACACCACCACGCCTAGCTAATTTTTGTATTTTTAGTAGAGACGGGGTTTCACCATGTTGGTCAGGCTGGTCTTGAACTCCTGACCTCAGGTGATCCGCCCACCTTGGCCTCCCAAAGTACGTGAGCCACCGTGCCCAGCTTATTTAAAAATTGATGCAAGATTTTTCGTGGCCCTTTCATTGGATTTGTGACAGGGACAAATGTTTACTTGGCCCACTGTTCTCAACCCCTTGTGAAAGCGAGCATATGAGTGAGCTAATGCAGGACCAGCTAGTTGCTCCAGGCGCCAGTGAGAGCAAGCTCTGTGCAGGACCTGTGGCAGCATACTAGTGGGGGAGCCTATGACCCCAAAACACCAGAGGGGGTGTTACAGCTCTCCTTTAGTTCCACTGTCTGTGGATGGCTGTGTGTTAAAAGCTCAGCTGAACCCTTGCCTCATCATGTGGGGCAGCTGCCCTCCACCAGTGAGGGCAAAGGGCTGGTGTGACAGCCTTTTTGGATATCCGCACTTGGTGGGTCCCAAGCTCTTGTCCAGCATCCAAGAACAATGAGGTCGCATGGGCACTTGAAGGATGGTGAAGGCAGAGAATTTTATTGAGCGGTGGGAATGGTTCTCAGAGGAGACGGGAGCTGGAGAGGGGAGGGGAAGGGCAGATAGTTCTCACTGAATTCCAGCCATCTTCACTGAAGTCAAGCTGTCTCTTCTTCCCCAAAGTCCAGCTATCTTCTCTCCAAAGTCGACCCGTCTCTTCTCCAAAGTCCAGCCATCTTCTTTCCAAAGTCAAGAGGCCTCTTCCCTCTACTGACTGAGCCTGGAGTCTTTATAGGCACAATATGGGGATAGGGTGGGCCGTAGGTTGTTTTGGAAAACGTAATATTCAACTGGTAAAAAGACATTATTCAGAAAGAACCAATCAGGAGAAAGCAGGCAAACAGAAAGAGAAGTTCTCACTTTGGGCTGCAGGTTTTAGGCTACCTTGGCTTGAAGGTGCGGTTTCACCAGGGACCTGCCCCTGTCTGCCTAGAATTTCTCTGCCTCCTCCCTCTATCAAAATTATGATAATAAAATTAAGCTGAAGACTTTCTATGGTTACCTGTACACTATTTTGGTGATATTCTAATATTTTGTTCACATTGTAAAATTCTCTGTAAATAATCCAACTGGAAACTCTCATATTATAGATAAAAACTAGATACATCCCCACTGACATTTCTAGTTAAGATTCTTTTAGTTTAAGATAGTAGGTTGGGCTGGCAGCGGTGGCTCACGCCTGTAATCTCAGCACTTTGGGAGGCCGAGGCGGGTGGATCACAAGGTCAGGAAATCGAGACCATCCTGGCTAACACGGTGAAACCCTGTCTCTACTAAAAATACAAAAAATTAGCCGGGTGCGGTGGCGGGTGTCTGCAGTCCCAGCTACTCAGGAGGCTGAGGCAGGAGAATGGCGTGAACCCGGGAGGCGGAGCTTGCAGTGAGCCGAGATGGCGCCACTGCAGTCCGGCCTGGGCGAAAGAGCGAGACTCCGTCTCAAAAAAAAACCAAAAAACAACAAAAAAAAGATAGTAGGTTAATATGCAATATCTGTTACCTGTGATTCTAAAAATTTAGTTATGAATAAAATGGTAGATTCCCAATCCGAATACAACATAGTAATTAGATATCAAACACCGCGCTAAAGGATTTTTGTGGGTTTTCTCACTTAATCATTACAAAAATCCCACAAGTTATTTGTTATTATTATTCCACTTTTTCAGACCAGAAAAGCAAGTCTAAGGAGAAGTTCCAAAATTTTCATTTTTAAAAGCACTCCAGATGATTCTATTATAGGTAGTTCAGAAAATGAGGTGAGTTATATCATACTTCCAACATTAGAATTGATAATACATGGATATGATTTGCAGTATATTAACATGATAAAATATGCAAGATTTTCTAAATTTCTGTTTGTAGGTTTAACCAATAATCTAAGGTGCTGCAGGAAAACTATGTGTTTGTATAAAGAAAAGAAAGATATGTTCCTTTTATGAATATGTATGATGAATCCAATAGAGGAAAATATTTCCTTATTTTTTAATTATATATTCAAACAAATTGTTTTTGATACTGAACTTTTTGATCTTAGATACATCGTTTAATCATAATTTGAACTTTTTTAAGCTGAGCTTTGTCATTGTTTTGACATTCCCCAAGCTCCTTGATTCTTAATTAGGATTGAACTATAGAATAGTAACTACAGCAGATTAATCCTTTTAGAATGCTTAAATTGTTTATGAACAACCCATATTCACAATCCATTTCTAAAACTTAATTTTTATTTACTTTTAATTTTTTGAGAGATGCATCTTTTATTTTAAAATAGTGGTAAATTTAAAAATGTGGTGCATTTTTCTCAAGATCAGATAAATCACTTGCATATTTTATATTATTTTTGTTGGGAGACATGCTTTTTCTTCATTAATCACCTTTAGGCAAACTGAAGTTATCTGAAATGAAGTATCCCTGTAGAGTTTGCTTTGACTATTTCAATCGAAGATTTGTGTTAAGATTTTGAGCAACTAATAGTGATAGTTTTAGATATGAGACTGTTGAGCCTATCCAAGAAGCTAAATTGTCTTTGGATCTCAGATAATTATTTACAATCAGACATAAGGATGAAAATATTTCTGTGAAGTTGATTGGAAGAGGAAATATCGATTGATTCATCTGCATAATAATTATGTTTAGAAATGGCAACTTAGGTGGGTCCTTCTCCTTAAGGAAAATAACCAAGCCCAATATTTAGGTAAAATATTTATAAAGATAAGTACAAACAATATTCTATATAAACACTGGAAATTGTTATCAAAAGTTATTTTTTTAACCCTAAAGAATCCCTAAAGGATCTAATAAAGTCAGAGTCAAGATAGATTAAAACAATGTCCTAAGTCTCCTTGGAGGCAAATTTAAGATTCCTTATGGGAAGAGTTTCTGAAGAGAAAATGCAAAGGTTGAGGTTTAAGTTTACCACCCAAGCTTCTGACTAAAGACTCACAATCAGAGCACCCACAATTTATTGCTGATTGATCATTTAGTCGAGAATATTTACAATGCTTGATAAAAAGTCAAGTATGGTTATTGAAATAATGTTTTACTTGATTTATTTGAATGAACAAAAACTGTCGCACTTCAATTTTTCCTCACAACTCTCTAATATTTGTCCCTATACATCTTTGCCATTTTAATGGGCACTGGATTAAAATAAGAACACTATATTGTATGATTCTTCTCCAGTTCCACACAGATTCAATCACTGGAAGACTTTCATCCAGTAGCCTTAATTAACTATACCCTGAACAAGTCCTGAACAAGGCAGGAGGATTTATTTTTTCTACATCTTTATCAATCTTTGTATCCTGTACATCTGAAGTAAAACAGTATCTTTCTTCCCTGATATATACTGTTCTCTTTAGCATCTACTATGCTTTTGCATTTCATTGTTCTGTACTTCTATTAGATGTTAAAAATAAAATTCAGTTTACAGAAAAAAGGCAAATTTTTTGGCTCGTTAATTTGTTTAGGTTTTTTATAGATTCTAGATATTAGACCTTTGTCAGATGCACAGTTTACAATTATTTCCTCACATTCTGTAGGTTGTTTGGTTACCCTGCTTATAGTTTCTCTTGCCATGCAGAAGGTCTTTAGTTTAATTAGGCCCCATTTGTCAAATTTTTGTTTTTGTTACAATTGCTTTCGGCATTTTTGTCATGAAATCTTTGCTCAGTCCTATGTCCAGAATGGTATCTCCTAAGTTATCTCCCAGGGTTTTTATAGTTTTAGGTTTTACATTTAAGTCTTTCATCCATCTTGAGTTAATTTTTGTATATGGTGTAAAGAAGGGATCCAGTTTCAATTTACTGCATATGGCTACCTAGTTATCCCAGCACCATTTATTGAATCTGAAAAGTTGGCAAAGGACATGAACAGACAATATTCAAAAGAAGACATACATGTGGTCAAGAAGGATATGAAAAAACACACAATGTGACTAGTCATTAGAGAAATGCAAATCAAAACCACAATGAGATACCAGCTCACACCAGTCAGAATGGCTGTTATTAAAAAGACAAAAAATAACAAATGCTACCAGGGTTTTAGAGAAAAGAAAATGCTTATAACTGAAGGTAGGACTGTAAATTAGTCCAGCCATGGTGGAAAATAGTTTGGCAATTTGTGAAGAACTTAAAACAGAATTGCTATTTGATATGATTTGGCTGTGTCCCCACCCAAATCTCACCTTGAATTGTAACTCCTAAAATTCCCATGTGTTCTGGGCAGAACCCATGGGAGGTCATTGAATTATGGTGGCAGGTCTTTCCTGCACTGTTATCTTGATAGTGAATGAGTATTATGAGATCTGATGGTTTTAAAAATGAGAGTTTCCCTGCACAAGTACTCTCTTTGTGACTGCCACCATCCACGTAAGAGGTGATTTGCTCCTCCTTCCCTTCTATCATGATGGTGAGGCCTCCCCAGCCATGTGGAACTACTAAGTCCATTAAACCTCTTTACCTTCCCAGTCTCAGGTATGTCTTTATCAGCAGTGTTAAAACGGACTAATACAGTAAAGTGGTACCAGTAGAGTGAGGTGCTGCTGAAAAGATATGCAAAAATGTGGAATCGACTTTGGAACTGTGTAACAGGCAGAGGTTGAAACAGTTTGCAGGGCTCAGAAGACAGGAAAATGAGGGAAAGTTTGAAACTCCCTAGAGACTTGTTGAATGGCTTTGACCAAAATGCTGATAATGATATGGACAATGAAATCCATGCTGAGGCAGTCTCAGATGGAGATGAGGAACTTGGGAAATGGAGCAAAGGTGACTCTTGTTATGTTTTAGCAAAGAGACTGGTGGCATTTTGCCCCTGCCCTAGAGATATGTGGGATTTTGAACTTGAGAGAGTTGATTTAGTGTATCTGGTGGAAGAGCTTTCTAAGCAGCAAAGCATTAAAGAGGTGACTTGGGTGCTGTTAGAGGCATTCAGTTTCAAAAGGGAAGCAGAGCATAAAGTTTGAAAAATTTGCAGCCTGACAATGTGATAGAAAAGAAACTCCCATTTTCTGAGGAGAAATTCAAGCTGGCTGCAGAAATTTGCATAAGTAATGAGGAGCCAAATGTTAATCACCATGACAATGGGGAAAATGTCTCCAGGGTATGTCAGAGACCTTTGCGGCAGCTTCCTCCCATCACAGGCCAGGAGGCATAGGAGGAAAAAGTGGTTTTGTGGGCCACAGCCAGGGTCCCTGCGCTGTGTTCAGCCTAGGGACTTGGTGCCCTGCATCCCAGCCACTCGAGCTGTGGCTGAAAGCTGCCATCTTAAAGCTAGCTTGGGCCATGGCTTCAGAGGACCTCAAAGATGTTACGGAGCAGTGACAACCCTCTCCAAAAAAATTGGCCTGTCAGAAAAATTGGTGTTGGGCTTTCATTGTGTAAGTTTCAGTGTATGGATATTTTCATTTTACCTTTGAAATCTGCTAGCATTAGCTTAACACTCACAGGACCCCACTTCATGTCTCCCCTGCAGATATCTCTGCCTCATCTCATCAACTGTTCATTCCAGTTGGTTTTCCTTTTGTACATAACTTAATTGTTTCAGATTTCTTTCTATTTCAGGGCTTTGTACTTACTAAGAAAGAAGATATTCCAACAAGGAGTGTCATTATATATTTATTTATTAAAAATGGTTTATTAAGCACCAAACTAATACATGATAAATGCTGAGTATAATAATATGTCTGGCAATGCCTCTGCCTTTATGGTGCTTATGTTCTAGTGTAGAAGACAAAGAGTAAACAAATAAATTTAAAATATAATGGGCAGCTTTTCTACATTGACAATAAAATATTCTGTGGAAAGAAGACTTTACACTAGGTGCCAATGTTTTCATTTCATATAAGGACAGAAACCCGAGAGAAGATTCAATACTGAGGATTGGTAGAGCTGGAATTTATTAACCTCAAAGGAGAAAGAGTTTTGGAAATCAGGTCTCCAGCATTAGGCCAGAATTCTTTCCAACCAGACCACATTGCTGCTCAGGATTGGCTTTCTATTATAGAAACAGTCAGTAACACTGATTATCTTTACAGGTTTGTCACCATTCCACCTCCACACCTTTCTAACGACAGAACCATCATGTATGTTTGTTGGATGTCCTAAATATTACAACCCCAAGATGGCAAACCCCTACCTACAATGAAACTTTGTATTTGGGAAGATAACTTTAAGAAGGAAAAGATGCTGCTATTTGGGGAAACATTAAAACCAGAATAAAAATTGGAAGTAAAAATGAACGTAACCTCATATTTCCTAAATCAGATGTAAGTGCTACCTTGTTGGCATGTGCATGACCTCTCATTCTGTCTTCAGTGTTCATCATTTGTAGCTTTGCCTTTTAAATCCTGATTATAGACATTCTGCTCTTTGAGGGATAGGAGTATAAATGTGAACATTTGAAAAATGTGGATTTCCAAGCAAAGTATACTGCACATAATAGATCAAAATTATTTATTAAGATGAATGAGCCAGGCATGGTGGCATGCACCTGTGGTCTCAGCTACTAAGGAGGCTGAGGTAAGAGGCTTGCTTGAACCTGGGAGATTAAGGTTTCAGCGAGTTGTGATCAGGGTTGGGCACCAGCCTGGTCAACAAAGACTCTGGCTCTAAATAAATAAACAAACAAACAAATAAATAAAATAAATAGTACTTGGTAAAGAGTATTTACTCATATTCTTTAAATCTCGACTCATTTTTTACTCTCTACCATATTTAATTAAAATGAAAAAATAAAACCTCATCTTTTAGTCTCCTGTTTTCTTCATAGATAATTTATAAATATGTGTGTATAAGAATCATTGTTTTGTGATTCTGACTGCCAGTCTCCATGTTAAATTAAGCAAAAAGCTGTCCTGCTGTGCACATGAGTTGCAGGTGCATAAATTCAGTGCTTAAATAAATGTAAGGGAATTAGCGATACCCAGTGGTTTATTTGAGGTATGTGCACTTTCCTATCGGGTTTGAAATACGATGTAATGGCACTCAATTAAGAATGTAGATTTTGAAAAGCCAAATTCAGAAAGAATTTATATAACTCCTTGAGACAAAATAAATTTACAAGAGTCTAGTCTCATGAGGAACAAATACTCATTTTCATCCATCTTTCCACATTATTTACTTTGATAGTATCATCTTTTTCATTATGGATGATACCAATCCTACTCCTTACTCTTAATCCCCATTATTTATTAATGTACTAAAGAGAATAGTGGGGCCACCTGAGTTTGATGAGGATATCCCAGGATAGAGGAAGTTCTCAGAAAGTCTAGAAATAATATTAAAACCAGTAACTTATATTAATATCTATTAGGGTGGTGATAATGATAAGATGATGAGTAAAAGTTCCTTTTCCTAAAGTGTATGTTAAAGATAATAACAAGGATGTATGTGTTAAAATATATTGAATCAATATATTAATAAAGCCAAGGTGGGGGACATCTTAGAGATGAAGAATGTAAACATTGTGAGCAGCTGCAGAGGATTTATACAATAATAAATATGGAATATTATCCATTGCAATTAACAATGAGGTTATTAGTTACTATAACAAGAAGTGTTGCTATGGAAGAAGAGTGGGAACAGAAGCTGGAAGCAGTTACTTGAGGTACAGGGTATGACCTAAAACGTGACCCTGTTTCACTGTTGTTATTGGAATCATTACTATTGCTGCCAACCCACAACATTTGTGACAGCTGCCTACATGCCTAGGTGCACCCTTAGAATTTTTGATAGATCCCACACTAGGCTAGTAACTCGGGTTAATAACTTAACTCATTTTATTGATTCTACAATTGCCGTTCCCTATCGGAACACAGACATGACACCAGAATTTTTTTATCTCTCAACCCCATAATAAACAACCTGTATTTCATATACTCTTTGAAATCTCCTACATTGTGTGACTAATTACTGTTTGGTATCTTCAAACATGAGAGGGGCTAACCAGGGACTCTGTATATTTTAATGTATTCAGAAATGCTGAGTTTGCACAGATTTAGAAGCTTTAAGAGCCTTAGGTATCTCCACCTAGCGTAAGGCCTGCCACTTGTGACAATTGTAAACGGTGAGTGAGAATGTTGAACGGTAAGCATACACCATTTTTAAAAACCTGGAGCCGTAAAGAGAAGTGCACAGATAAGGTTTAACTAGAAGGATGTGTAAGAGTAAGATAAGTCTTTTTTTCAGTATTAATAAGACTTGAGCATGATGCTGTTTTTGACACATTAATTAGAATCTTGACTACATTTTCTATATCAGAAAATTATAAGTAATACATTAAATTGAAATGACCTTGTCATTTAGCTTCCTCTTCACTTTATCTGTAAAACAAGAGGATTGTACAAAATGGTCTTTTATGCTTCTTTTAGTTCTATGTTTCTAAAATTCTGATCCTGTAGGCCACCTCTTATGCAGAACAGAGAATCCATATAATTATTAGAATTTACTCTAACAGATTAACAATAATAACATTTACATTTTTGCCAATATAAATAAGACTGCTGCCCTAACACATATAGATTATATTAAACTAAGCAGTTATTTTTTTCCCTCTGATTTCTCTTGAGATACAAATTAGGTCAAGAGTTAAATATGGTTCTCTGTGCTTGTTAACTCATTCACTTTTTTTCAATGTCATAGGAGCTGACTGTTGGCTATTCAAATAGTCATAATATTCTTAGATTGATGGTACTTGTGGTTAGAAAATTTTTTAATACAGCTTTTTTTAACATGTCTTTATTGGCTTCCAGATTTTGAAGACTTCATATAGTCACATTTTGATAATAGTTTGTAAATGCCTAGAATAGAAATGTCAAAGTTAATAACCTGAAAGTCTTTTAAAATGCTATCAGAGTAAGTGGAATCACTTATGAAAGTGCAACTTGATGTATGTTTTCTCTTGATAGGATTTTTGTCCTATAAACTTATTTTACTTAGTTCAAACAAATGAGTATAACTGAGTAAATTTTTCTTTTGTTATACTTGCAAAATTATCATTTAATTTCGTTTTGTTTGTTATACATCCTTGAATGAGTAGACTAATTTTCATCTGCCTTTTTACAGGGCAGTTTGAGGGTTACCAAAGATAAATACCACACACACACATGCAAACAGACATTTACTATATATTTCTGATTTATTTAGTCAATAATACATAACTTAACAGAGCAAAAGTAGTTGTAGACTTTTACTTGATGTTAGTTTCCTGTAGGACATAATCACTGAAGGTGACTTCTATTCATATAAGATCAAATTTTTTCCTATACAACAGTTATTTGATAATTCAGTTTACCGTACATTCAACAACAACTAACACTACAGGTTTCCCTTTGAAAATTGTAATGAAAATCAGTCTGTGCTGATTCTTATATATTCTCAGCATCAGCTAAGACACATTTTTATTCAGAGAATGTCAGATGATGCAGTATTCAAGGTGTCCCTGATTGATATTTCTGCATTCTTATGCCAGTTTCTCAGCAAGCCAATCTCTCCATATTATCATGTGTAAGATGTGCAAGCATCCTCATGCTGGTACAACACACACACTGTTTAATTTGTGAATCCATCTGTCTCTGCTGGCTGACAAACAGCTAAAAGAGCAGCCTCTTTTATTACATTAAAATATAGAGCTAGAAGACTAGCAGTATGCCTAATATACTGAAGAGGCCAGCCTTAGCATACATTGACTTTTATTATTTAAATTAATAGCCGTGAGAATGTTGTAGGCTTTTAATTTTCTCTTGCAGAAGAAATTCAGATCTTTGACACTAATATTACATTTCATAAAGTAACATCTTGCTACCGATAATTTGGATTCAGCATTTAAATATTTTTATTGTATTTAAAGTGCTTTCTTTTTTCTATTTCAATTGAGTTAATATATAATGTTCCTTCTTCAATTCCCATGAGCATTTTCCAGACATTTAGCATGGAGTGTCTTGTGCACATTAAAAAATTGATAAGCACTGTAGAATTTTTCAAGAGGTGGACAACATAATTTCTCTTTTCAAATAAAATGCTTAATTTAAGTTTAAAATTGTAATGCAGTGACATTAAAAAAGACGCAGTCTAGGTCATTAGTTCTTCGAAACCACAATGGGAAATTGATACTGATT
The DNA here is from genome assembly GCF_000001405.40 of Homo sapiens. NCBI lineage: Eukaryota > Metazoa > Chordata > Mammalia > Primates > Hominidae > Homo > Homo sapiens. The sequence goes on from NC_000004.12 coordinate 45,229,988, forward strand.
TTTATTATTCCTGCTTTATTAAAATGAACACTAATATTAATTTATTTTTTCCCTATAAGAAAGTTTTATTTTAAGCCAATGGGCTGCAAACTCCATGTAACACATATCAGTGAACGTAAAAAAATACAGTGTATCACATGAACCATAGTATGCTAATCATTTCTATAATGCATGCATTTATAAATTATAGTAATGTTCATTGTAAGATAATTAAAATAACTTGATTTACATACAAACTGAAACACTAAAATGTAAAGTATAGGGACAAAATGAGAAAGTGCAATCTCTTTGCTTCCCAAACAAACTTCAGCATAGGAATATATGGTGTTACGTGGGGCTGGCTTTTAAGTAGCATACCCAAAGGCTAAGTTACATAATGAGGAATAATAACATTGCTCAAAACTGAGCTGGAATGGCTAGAACAAAAATAACACTGTGGGTCTAAAAGGTGTTAAAATCCATAAAATGAAGGAACTGATGCAGCTAAATAATCCAATTTGCTGTAAACTTAGTTACAGTATATCTGTGACTTTTTTTAATGGAGCAACATGAAGAAATATTTTAGATTTTCTATACAGTTTCATTCTGCTTGGCTTACTGGTTTAGCTTTTCGCCTGATAAGCAGCTGTAATAACAAACACTATAACTATGAAATTTACTTCTTAAAATGCTTCGGAGAAGATGCAAATGACAGATATCTAACTTACATTGCATAATGTCCTAATGCTGAAATGTTAAATGAAGCTAGGGAGAGCAGAAAATGTGAAAAACAAAGTAAGATACTTTATTTCTATTAGTTTTTTAATCAAACATTTCAGTATTCCTTATATATGGCTCTACATTTTAATTCAACAAACTTTTTAAAAAATATTTGCTATATACCAGGTACTGTATGATTCACAATAAGTAAGACCTGTTCTCCCCAACTTAGTGACTAGTTGAGCAAAAAATGAAATCATATATCACAATGCAGGGTCAAAATTTGATCATATTAATGTAATATCACAGCGTTAAATGGAAATAAAAATAAACAATATTTAGAAGTGGTTAAATATTAGTTTAAAAGTTGTAAGGTAAGCTGACATTGTACTTACCTTCATGGGCGGTGTAGAACATAATAATCAGAAACACTTGGTTCAGATTTTGTGAAGTTGAACAAAATTTTCAAACTCACAGACTCATGAGGAAAACTGAACAACCATTACATAATGTGGCAATGCTATATCCAATAACATGCAAGCAGACACAGGTCTAAATGAATAACTGTAACTCATTGCTAGTTATCTATATATGGCAGATCTGTCAAGGCTTGAAATAAAGAATGTAAAAAAAAAGTGTGTTGTATTCAGTTTCATATATTTTCTGCCATCGATATTTCAGAAATTAGATCATCATCTTCTCAGGAATGCAAGTTCAAAACTTGGAGCATTCCTAATTTGAATCAGCCCACTCCTTCACTATCCATATAAATGAAGGTCCGAACCTTGTTAATTGATATAATTTTTAAATTAATAATCTTGTTATTCATGTAATTCCTTGAATCGGTCTACTACTTTTTATGTATACAGCCACAACTATAGTTCATGTTCTCTTGAACGTTTATTTGTAGAATAAACACTTCTTTAATTGGCTCACAAACCTTATTCCAGGCCCTTCTTTAATGAGTTGCATGTTTCGCTTTAGTCTTTTATTACTTATTTACATCAATAGAGGAAATAAAATAATACTATTATTTATTTTAGTTTTTTTATGTCAGTACTCATGAGAATGTCTCTTTGTCTTTTTGACAGGTGCATAATAAAGTATAGTAAATATATACAATATATAATATAGTCTATGTGGCACTTTATGTATTGGAAGTGAGTTTTTTTTTTAATGGTTCAATAATGGAATGAGACATTTAACGTCTTTTTGTATGCCTCATTATGCACATTATCACATTTCCCTGGGGCAGGTATTGAAGCCTGGTACTTCTTTTTTTCCTTTTTTTTTTCTTTTTTTTCTTTAATGTTACTGTGAGGTTGTTCTTCAAATTGACTGCTCCAATTTAAAACCTTTGAAACTCACTGACATTTGATAATGTCAAAATTTTGAATTTTGTGAATCTGAAGTATAACCATTGATCCAACTTACAGTGGCCATAAAATACATTATCCTAACTCAGAATCTTTTAGAGGAAAAGGAGGTTCTATTTATACTTTTCCTTGGAAAATAGACATAAACAAAGATGATTAGAATCAAACTATATTATCAACATAGTTTAGAAAATTCTAAAACCCAAATCTTATTTCAATTATCATGAATAATTCTTTTTATCTTCAACAGCATAAAGCACAAATTCTTTCTCTAATGTCTGTGTTTTTTTTTTGTCCGAACCTGCCTGACCTTTTCTCCTAACCTCGCCCTCCATCCTTCCACTGAGTACAAATGACCTGTCACTGTGCTCTCAGGCTCTTCTAGCCCACTTAGGCTCCTGCTGTGTCTTGTCTTCTCTGCCTGTTTTCCTGTCTGTGGACGCCCCGATGCCCTACATTTCCTTAAAGGTATAGCTTAATTCTTAAGTCTTTTACATTTTCCAAGACTTTCATATTAAGAATTACTTTATTTTTTATTCTATTATACTTCACCTGCTACTACTGCTCCATCTTCATATTCTCCTCTTCTGCTCTGGGGTAATATAGCCTGGTAATTAAGATAATAGACTCTGGACTTGATTCTCAGCTGTGCAATTTGAATCTGGGGCAAGTTACTTAATGACTGCTACCTAGATCCCTCACAGATAAAATGGGGATAATAGTTCCTATCTTCCAGGATTTTTATAAGGATTAAATAAATATGTAAAGCACTTGGAAATAGTGCCTGACATATGTAAATATTACATGTTCACATGTAAATGTTAATATTTCTCCTAAATACTGGTTTTCCTCAAAAGTTAGGCTTAAGTTTTTCTAAAATCCTCTCTTGCTCATGCACTAAAGAAACTGAGGTCAATTTTTAGCCACTGCTTTAAATCAGCTCATCAGGGCAAAGGAATGTGGAGTTGAAAGTTCAAGTCTTGAGTGGGCCTGGCTCAGGTTGGTATCTTGGATCTGCTACTAGAGAGCTGTGTGATATTCTGACCACATTTTTGATGTTGTTTCTTTCCTTCCACTCAAAAATGCAAATAATAAAAATGCTTACTTTGTAAGGTTGCAATGATAATTAAAATGTTACTAGCTAAGCACCTACCATAGTATCCAGCATAATGGATTAATAAATGTCAACTATTGATAATGCACTTCAAACACAATGGCCCTAGGTCTCTAGGTGAAAAATTATGTTTTCTCACTCTATTCAACCAAGCAACAAATACAGTGTTTTCATTGCCTGAATATCCATAATGCAACATAATCTAAAGTATTAATTAAAATGATTTCTAATATTATAAATCAAAATATATTAATAGAAGTTTTTCATATGTGTTTTTCCAAACTAAATCCAGTAATGAGTGGTTTCCCCTTAATTATTTGGACATTACCAAATAGTACATTCAAAAGATAAAAACTAATTCCAAGTGATATTTCAGCCTTCCTCAAATAATTTTCACATTTCCATAATATCACGAGAGATTTAAATTGATTTTTTTGATGCTATATGTTAGTGGTGTGTGTACGTGTTTCTTTGTGTATTTCCTTTTTCTTTTTTTCTTTTTGATATGGAGTTTTGCTCTTTTTGCCCAGGCTGGACTGCAATGACTCAATCTGGGCTCACTGCAACCTCCGCCTCCTGGGTTCAAGCGATTCTCCTGCTTCAGCCCCCGGAATAGCTGGGATTACAGGCACGCGCCACCAAGCCCAGCTGATTTTCTATGTTTTAGAAGAGACAGGGGTTCGCCATGTTGGTCAGGCTGGTCTCGAACTCCTGACCTCAGGTGATCCGCTGCCTCTGCCTCCCAAAGTGCTAGGATTACAGGCGTGAGCCACCACACCCTGCCTGTTTGTGTATTTCTTAGCTAAGTAATACATTAATATTAAATGATGAAACAATTGTTCTTTATAATAAGTAATTTTAGCAATGGATTAAAAATCATTTAAAATTATTTTAAATGATTATAAATGTGTTATAATTTATCATTTATATATTTAATAAAATATTACTATAATTTTGTTATTACTCAATTGTTATAATATTTAGGTTTTTATTTTTATGTGTTAAAATGAAACAGCATGTATTTACATTGTCTTCTAAAATGAAGAGAAAAGTTGGTATTTGGTGAATGGCAATGATATTTTAAGTATAAAAGTCAACCAAATTTTAAAATAAATTTTTGACAGAAAAATTATTATAGAATATTTTAATACAAGATAGGGTAAAAGTGACTGAATTTAGAAACTTCTAAGAGTACATTAAAAATTTATCTGTTTTTGAACTTATTTAGAGTAATATAGTATTTATATTTTTGTTTGATTTCTTTACATAACATTATGTTGTGAGATTCATGTAAGTTACCAATGTAGCAAAATAGTGTTCATTTTAGTTGCTATAGTATCAACAGACATTTCAATTCTCCTCACTTTGGACCCATATAGGTACATATGGATGTTATAAATATTTTACGCATATTTAATACACTTGTGTAGTCAATCTCTGGAGAGAGGAATTTCTTGCTCATAGATATATATATGGTCAGATTCAGTATACAGTGTCAAACAGTTTTCCAAAGTGATTCCAGTTATTTATCCACCTATGAGAAATTTATGAAGTTTCAGGTTACTACATAATACTAAGAGCTGGTATTATCAGTATTTTCAGTTTTGGCCACTTTGAAGTGTGTACAGTGGTATGAAATTTGGGTTTTAGTTTGTCTTCATAGGTAATGACCCGGGCCTTCCTTTGTGTTGCTTTTGGAAATATGACTATGCTTTTGAAGGATAATTTCACTGGGTATAAAATTATGGGTTGGTGTTTGGTTTTGCTTTGATTTTAACACATTAAATATTTCACTTAACCCTCTTCTTGCTTGTGTAGTTTCTGGTGATATGTCCACAACATTTACTTACCCTTGTTACTCTATGGGTAAAATTTCTCCCTACCTCAGTTTCTTTCAAGATCTTCCCTTTATCTTTGGTTTTCTTCAGTTTAAATATAATACGTCTAGGTATAATTTGTTTTTATATTTATGCTGCTTGGTGTTCTTTGAACCTCCTAGACCTTCCCTTTGGCCTCTGCCATTAATTTTTGAAAGTTCTCAGTCATTATCAAAGAGAAATAGACTAATCCACTATTATAGTTGGAGACTTCAAAAAAATTTTTCCTCTGTTCACTCTACTTATGGTATTCCAATTACACATATTTTATACATTTTAAATTGTCTCAAAGTCCTTGGATGGTGTTTTCTGATTTTTGCCCTTCTTTTCTTCTCATTTTAGTTTGGGTAGAACCTATTTACATATCTTCAAGTGCACTGATTCTTTCCTCAGCTGTGTCCTATCTACTGATAAACCCTTCAAAGGTATTCTTCATTTCCATTACAGTGTTTACAATCTCTAGCATTTTCTTTAACTTATTTCTTAGAGTTTCTATCTCTCTGCTCCTATTACCCATCTGTTCCTTCACAATTTCTACTTGTTTCATGAGAGCCTTCAACATATTAATCACAGGTCTTTTAAATTCCCTAAGTAGTTATTTTTAATTCTAAAATCTATGTCATATCTGAGTCTGGTTCTCTTGCCTGCTTTGTGTCTTCAGATTATGTTTGTCCTGTCTTTCAGCATGATTTGTAATTTTTTTGTTGAAAGCTGGACATAATGTATTGGATAATAGAACCTGGGTTAAATAGATTTTTAATATATGGTTGTATGTTAATCTGGCCTGAAGCTGGGCTTGCTTAATGTTTTCTGTAACTGTAGGCATCAGAAGCTATACATTCCACTACTGTTTTTGATTTTGTCTCCCCTGTTGTCTTTGAGCTTCCCTAAAAGTCTCTCCTTAAACAAAGTCTACATCCTGCAGGTCTTTTTTGTAATCCACTGCTTTTCTACTGCAGCCCTGTTGGTGTATGCTGGTAAGATTTGAGGAAGGGTTAGTGTGATATAATTTTACTACTAAATCTCAGTCCTTTAACAGTACTACATCCTTGGGTTAGAATCTTTACAGTTGATTCTTAGCTTCCCCACCTCTATCTCTTAGGTGACATAGGAAGGCTATCTGAGTCTAGAGAACAAATGCCCATCCCCCAGCTGGGATAAGGCTCTGCTAGTCTCTTTCCCTAAAGAGTAGCTATTTGTATAGTTTCTGGGTGTGTTTCAAAGTAACTGCTTTTGTCCTCTCTCTCCACAGCCATAAGGGGACATTTCTTGGCTCTTTGCTGTAAAAGCCTGGTGGCGTTCCTGGAGATAACACCCATGCATTTGGGTGCTCATGAAAGACTGTGGATACCAGGGAATATTATTTTTTGTTTCTCTAAAGCTAGTGCACACTCAGCTTCAAGCAATTTGTCAAAATTATCATTTTGCTTTCTTACCAGTATATCGCTTCAGTAGCTTCTGCTCCAGGTAAGCATACCTGAGTGCAACCCTGGATTTAACTGACTCTCCAGGTTTAGTGATATGTTCTGCAACCTCAGTTTTCTGACAGGTTAAAGACAGACAAGACATTGATTTTCAGTTTGCTCAGCTGTTTTCTTGTTATAAAGATGGGAATTATGACTTCTGAGTTCTTTAGATGTTGAAACTGAAATAAAAGGTTGGATAGTAAATTTTAATGACTAAAAGATCTATACTATTCATAAGAGTTTAGGTTCCTCCAATCCCTGTATGAGCTACTAGTTTACTTGTTCACATGAATGCATTTAGCACATAATAAATATATACTAAATTTTGATAAAATATAATTATTCAGTATGCAATCTTGAGTTATTTTTATTATTTTAAGTTGCATTTTATATTTAAACTATTTTGAATGTATAAATTTATTTATGGATTACCTATTAATTACACTGTTATGTGCATCTCTGAAATTTTTAATACTGTATGTTTTGTATGTGTATAATGAAACAATCTGGAATAGAACCATTGATTTAGCATATTTAATCACATTTTCATGGAAAGAAGAGAAATAAATAAAGTATTATTAAGTCATAACCAGTGTAAGGTAGAATTAATTTGAGGATTAATACACCCATATTTTTTCTAAGACAATGCATTACTTGAATTTCAAATAATGGTACTTAATAGATTATATTATTTTCTTACATATGTTGCTAAGTGCTGTCTTTAAAGAACTTTGTCAAATGGTTGCTGTGTACGCTCTCATCTAAACAATAATAAGTGGTCAGTTCTACTATTATTCTCTCTGCATTAAAGAACATTTAAAAAGGAAGAAAACTTGATATTAATATAATAAAATCCAATCTCAATATAGCTTAATGCTTTATGGCAAAACAGTAGAAACATCTTCCCTATAATTAGTAAAAAAGTTGCCAAATACCATGCTAATTTAATTCTGGATGTATTAGACATAGTATTAATAATTAGAGAAGAGTAAGTGATGGGACACAAAAAATTTCAAGGAAGGGGCTAATATTATCTTTGGTTGTACGTAATATAATTGTATACATAGACTTATAAATGAAATTCTGGAAGCAAATGCACAATAGAATCATTCTGGAGTTTTTTTTAAAAATAATGCCTCCTGAATTTCATATCAGCCTAAATGAAATAAAATTTGGAAGTGGGGTCTTGGGCATCTGTTACATTGTTGCTTTTTAGTTTTTGTTTGTTTTTTAATTGATTGCTTGCTATTCATCATTCAAAAAGAAGACTATAAAGACCAAAATGAGAAAGGTGACATTGTTTAGTCAAAGATTATGAGCTCATTTTTGATGTTTCATGTTATACCACTAAAATGATTTTATTAAACAAATGACAGAAGTATATTAGTGTCATTTTCAAACCAACTGGAGTAAGAATGTTACATGTATTTTGTTGTCTGACATCAGGATCAAAATTCTAACAAATTCTCAAACTTGTGTTACAATGCTTTCTTTTTTGGCATGACACCTAAATTCTGTAGTGTGACTTTGCATCAATATTTTAAGCTATTTAACAGAAACTATGTATTTATATTGATGATTATTTTATCAACAGTGACACCAAGATTTGAAATAAACCATATACAGAATATGCAAAGCTTTACATTTTACCCATTCTTAAAGCTTCCATATGATATTGCTATACTCCTTAAAATGAAGTCTTCAGATCTTATAACTTTGGTTATCCCACTAAGGATTTATTGGCAAACCTATGCCAAGCAAATTTCAGTTACATTTTTTCTTTATTCCCTCATCAATACCAGATTTTAAATAACAAGTTTAGAATGGATGTTAGTGACATTTTCATTTTTTTTTATTGGTCATAAACATGTTTTTTACCCACGTGCCTTGAATTAAATGCCTGCAAGTTCTCATCGGGATAGAAATAAATTTTGTTTTTTAAGATCAGCAATGGTTTTGAGACAAAGTGTTTTTTCAAAGGAATTTAATAATATTGGAATTTTCAATGAGTGATATTTGTTTTAGGACCTTATGAATTATTTGTGCAAATGTGTTGAGGTTTTTAAAACATATTCCAAAAATCTGTTTTTAAAATACTGTTAAGATGAACAGTTCAAAACTGTGCTTAAATCTATAAGCCAGGGTTCTATTTTGACTTGTTCTCAAAAACCTTATTCTAGCTGTGTTATGTCAGGCTGATTTTTCATCTGATTAGTAGCACATTAATTAGATAAATGTGTTTACAGATATAAAAGTTGCATAACATTTGCCATATCTACAGGAGAGAAAGTCTTCAGGATTGAACTATTGTTCTTACTAATATAATTTCATAGTTATTTCAGCTTCCATATAGGCAGAAGGCAAGGGGAAATTTTCCTCTAGAACCTTAGCCATAATTCAGAGTGAAATTGCCACTTGGACTTAGGGGAATAATTTCTACCTGGAGAATATTTCTATTCTTTTCCTCTCACTAGTAGTACTGTTGACATCCACGTGTATCAGTTAAGAAGAAGTGTGCACCAGCGGGAGATGTGGCGGCGTGGGGGTGGGGGTGGGAAACAAATGGCTATCTTTCTCCTCTAATGTGAAAAATTTTGAATCTCTTTCCTTCTTGCAAGCACCTTTTCAAATTTTTGTCTCATATACCTCTTCCAAGTACTTTTTCATGGAAAATAGTTATATGCGTAGAAATATTAAGAGAAAACAAAGTGTGTAGAAAGTAATATTTTAAAAAATTAGGCAGCAAGCCATAATAATTGCCATCAATTAATGCAACTATGATCAATAAAAGTGTGTTAGGGATTAGGCTTTTCAAATTTTAAAACAATACTAAATAATGAATTCTTCATTAGAATATATTAAATGTTGTGTTCATTTCCAAATGAATTAAAATTGAAAAAGGAACTAGAGTCACAAATGTTTGATTTTCACAGGCCATTTCTAACATTAAGACAACGTTAAATTAAAAAAAATATTGTTGACATGGTTAACTTTATGCATCAACTTGAACACAATATAATGGCCAGTTATTTGGTTAAACACTAGTTTAGATGTTGCTGTGAACATGTTTTGTAGGTATATTTATATTTACAATTAGTTGACTTTAAGTAAAGGAAATTACAAGTAAAGGAAATTACAAGTAAAGGACAAATCTCATTCAATCAATTAAAGGCCTTAAAAGAGCAAAAACTGACTTTCCTAGAAAAGAAGGAATTATGTTTAACTCTAAATGAGAATTCCTGCCTGAGTTTGCAGCCTACCGACCTGCCCTACGTTTTTAAAACTTGCCAACTCTCATAATTGTATGAGCCAATTGCTTAAAATAAAATTTGTCTCTCTCTATTCCTCTCTGTTCTTTATTTCTCTTTTTCTTCAGAGAACCCTGAGTGATATACTAATCCTACCAACACAGAGATAGAATTGGAACTTTGTGGGGTAAGGCCTATGAGCCATGTTTTCTAACATATTTTTTAGCTGATTCTGAGCCAGTAAGCGCGGCATTTGTTAGTGGGCTAGTGTTTAGGAAACATTGAACTATTTAATTCTATCCAAAGTTCACTGTTAGAAACGAAATTGGCAGTTAATATTAGAATTAAATTGAAGTTAAATATTTACATATTTTGAAATTATGACTAACATGTTATGCTTAATTTAAAAGTTATAAATTTAAATATATTTTTTCTGCAGGAAACAGTTTAGCAGGTCCCTTTTAATTCTTGAATTAAAAGTAACTCCATGGAATTATTCTGATTTTTGTTTTTTGTTTTAGACAGGGTCTCCCCATCAGCCTGGCTGGGAGAAAGTGGTATAATCATGGCTTGCTGCAGTTTCAACTCTCTGGGTTCAAGCAATTCTCCTGCCTCAGCTTCACTAGTAGCTGGGACTACAGGTGCATTCCACCTCACCTGGCTAATTAAAAATTTGTGTTTGTTTGTTTGTTTTGTAAAACAAAGTTTTTCTGTGTTGCCCAGGTTGGTCTCAAATTTCCAATCGCAAGTGATCCACTTCAGCTTTTCAAAATGCTGGGATTACAGGTGTGAGCCACTGCACCCAGCCATGGCATTATTCTTATTAGTAATAGCCAAAAAGTAGAAAAAATTTAAATGTCCATCAACTGACAAGTAGATAAACAAATTGTGGTTTATCCATACAATTGAATATTATTTAGCAATAAAAGCAGTGCAGTACAGATAAATGCTACAACATGGATGTATCTTGAAAGCATGCTAAGAGAAGGAAGTGAGTCACAAAAAGAAATCACATATTGAAATATCTCATCTATTTGAAACTTTCTGGGGAAACTAAAATGTCCTGAAGTTAGATAGTGATAATGTTTGCACAATTCTGTGAATATACTAAAAAACCACTGAATTGTACATTTTAAAAGAGTAAATTTTATATTATGTATATTATATCTTAGTACAACTATTAGTAAAATAAAAAGTAATATAAGCATTATAGGAAGTATGGAAATGTCTAATTTCAAAATATATTACAAAACTATAGTAATCAAAACAGGGTGGTATTGACATAAAGATAGATATAGACCCTGATGGAACAGAATAGAGAGCCCAAAAATAAATCCTCAAATATAAGATCAAATGATCTTTGACAAAGATGCCAAGACACGCAATGGGAAATATTCTCTTTAACAACTGGTACTGAGAAAACTATATATCCACATACAATAGAATCAAGTTGGACCTTTACCTTACACCATTTACAAAAATTCACTCAAATAGATTAAAGACCTAAATGTAACAGCAAAAACTATAAAATTCCTGAAGAAAACTAAGAGGAAAAGTTTCATAACATGGGATTGGCAATGATTTCTTGCATATGATACTAAAAGCACAGGCAAAAAGAGGAATAGATAAATTGAACTACATCAAAAAATTTTTAAAAACTTCTGTGCATCAAAGGACACAATCAACAGAGTGAAAATCCAACCTACCAAATGGGAGGAAATCTTTTAACATCTAGATTATTTAAAGAACTCCTACAACTCAACTGCAGAAATTAAAATGGGCGAGACTTGAATAGGCATTTCTCCAAAGAAGATATACAAATGGCCAATAAGCATTGGTATTGATTAGTGATAAAATAGAAATTAAAATCAAAAGTACAATGAGGTAACAGTTCACACCCATCCAATAGAATGACTACCTTTTTTTTCTTTTTTTTTTCCTTTTTTTTTTTGAGAGAGAGAGCCTTGCTCTTTCACCCAGGCTGGTGTGCAGTGGCGTGATCGTGGCTTACTGCAGCCTCACTCTTCTGAGCTCAAGTGATCCTTCTGCCTCAGTCTCCTGAGTAACTGAGACTACAGGTGCATGCCACCATGCCTGTTTGTTTGTTTGTTTTTTCAATTTTTAGTGGAGATGAGGTCTCACTATGTTGCCCAGGCTCAAACTCCTGAGCTCAAGTGATCTTCTGTCTCGGTCTTCCAAAGTGCTGAGATTATACACATGAGCCACCACACCCAGCCCTATAAGTTTAAAAAAGTGTTGATGAAGATGAGGAGAAATTGGATTGCTTGTGCATTGTTGGCAAAATGTAAAATGGTGCAGCTATTATGGAACACAGTATGAAGATTACTCAAAAAATTAAAAATAGAATTACAATATGATCCAGCAATACCACTTCTGGGCATATATCCAAAAGAATTGAAACAGGATCTCAAAGAGATATTTGTAACATTATTCACAATAGATAAAATTTGGAAGCAATCCAAATATCTATCCATGGATTATTGTATAAAGAAAATGTGGCATATATATGTATTTCATTATATATATTTATATATTATATACAATACATATAATATGTAACATATAATATTATAATATATATTATATATAATATAATATATTATAATATATATTATATATAATATAATATATTATATATAATATAATATATTATAATATATATTATATATAATATAATATAAAAATATATAATACATAAATATATATATAATGAAATATTATTCAGCCTTAAAATGAAGTAAGTTCTGTCACATGATACAATATGAATGAAACTCGAGGACAAAATTCCTAAGTGAAATAAGCTGATCATGAAAAGACAAATTCTGTATGATTCCATGTATATAAAATATACTAATAGAAACAGAAATTTGGTGGTTGCCAGGTGCTTGGGGGACAGGGAAATGGAGAGTTATATTTCAATTTGATACAGAGTTTCAGTCTGGCAAGATGAAAAAGTTCTAGAACTCTGTTGCACAACTATGTTAATATAATTAACACTACTTAACTATTTTTTAAAAAGACAAACTGTTGACAAATCACTACAAAGAGAAGTATGGGAAATAAGAAAAAAATTAAAAAGCAAAATTATCTACAGCCAGACCACCCTAATACTAACATTAATTGCACCCTGAGAGAAGACACAGACTCTCAGAACAGAAGAGAATGCCAGTAATTACAGCTGGAAAATCCAAGCCTCAGAGAAGTAATTTATTTAAAATCACACAGAGTTGGTGGCAGAATCAGGACTAGAGCATTTATATTTTCAGTTTTACATCAATTCAATAATCGTTTAAAAATATGTTGTTCTTTCAATTATGTAAGAAATATGGAAGTCTAGAAATACAGAAAAGTCTGAGGAGCCATAGAAAGCAAAACAAAAACAAAACTCTGTGAGATTTGTCAGAAGTATCTGAACTGTGTGGATCCAACCAAGGTGTCAATGTTGTTAGTTAGCGGTGAATACTAGTGCTTGTGAGACCACACAATTATATGATTTTCGTGTCCCAAAACTGGGAGGACAAAATGACCACATGAACACATTGCTAGGACCATCGTATGTCATTGGACGAGATATATGCAAGTAAGAGGCTCGGAAACTTAAGCTTCATTATCTCAACCAGAAATTTGCCACAGCACATTTTAACAGCTCAAGGCTGCAATGTTACTTCAGAGAATGGCACCCTAAACACTTGGCCATTTTATCTTCATAAAAAAAAAATATGTGGCATAGGCAGACTGTTAATATAATAATTATTGTTTTTATATGGAAATGCAATATTAAAATAAATAGTTCGTGTGAATTAAGGCATCCCAACTATAGAAGACAATATACACAAGACAAAATTAAAAGGCAGTCATCAAGCTGTATCTGCACAACACGAAATATGTTATATACACACTTAGATGTTCACACACACACTTTCTTAAAATCCAAATAAAATCAGTAAAAAAATTAGATATTTTGCTTGATATTTTCAGGTACTTGGTTTTGCTCAGTAATTTTATCAGTCAATAATTGGTAAATTACCCTCTGTAAGCTTAGTTTCTTCATCTGTAAAATTAAAATAATGCTAACTTTTTGGGTATTCACCATAGGTATATGCCTTATAAGGTGTTGAAAGGAGATATTTGCATATACATATATTAGTGCAGACTCTGGCAAAGAGTAACTCCTGAAAAATATTTAGCTAATAGTTGAATGATTTCGATGCTATCCTATTTAACATAGAATATTAAACATAGAGTATTTAAATTTAATAATTTCAAGATTATCCATGCCCAAGTTATGAATAAAACTAAACTAGATCCTTTCTAATTCTCCAAAAATGTAAAGAAATTAATGTGAACTGATACACATTTGATATCTTATTTCTTTTTTAAAGTCAAATCTAAAAGTTGCTCAAAGGCTTAATTTACTTATACCTCTCATTGTTGTTTTTTTTGGTAAGGGTAGCTAAAAATCTATGCATCTAGCATGAATCCCCAACACAGTACAATTTCATTAATACGCCTAGAGATCTCATGTTGTACATGAGATCCCTAGATTTATTAATTTGCTTCACTGTACTGACTTTCTTACAATCTATATATATCCTATAACAACCTTATGGTTGATATTTTAAAGTACTCAGTTTTGCTCAGTAATTTTATTAGTAAACAATTGTTAAATTACTCTCTGTAAGCTTAGTTTTATCATTGTAAACATAATGTTAATGTTATGGATATTCACCATAGGTATGTGAAACCTGAAATATAAACCATAGAATTTACTTCTTAAAATTTTAAAGTTATAAAAGGGGCTTAATTTAATATGCCCTCCTTTAAGAAGGCAGAGAAAATGTGTCTCATTTAGTTAAGAAGATGTTTTTAATGATAAATTGTACATAAAGCTATTGATGACAGTGCTTGTTGAGTGTTTACCATTTATCATTGATCTGTTACTCATGTAAAACTGAATGATATAATAAAATCATTCCCGATTAAGTCCTTAACTAAGTCCAGAAGAAAATTGTTAACAAACATGTTAAGTGCAATTACCTCCTAATTCTTACTTAAAATAACATCATTTATTAGAAGACAATATCTTCAAAATCCATGTGTTTTTTTATTGAAATAACTTTAATCAACGATTTATAATAAATAGTTGCTAAGAGTCTAGCTATCTGGGTTCTGCTCCTATGTTTTCAATAAACTCATTTTTATGACCACATTTAAGGCTTCCATATTAAAAAATTAATTGGTAATATTTATTGTCTGCATCTTTTTAGACATTCTTTCAGCTTAATTGGTGAATATTAAACACAATTTCTTTAAATTAAATAAAACTCTTATTTGACCTCTTTATTTAGTCTTTTTTATGGACATATGATCATCTCTTAAAACTGTTGCTCTCCTTATGTTGCCCAGGGTAATGTATACTACTTAAAATTTTGTTCTGTGTCCTCTCTCTTATTATCGTAAGTCAAATAAACTTTCCTTACAATGGGCAAATTAAAGAGTCTGTAAAAGATTATGTTATTAACATCTTTCACTGGGCAACAGTCCTTTAGCCCAATTCAGACTTTATAATGTATAAAAATATTCCTGTTTGAGGAACAGAAAGGAGAGTAATCAGAGGAAGCAAGAGAAAGCTGCAAAGAAAATGGAGAGATAAGCAGGTAAATTCATGCAGAGAGATGGAGACTATGGTACCCTGGGAGTAAGATGGAAGGAAAGGTGGCTGGCTATGAAGAGATCAAAGGACCACAGAGGCCACAGTATTAGATGTGTCGTTTCCAACAATATAGACAATATGTATGAATGTGAGGATAGATGCAGCTGTGGAGAAAGAAAACTGGGCCACAGTGCTTAAGCCTTCAGTGAAGAGACAGAATGACTAGGAGAGCTCACAGTAACATGTTTGTAATTGTGATGTACTTAGATGACACAATTTTCAACAGAACTCATGTTTTATAAGACAGAAAATTGATAGAAATGGCAATGTTTGGGTGGTGGCCATAAAGGAGGTTGTATGGTCCATCCCCTGGCCTGGCACAGTGTTGTGTGTGGTGGGAGGGAGCTAATATCACTTGGATATGTTTTCAAGCATCATGGCCAGCTGAGGCTAGGAGAAGGAAATGTACCCAGGGAGATTATGGCTCAACATAAACTTTGTGCTCCAAGGATACAAATGAAAGGGCTTAGTAGAGAAAGAAGAAATGAATGAGTAAATAGGGATGAGATGCTTAAAAACTGATGGAAATTGTCTTAGAGAGTGAGTTTTCTTACAAGAAACATGAGAAGATGTGGCAGATTCTAATGTTGCCATATCTTGTTGCTATATCTTCCTTGAACACTTCCTTCAACAATGCACTATTTTCTTGTATTTGGGAGTTTTAATTTCCTTTTTGGGCAATTCCTTCAATCTGATTTCAACTGAATTCAAATTGCCAAAATTAACAATATTTTTTAGTATGTGCTTTAGCTTGTACGATCACTTAGATTCCAGTAATCATCTTCAAATAACTGTCTCTTAATAATTCTTTGTGAGTGGCTGTGCTGAAAGCATAGGTTAAGAGAGCATAATATTCTTCTGTCTCAAGTGAAGAATACATTGTCTTTCATATATTAAGAAAAATTATGTTTCATCCTCCAAGTTTATAATTATGGCTTTGTGAGCTAACTATGCATTTGCTGTCATATTATGTTACATAACTAAGTTACCTGATAAAATTAAGTGTTGTAACATTTACTATATTTTACTATACTCTAACAGTGGCTTTTTATAAATCTCTAATTTTTTTTCTAGGAGAGTGTAAAATGTACAAAGTTCAATAAAGTGATGTTGTAACTGTCACTGTTATATGACAGTTTCTCAACTATTCACTTGTTTATGTCTCTGAATATAATTTTTATGCCCAAATATTCATTTTAGCAGCAAAAAATGAAGATAATAATCCTTAATGTCACTGAAGACATAGTAGATTGCTTCATCTTATGTGGTCACATTCCTATATCCATTTAACTTTGAAAGCATTCTTTCTGCAAAATTTTAGTTTCCAATGCTCAAGCTGAACATTTCTTTGATACTAAAAACTGACATATGAAATGATGAAATATAGACCAAAGGCCTGGAAATTCTCTTTAATTTGTATATTTTTTTAATTTTTTCAGAAAATGCCTTAGGATTTTCTTTGTCATTTTCAACTAGGATAACCACTGGGGAAGAGCTGAAAGAGATATCATATAAGTCAATGTCCATCTTTCTCATTATTTGACTCCATTCTTAGCTGTTTCTTCCCTTAGGGAGATTATTCTCACAAATAATCCTTTAAGGTTGTAGTTAATACACCAGTGTTTCTACAATAAACAGTTACACAAAAGTGTCACGTATGCCGCAGAAAATTTTTGAAAATTTTACCTTTTACTATTTTTAATGAATTAACTATTTTACAAATATGTGTATTGCCACTTATAAAGTATATTCTATATGATAACGACAGGGCTAAGTGCTTATATAATCTTTTTTTTCTAGATATGATTAACAAAAGTACAACTAAAATTACCTTAAGAAAAATTGGAAATTTATTGACTGAAAACATCAAATCAGGCCTGCCTTAAGGAAAAGGTAGAAGTTGGCCTTGTCAATGACTAGAAACTGTGCTTTAGCAATAATCAAGAATCTGTCTCAATTTCTCACCTCTGCTCCTTTATACCCATCAAATTTTCTCTCCCTACAATTAAAAAATTTTTTTATGACCAAAAACATAGTTAATGGCAATTTCTGGCTTTTATAACTTATACTTTCAGTTCACAGGACTGAGGTTTTTCTTGATTTCAGTTCATAAATGCCCAAGAAGGAACTCAGATTAGCTTAGTCTGGCTCAGATGCCCACCTTTAGGTTAGGGCAAATCAGTGTGAGTAGAGTTTGTGTTAGGTATTATAAAATTAAAGATTTTTATTTAATCATATGAATTTTAATGGAAAATAGGGAGTTGATTACCAGAAACGTTTGGGGTAGGCCACACACAGCTCCCCAGAAGATTATTTGCTACAGTTTGAATGTTTATGTACTCTCCAAAATTCATGTGTTGAAACATATCGAGGGAACCAGCCCCCAATATTTCAACATAGGTCCTTTCTATTTTCCCTAAGTGTAGGCTAGGCTGAGAAATAAAGAGAAAGAGTACAAACAGAGGAATTTTACAGCTGGGCCTCTGGGGGTAATATCACGTATCGGTAGGTCCGTGATGTCCCCTGAGCCACAAAACCAGCAGGTTTTTATTCAGGATTTTAAAAGGGGAAGGGGTGTACGAACAGAGAGTAGCTCACAAAGATCACATGCTTCAAAGAGCAATAAAGATCACAAGGCAAAGGCAAAATTACAATGACTGATGAGGGTCTATGGCCTGCTGTGCATGTATTGTCTTGATAAACGTCTTAACAGAAAACAGGGGTTGAGAGCAGAGAACTGGTCTGACCAAAATGTACTGGGCTGGAAGTTCCCAATCCTAGTAAGCCTGAGGGTACTCCAGGAGACCAGGGTGTATTTCAGTCCTTATCTCAACTGCATAAGACAGACACTCCCAGAGCGGTTGTTTATAAACCTCCCACCAGGAATGCATTCCTTCCCCAGGGTATTCTTTGCTGGGAAAAGAATTCAGCGATATCTCTCTTACTTGCACATCCATTTATAGGCTCTCTGCAAGAAGAAAAATATGGCTCTATTCTGCCCAACCCCACAGGCAGTCAGACCTTATGGTTATCTTCCCTTGTTCCCTGAAAATCGCTGTTATTCTGTTATTTTTCAAGGTGCACTGATTTCATATTGTTCAAACACATGTTTTACAATCAATTTGTACAATAGTGGTCCTGAGGTGACATACATTCTCAGTTTACGAAGATAACGGGATTAAGAGATTAAAGAAAAGACAGGCATAAGAAATTATATGAATATTATTAGGGAAGTGATAAATGTCCATGAAATCTTCACAATTTATGTTCAGAGATTGCAATAAAGTCAGGCGTAAGAAATTATAAAAGTATTGTTTTGGGAACTGACAAATGTCCATGAAATCTTCACAATTTACGTTCAGAGATTGCAGTATAGACAGGTGTAAGAAATTATAAAAGTATTAATTTGCAAGACAACAGTAGGTCACAAACAGTCACATTTACTTGACATGCAGACCAGTGAGCAACTGCCTTTTGGAGTATCCCATGAAAGAGAAGACGGAAGGGTAATTTCTTTTCCAAACTCCCTCTTATCTCCTATTACCAATTGGTTGAAGTTTACCTCATGCAATAGTAACCTCTCCTCACATCCAATTTGCATTGGAGAATCACATAGGTG
This sequence comes from Homo sapiens, assembly GCF_000001405.40. Taxonomy (NCBI): domain Eukaryota; kingdom Metazoa; phylum Chordata; class Mammalia; order Primates; family Hominidae; genus Homo; species Homo sapiens. Next base: position 45,249,121 of record NC_000004.12, read on the forward strand.
ATTGTTCATTATTTCATAATACCACAAACCCTGTTATGGCATTTCACTAAGATTTGAATCTGGTGAGAAGATCCAGAAACAAAACAAAACAAAACAAAACAAAAAACCCAGGTTGATTATGCTTTGCTGTCCCAGAACAAGTGATTATGCCATGATTGTGGCAGCACGGTCCAAGAGGTAGAAAGTGTATTCAGACGGAAAGAACCAAAACAAAATAGGCAAATAAGATTTGTCTGATACAGTCTACTTCTTGTGCCACTCAATGCACTCATGTCTTCCCACTGTATATAGATTCCATTTTACAATATTAAGCTTACGCTTTTTTATGAGAATAAAGATATTCTCACTCCTTCTCTCAAAGGGGAAGTACACCATTCTTCAAGTTGGAGGCCAGTTATAATATCCTAGAAGACTTCAGCAAAGGAGATGTTAAAATAAGATACAGTCTTTGCTGCTTTATGTGGTCTTGTGATCATAACTTACATTCATCATCGTCCTTGTCCTCTACCTATTTTAGTTCATCTCATATTTTGCTAGTACGTCAGATGGTCTGGCTCACATTTGCCATATCTTCATTCTTAGTTTTTAGAATTCTTGCTAGCCCTATCCTGTGTTGTGGTGGTTGTTATCACTTATTGGTGTTCTTTACTGAACAAGGAACAACAAAGAGAAGCATTAGTGAACTTCCTGAGTTCTAGACACATTCATCTTCAACTTTATTGTGAAGGGGCAACTCTGGATCCTTAAGTACCTCAGTAAACCATTTAAATCTGCCCATGAGTCAGTCTACAATGTACCTTAGATAAATGCTCCCTCCACATGAAGTGGGTGGCCAAGTTTTCCCACAGCTCCTTACTCTTATTTCCCTTCCAACACCATCTTTTACAGACAGTCAGATAGAGTTGTCATGTGACAGCCATCCATGTTCAGCTATCCATGACAGCTATCCATGACAGCACTAACATATTATGCCAGCTGATCTGTGAATCTGGCAGAGTCTGTTCCTCTTTTGTTCATTATTCAAAGGGAACAGACCATCAGTGTGCAGTGAGGGAAATTTAGTAATGCGGTAGTAGACCAGCAGTCTAGGCCACTCTTTTGAGATGATTTGTTTGTGAATTCTGGACCTGCACAAACTCAGTCCTCAATATACCTTTTCCATCACACAATAGTTTGTTGTTGTAAATCCACACCTTTTTACTCAGAGAATAACACCTAGCTGATGACATAAACTTCCGGTCACACAGTCTTTTGACCTAGCTCATGATATAAACCTCAGGTCATGCAGTCTTTTGGTATGTCTCATGGTCAGAAGCTGAGGCTCAATCTAGTGACAATGGGACACCAGGACTTCTATGAATAGATTATTTTCTGGCCACAGACCACATACCCCTGCTCCAGAATGCTAAGACTTTTAAATTTGAATATGCCAATATTATTACTTAGGGTATTATTGGCAACATAGATCTGCTAAATCATATGACACCTGAATCAGAGAACTTTGCACTGATAGCCTAAATCTACTGCAAAGCTCTGTCTTGCTCTGGAACTCATTCAAATTTTCCACGCTGCTTGGTTGCCCAATAAATGTTTGGAACAATATTCCAAATTGAAATATATGCTGCCTTCAAAGTCTGAAGAGGCTCCAAAGGTACTCTACCTCTTTCTAAATTGTTGGTTATACAAATAAAACAGCATTTTATTTATATCAAAGTGGATATTCCAGTATGTCCCAGACACCCAGGTATCTAAAAACTTTCCTAAGAATACCCATTAGCCACTTCCATAGTTTCCTGTGGTTCAAGGCTCTCTGATTGTCACTTTGACTTTATAGTCCATTGCGGTAATTATGTCTACCTTTGTTTCTGATGGTTAACTACTGTCATTAGTTTGCATTACAGAATTATATGATTCTCCACTGATATTAGGGGGTTCAAGCTAATGGTGGCATCCCTCACCAAAAACTCTAGCTTATAGTAGTTAGCTGCCAGCATTGGTTTTCAGAAATGCTGAATCCCAATTTACCAGTGCATTTTTAATTGCTAGGTGAAGGAGATAACATCTGGGCCCCTCTGGAGCATTTAGTCAGGTACTCATTTATTATCCTATAATAAATTTATCTGAAAGAAATAGGGACTCCATTTCTTAATAAGAAGGATTCTAAAAATTCCCGTCACATAAAAATATTCCACCTATTCTTTCACCTGTGGAAAGCTGAGATAAATGTTCCACCATATTTCCTGTTTTCCATTGGTCAAAGGTCACCCATGGGAAACTAAATCTCTGCCCTTGCAGGTTGCATCATTTGATACCTTATATTGCTGTCTTACAATTGACACCTTACTTGGTGCCAGATCCAATGCCACATAATCCATTGTTCCATCCACCATCTAGAAATGGTGGGAGGCTGGAAACTCCTGGCATTGTGTTGGTCGAGCTGGCATGCACTCTCAGGACGAGTGTCCTCTCTGTTGTTCACTGGACAGATTTGTAGGCAGATGGGTCATGAGGACGGAATAAAACCATTCTGGAAATTGGGGAGCCATGTAAGCTTTTTGTCTGAAACAATCACCCCCTCTCTGAAACCTCATATCTAAAGTAGAATTGTTTTGAAATTATTAACATCTTACATGTCTGTGTTCCTCATTGAACTGAGAATTCCTGAGGGCAAGAATTCAATTGTCTATTTATTTTTGTATTTCTGTTTTTTTTTTAATTGTTGTTTTGATTTTCGAGACAGGATCTCACCCTTTTACCCAGGCTGGAGTGCAGTGGCATGGTCAAGGCTAACTGCAGCTTTGACCTCCAGGGCTCAATCAACCCTCCCACCTCAGCCTCCCAAGTAGGTGGGACTACAGGTGTGTGCCACCGTGCCTGGCCAATCTTTGAATTTTTTGTAGAGATGTGGTTTTGCCATGTTACCCAGACTGGTCTCTAATTCTTGGGCTCAAGTGATCCTCCTGCCTCAGCTTCCCAAATTGCTGGGATTATAGGCATCAGTTACCAGGACTGGCCTATTTTTTTGTATTTCTAAGGTCGGTACAGTACCTGATACAAAATAAACTGTAAAATAATTATACTTATAAGTAATACAGAAAAAAGTTTTATAAAGATACCAACACTTAGTGTGGTTTCTAAAACAACTCATTTTAATCTTCACTTTCAGAAGAAGAGGATTCTCTTTAAGAACATTGTATTTATATATATATATACCTAATTTGAAGAATAGGTTATTCAAATCATGGCTCCATTTTTCTGAGGCCCAAATGTGGGTTCATAATTCTTGACCTAACAACCCAGAGCCAAGCTCAGACAAAGCCAGAATTATTAACAAGACATTTGTGTAGTAACAAGAACAGAAAATGTGATTTTAATGGAGAATAGATTGAAATTAGCTTAATCTCATAATTATGCCCTGCAGTATCTAGAAAAGAAGGAGAAATGGTTCATTAATATAAAAATATTATTGGATAATCATAAATATTCAGAGAACACGGTATAATTTTTAGAAGTTCTTTACTTTGCCTGAATCTCTAATCAGGCTCTTGAACATTGATTTTTCCTTTATTCCCCTTACTCCTAGAACATTTCATTCCCACCTCCATTGTCTGTACCTGTCTGCATGGGGTCAGAAACTTCTTTTTATAACATAACCTGATGTTTTTGTGTCAACAGAATTTTTTACTTTTTCTGTTTTCTATTTAACCAAAGACCTGTCTCCTAAAACTGGTGAAGATTGCATGAAAATAATAAGGTGAGTTGAAGTGGGAGTTAAATGAACAAAATTCTGTATTGCCTCATTTATTCTATAATAAAAAATGTTTCAGGTAAATTAAATTTAAATAATTTTATATTTGTCATTTATTTTTCGGTGATAAGGTAGTGACAGAAACCATTAACGTGAAAATGTGTCTTTAGTACTAGCTTTGCTATATTCTGAAGAATTTTAAATGCTTGTTGAGTGTACCAACTTCTGAAATATAGATTTTTAAAATCCAAAGTAGAAACTCAATTTAATAGAATTAAAATAAGGACTTTATATCCGTAATTACCAACGTACTTATTTCCCTGGATCCCATGATGCTAGAAAAACAAGCATTCTACCACTGCTTTCCCACTATGTATTCACAGTAACGTGAAAATAAGGTCAGCAGGATATTAATAAATTAGATTATGGTTTTTTATTTGGCAGTTGCTTGCCAGCTGCTTCTAATTTGCTCTTTTCACCTTCCTATTGAAATAATATAAACAAGAGGTAGGCTTTTATTATAATGTGTGAATTGTTCTTATTCTGTCCAGCCCAGCTAGCCTTATTTCTGGCTATGATACTAATACAGAAGCTCTCTGATATAAGAGTTTCAAAGATGTTCATTCATATCTGAACACATAATTTGTTACTGTTCTTATATTTTCATTCAATAAGAGGTTTAATGATTTTTTTGTGTGTTTTCCTACAATTCTCAATGTTTAACATTAATAAACCTGAGACTTATATAGGCAATTTGCTACCTCTGGCATATGATTAAAGCATACCATAAATTTTGTTTTTAATGCTATGCACATTCTAAGATTCAGTCCAAATAATATTTTTGTACTAGATTATTAAATTATTTCCAAAGATTTTTATGATCAAAATCTCATTTATTTATATTTATATTCCTATAACAAATAGCACTTACTGTAGACAGGTATTATGCTATATACTGGGGACACATGGCTAAGCAAAGTACAAAAACTCTGCTCTGTTGGTACTCACAATCTAGAAATGATGACAAGTGTTTACCTCCACTTATTTCTATAAAAAGTCACATGTAACTACATATTATTACAAACTACATAATTGCAAACTGTTGCAAATGCAGTGAAAGGAAAATATAGGATGCTATGAGAGCTATTTTTGCTATTAAGCTATTTTCTCTTTCACAAGCCTAACCTTATGGGTTCTGTGATGCTTGGGCAGGGACTTGAATAACTACATTTATTTTTTGCAGGTTAAATTTCTTTTAGCTTCTGCTAGTAGGGGGCACTAGATGGGGATAAGTCAATGGTGTCTTTCTCTGTTTGCTGTTCTTGTTTAAAAAACAAAACAAACAAACAAAAAACAAAAACAAAAACAAACCTCCCGACAGCAGGAATTGTTTTCATCAGCAACTGTTTCCAGTTTTCAGATTTTCTCATATTTTCAGAGCCTGCCACATTATAACTCTATCAGAGATAACAAAACTAGCAGTAGAGTGCCATTTCCTCAGAGGTCAGAAACCCCTCTATGGACACTATCCTCTTAGCTTCAGAAGGACTCACTAGGCAGTTCCCCTTCCTAACCAATAAGAATTTTAGACAAACAAAACTCTTCTTTTCATTTCGATAGCTTTAGAGTGGTAGCTACTTCTCGTAATTGCTATTTCTATATTTTCAGATTTTCAGCAACTGTATAAAAATTCATCGTTTTAAATTCTGTTGAAATAACTTGTATGGTTTCTATGTCCCTATATGGTTGATACAAGAACAGTTAACAAGGGTACCTTCCAGCAATGGAAATATGGTAAAGATTTCCCTGAAATGATTTTTGACCTAGATTTAAAGACGTATCTCCAACCCAAATCAATCTTCCGATCTTTAGGTCCATTGTGTCACTGACAATGAAATATCTCCTTTAAAGTTCTATAAGCATCTCAATCTAATCAGCTTAAAAATAAAATTAATTTTTTCTTAATGCTTTAGTCCTTACATTTATTCCTTGCTCTTTTCCCTATGCCAATGAATGACATCACCATCCACTTATTTACTTAAATATCTGGAGATTATTCTTTACTCCTTGTTCTTTGAGCCACACAGTCAATTAGTCACTAAATATGCCATTTCTATCCTTACATAGCCCTAAAGCTTGTTTGCTTATTTCCATCATTAGTTACTACTTCCATCACATACCTTGCCTGACTTGTTAGGGAGGTTTCCTCGATGTATTTCTGGACTATAGGCTTTATCTCATTAAGTCAGTCTTCACTTTGAATGATCTATACACCTAAAAGTAGAAATTTAATCACACTATATTCCCTTATGTAAATCAATTCAATAAGCTCCCATTAACCTAAAGTCAAAACTAGTCTTCCATGATCTGATTACTGCTTACTTTAAAAAATCTTAAAAGAAAACTGTATTTTATAATTCTCACTATGTGAGTCTAGTACACTGTCACAAACACTGATGAAAATGTATTAATGATTACAGAATTTCAGAAACAATTCCTTAGAATAGATATTTTCTGAATATAAATATTAATATTGCTAATTAGAATCCAAAACCACTCTTGGAGAAATAAAGAATATCATGAGTTTGTAATCATTTTTTTTGCCTTAAAAAATGGTATCCTAGGGAATTCAAGCTTTATGAGCACATGGTGTTTATATCAGATCCATGTTTGGCTCTCTGAGTTACAGGGTCAGAAATACACATATATAAAAGTTTTAAAAAGAGAAGACAACTGAAATAGAACTGTTCTTGGGAAAGTGTATACAGGTTGCCTGAATTTGACTTTGCTGTGCCGCTTACGATATATATGACCCTGTGCAATTTACTTCTCTCTCTCTCTCTGTGTGTGTGTGTGTATTAGTTTATTCATCTAAAAAATGGGAATAATAAGAACATCTACTTCACATGATTGGTAGAAAATTAAATTAGTTAATATATGGAAAGCATTTAGAACACTAAATAGCAAGTAGAAATTGCGTGATGTGTACATATATATTAAACTATGTGTACATATATATAAATGCCTTAAATAAATGTCTACATATATAAACATTATAACTACATAATAAACACAGCCAATTCTCATTATTCGTCTTAGTCAACTTGTCAGAGGAATTTGACATGACTGTTCTCTATTTGTTGAAACATTTTATTTACTTGGCTTTCAAGGCACTATCTTCACTTGCTTTTTCTCCTATTTCTCAGACTTCTCTTTCCTAGTTTTTATTGCTCATCTTTTTCACTTCTGTATTAGTTCATTTTCATGTTGCTATGAAGAGATGCCAGAGACTGGGTAATTTATAAAGGAAAGAGGTTCACTTGACTCACAGTTCTGCATGGCTGGAGAGGCCTCAGGAAACTTACAATCATGGCAGAAGGGGAAGCAAACAAGTTCTTCTTCACATGGTGGTAGGAGAGAGAAGTGCAGAACAAAGCAGGAGACAAGCCCCTTATGAAACTATCAGATCTCATGAGAACTCATTCATTACCATGAGAATAACATAGCAGCATGAGGGAACAGCCCCCAGGATCTAACCACCTTCCATGAGGTCCCTCCCCCAGCTCATGGGGATTACAATTCGAATTACAATTCAAGATGCGATTTGGGTGGGGACACAGAGCCAGACCATATCAACTTCTAAGCTTGGAAGGCCCTACAGCTCAATCCTTAATCAACTTCTGCTTTCCATGTCTATTACTCTATCTGTGATCTAATTCAATCTTTTACTTTAAAGGCTATGTGAATATGTCTGACTCAAATTTATATCAATAGTCTGAACAAGTCCCTGAATTTCTGGTGTGCACCTATAGATTTGTATAGTTAAGTATCTACTCATCATTTTACTAATGGAAGAAAACTAAATCATTATGTGTCCCAAAGTGAGTTCCTCCTATTTTACCATTCCAAATCTGCTACTTCTACAGTCTGATTTGATCACAGGTCACAAAACTCTTGAGAACTAAAGACCACTGATAAAATTGTATCACTTTAAATTTTGTATGCTAGATATATTTATTAATATATGTATAATATATTCTGAATATTCTATATACATGTGAAGAAATTATCCATCCCTTATTTGTGCTTCTATTGTTGCATGTGCTAATAATTGTTGAAAATCCTGAAAAGAAAATGCCAAAACTATGTGGCATTATTTTGTACCTGCAATGTAGATTAAAAATAAACTATATTTAATCAAGAAGTTACAGGTACATCATGGTCAACAAAGACAATGAAGTAAAATTATGTCTGCATTACCATATTTTCTAATATTAAATTTAACCACAAGTAAATTTCAAAGAAATGCCTTCTTTGGCAAAAAATTAATCTTTCACTGTATGTTAGGAAAAGACGAAGATAACTGGTATGCACAGAAATGAACAGCTGATGTTTTATATTGCACTTGCTTTTAGGCAATGCTCACTGCATTCTTTCTCTCTCTCTTACTCTGTCTCGTTCTCTCTCACTCTATGATTTATAATTTTTGCTAGGCCCACATAGTTGAATTTCTTAAATGAAATATGATTATAACTATACTATAAAGTAAATGATAACTTCCTAAAATTCATACATGAAAATATCCCCAGCTCGTGGGGATTACTATTCGAATTACAATTCAAGGGGATTCACAGCAAAGGGATTTACATATAATTATCAGTAATCTATTGCTGTATACATTTCCTTCAGTTAAAATTATTTCCACTTCCTAGGCTTTATTTTACTGTCATCATCACTATGTTTATTGCTGAAATAAATACTTTGTCTAATATAAGGCACAGAAACATTAATAAATTATAGAGATATCAAGTTGTTAAATCTAACTTAAAATACTTACAGTATCTTGTATTTCCTAGGTCTAAAGATATATGTTCAGTTTTTACAAAACAGAAAAATAAGTAGGTTCCCCCAAAATATGAAGACAGTACATGTAGGATTAGAGAGGTGCCTTGGTATAATGAAAACAACTGTGAGAAAAGCGAATATTGTTTCCTCTCCACAGAAGGCCTATTTGCAATTTAATAAAACTTTATATTCAGACTTGTTCAGAAAATTATTCTTCAAACATTGATGAGGAAATATCTGATCCAAAATGTCAGTAATCTATGGGCTTTTGAGATTGAAAATGTAATGGTTTGAGATTGAAAATGTAATGGGCTTATAAGATACCAATCAGTGGTCTGTTGAACATTCACGTAGAATGGGTCAAATAACAAAGCAACATAGCCTAAAAGTGTTCTCAAATGTGCATGCAACTTCACTGTGTAAGTCCTAGACTTACAAGGACTAGATACAATTTCAATTAGAAGTAGACATCATTTTGCATGCTGATGAGTGTATGTGAATGAATGATCTTTTAGGTTGAATTTTTAAGGTATAAGAAACAACAGAAATACATAAAAGTTTAATGATACTGAAATTATTTTCTAATTATATTTTCTCCTCCATTCAATTGACTTTACACTAAAATATCTTTGCATCCAATATTTACTATTTTTTTATAATTTAGACCACCCTGATTTTCTTAATGTTTCTGTAATAGTTGTTTATAATGATAGAAATCAATTTTTATAATTTTTATATGAATTGGAGTTACAAACCAGTGAGAGGCAGAAAAAAAAAAAAGTGTGTTATTCTAAAACATTCTCTGTTAGTGGAATAACATTGTCTGTTAGACTTTGTAGTTTGAAAACAAGGCTTCTAGCACAGATTTTGCCATTCGTTGTACAATTAAAGGAAGCTTTCTAATTATTTGCATATATTATTTCTGCAAGTAAAGAACATACATCAATAACTTTCTTGGACTAGATTTTAGGGCTTCCATAGAAATGAATATTTCTAAAATTGTGAGCAATTATTGTTTATAAACTATTACATTCTTAAATGCTGAAAGCAGTTGCAGAAGGGAATTCTTATTGAGCCAAGTTATATAAATTGTGGGCTGTCAATGAAGAAGTTCTTAGGCATTTTTTTTTTCTGAGACAACAGTAGTTGCTAATGTAAGGTGAAATAAAGAAGGAAGAAGACATTTTATGCCTCCCTTAAGCATAGAGTGGAAATGCCACATTTTATTTGGAAAAATCATAAATTGATCACTTGTCATGAAATATTTCATGCTTTGCAAGCTAATATACATGAAATGCTATATTTTCTTTTTTATTATTATTATTATTAAACTTTAAGTTTTAGGGTACATGTGCACAATGTGCAGGTTAGTTACATATGTATACATGTGCCATGCTGGTGTGCTGCACCCATTAACTCGTCATTTAGCATTAGGTATATCTCCTAATGCTATCCCTCCCAGCTCCCCTGACCCCACAACAGTCTCTGGTGTGTGATGTTCCCCTTCCTGTGTCCATGTGTTCTCATTGTTCAATTCCCACCTATAAGTGAGAACATGCGGTGTTTGGTTTTTTGTCCTTGCAATAGTTTACTGAGAATGATGATTTCCAATTTCATCCATGTCCCTACAAAGGACATGAACTCATCATTTTTTATGGCTGCATAGTATTCCATGGTGTATATGTGCCACATTTCCTTAATCCAGTCTATCATTGTTGGACATTTGGATTGGTTCCAAGTCTTTGCTATTGTGAATAGTGCCACAGTAAACATACGTGTACATGTGTCTTTATAGCAGCATGATTTATAGTCCTTTGGGTATATACCCAGTAATGGGATGGCTGGGTCAAATGGTATTTCTAGTTCTAGATCCCTGAGGAATCGCCACACCGACTTCCACAATGGTTGAACTAGTTTACAGTCCCACCAACAGTGTAAAAGTCTTCCTATTTCTCCACATCCTCTCCAGCACCTGTTGTTTCCCGACTTTTTAATGATTGCCATTCTAACTGGTGTGAGATGGTATCTCATTGTGGTTTTGATTTGCATTTCTCTGATGGCCAGTGATGGTGAGCATTTTTTCGTGTGTTCTTTGGCTGCATAAATGTCTTCTTTTGAGAAGTGTCTGTTCATGTCCTTCACCCACTTTTTGATGTTTGATGGGGTTGTTTGCTTTTTTCTTGTAAATTTGTTTGAGTTCATTGTAGATTCTGGATATTAGCCCTTTGTCAGATGAGTAGGTTGCAAAAATTTTCTCCCATTTTGTAGGTTGCCTGTTCACTCTGATGGTAGTTTCTTTTGCTGTGCAGAAGCTCTTTAGTTTAATTAGATCCCATTTGTCAATTTTGGCTTTTGTTGCCATTGCTTACAAACCACTGCTCAATGAAATAAAAGAGGATACAAACAAATGGAAAAACATTCCATGCTCATGGGTAGGAAGAATCAATATCGTGAAAATGGCCATACTGCCCAAGGTAATTTATAGATTCAATGCCATCCCCATCAAGCTACCAATGACTTTCTTCACAGAATTGGAAAAAACTACTTTAAAGTTCATATGGAACCAAAAAAGAGCCCGCATCGCCAAGTCAATCCTAAGCCAAAGAACAAAGCTGGAGGCATCATGCTACCTGACTTCAAACTGTACCACAAGGCTGCAGTAACCAAAACAGCATGGTACTGGTACCAAAACAGAGATATAGATCAGTGGAACAGAACAGAGGCCTCAGAAATAACGACGCATTTCTACAACTATCTGGTCTCTGACAAATCTGAGAAAAACAAGCAATAGGGAAAGGATTCCCTATTTAATAAATGGTGCTGGGAAAACTGGCTAGCCATATGTAGAAAGCTGAAACTGGATCCCTTCCTTACACCTTATACAAAAATTAATTCAAGATGGATTAAAGACTTAAACGTTAAAACTAAAACCATAAAAACCCTAGAAGAAAACCTAGGCATTACCATTCAGGAAATAGGCATGGGCAAGGACTTCATGTCTACAACACCGAAACGCTATATTTTCTATATGAGATAAATCCAAGGTTTGCAGCATAACATTAAAAATAACAGGGAATATATTTAAGCCCTTTTGTTAGCAAATGCCATTTTCTTCTACTACCAACAAATAAGATCTCCTGCCTTTCTTTCCCAGGTTTTTCTTCCTCCAGTTTGTAGGACCAATCTTTACCTTAAGGCAAGCCATTTTTAAACAATCAGCTCTATGGGGTTATGTTTAAGAATATGAACTTGGGAAATACCATCTATATATGTCATAGTGCCTTTTCACTATCATTTGTATTAGTCAATTTTGCCACACTAACAAATGATATTCAAATCTCAGGGATTTGCATTAAGAAACATTAATTTCCTACCTGAAGGTAGGCTGTGAGTCAGCTAATGGCTGTTTATCTGCTTGCTCCAGGTGTTTTTTTTTATTCTTGCACCCTGAAAACAGAGACCTATATATAGATCATACTCTTGTCATGGGTACATCTTAAAGCTGCGCTGCATATTAATGCTTCTACTCAGACATGTTGTACCTCATGTCTGTTCACAAACCATTGGCCAAGATGTCACATGGCCAAGCTGAAACTCAAGTGAGGCTGGTATGTGTTCCCTTCTCACAGGAGGTATGGCAAATCACATGGCAAAAGGGAAAGGGAGTTAATCTTCTATAGGAGAGAGAGGGAATAATTATAAACAAAAATATAGTTTTGCTGCCATCTTTTATCACGTTAGATCAGCTTATTTTCCTGGATTAATTCCTGTCTCTTACAACACTCTCTGTAAACCATTTGAAATTCACTCAATGGAAACACTTCTAGTTCATGGATTAAATGTCTTTTCCTGCTTCATCTTAGAGGGACATTTTCCAGTTTCTGTTTTTTATCCAGCTTGCAGCAGAAAAAAAAGTTTCCATAGAGTAGATATTTTTCTCCCTCCATTCCTATTATCTCGAGACACGTCCAGATCTCTGATTGCCTATTTCTTATATAATAAAACTTTTCCTCAAATGAGGAAGGAGGAAATAATACTTAAATTATGAGCCATATGTACAAAAAGGTTGTAGGGATTTTAACTTTGATTATGACAGAGCTAGGAGAACTTTGCATTGAAAGGTCACAAAGTTTATTCATGATACAACTAAGTTGTGCAGATAAGCTATAGCTACAGTGCTCTCTATCATATATGTACTCTTCTTCACAAGCCCCTACTGACTTCTGATAAACAAGAATAAATAATTTTAGTCTTACCAATTTTAAATCAATATGGTATAACAGTAGAAATAGTCCCTTTTAGGTAATATTTAGTTTCACTTAGGAAAAATACTCAGCCTATCATCATCTTTAGCATCCTTCCCTGTCTGATATTTTCACTGTTTCTCTCCAAAACTTGGGCCACATTTTGAGGGGCAATTCCTTAGAGAATCTTTTCCACATGTGTAGGAGTGGCAGTGCACAAAATATAGAAACATTGTTACAGTAGAACAAAAAGCATTAAATAATAAGTTACCTGACAAATGGATAAATACATTGTTTGCATATCCATATAGATGTATACTCTGTAAGAGAGAAAATAGAGCATAGCTGCATTTATCCATGAGGCTGAGTTGCAAAAACACCATGGGAAATGAAAAATAAAAGTAATGGGTGAGATTCTGGGAAGATGACAGTGGCAGAAGCCCAATTTTTCAGTCTCTCCAACCCCCCATAGTAAAAATAGACAGGGAAATACACACAACAGGAAAAAAATTGAAAAGAGAGTCAAGACAGTGACGAATATTGAAGACAGGCAAAGAGCCAAAAACTAATGTAAGAGGAGAACTGAATAATAATAAAAAACTATAACTCAAGAAAATTCTGGAAATAAAATTAAATAATATCTACATTTTTAAAGAGTAGACAAGGCACCTGTAAATATTGAGTTAGGAAGGTCAATGCCAAGAGAAAATATTTTTCTTGGTTTCAAAGTAAAAACAAAATCCTTTCTATATATATAATAATATTAGATTATTATCAAAATTTTACAGCAGTACTTTATGCAGGATGAAAATTGAGTGACGTACTTTAAATAGTTAAGGAAATAAAGTGTGAAACAAGCAATTATTAAAATCAGAAACACTGACTGTTATGTATAAAGGCCATTGAAATTGTTATTAACATTCAAGACTCAGTTAATACTATTCCACTAGCTGTCCTTCAGTAATCTACCAAAGAAAGAGGTTGAAAATAAATATGACTAGAGAGACACTGACAAAAGGATAAATGTTGAACATTAATTATTTCATTCCTTGTAAAACTAAGGCTAAATGAAGACTAAGAGGGAAAAAATATATACGGTGGTTGTATTTTACAATTATGAATATACAGCTCAATTTTTTGAATGCAAGAAGAATAGAAAGAAAGTATGCAAATAAACCTTTTAAAATGTTTTTGGTAAGCACTGAGGGTAGAATTAGTATTCGTTTTTGGAATAAAACATATGAGTGGGTGATTCCAATGTTATGCATCCTGTCCTTCTTAAGCACCAGGAATCTTGATGTGGAATAAAGGAGATACAGATATAATAGAGAAAGTGGTCAATCAGAAGCTCTATAATCTTTAATTTGAATTAGAAATAATATATTCTTGTAAGGTACTTTATAAAACATGTGTATAATCTCTAGCTCTGGCCACAGAAGAAGTCTAGGAAAAATAAGAACCTCAGAAGAATAAGCAACACTAGCATGTAGAGTGTGATCTTGAAATACCTTTTTTTTTTGTTTGTTTGTTTGTTTTTTTCAGCTAAAATAAGTTCTCGGGGAAATGGCTGAGCCTGGCACACCTTGTCATTCTCCACGTTGAGAAGACTGTTGAAAAATAGTAAGGTCATGCCAAAAGAAATCAGGAATACACATGAAGATTTCTGTCCAACAAGGGGACAATTTGTGTTTCAATTTAAGTAACTGTAATAGATTAAAATACATCAAATATGTTTAACTTCATGGGTCCATATGGTATTGAAAATAGTCATCTTTCTGAGAAGGATAATAGAAAATCAATTTTTTTATCTGAAAATTGATAACTAAAGGTAAACAAATTTATACTTTTGATATATAAAAGTCATGTGGAATACACGATATAATCTAGATTTTAGATAAATTTAACTATGATTGAGTTTTGACTACAAGAATAAGATATACACATATATTGATAGTGTAGGCTGTTGATTGTGTGCCAGTGTTCCAGGCCTAACCTCTAGGATCTGTGATTATGACCTTATTAGGGAAAAGGGTCTCTGCAGATTCAGTTAGGTTAAAAATGTTGAGATTTTGGATTATTAGTGGGCCCTAAATCTAATGATAAAGGTCTTTGTAACAGACAGAAAAGGAGAAGACACCAACAGAGAAGAGAAGAGCATGTGAAAACAGAGGCAGACAATGGAATTATTCAGCCACAAGCCAAGGAACATCTGGACCCACCAGAAACTAGAAGAAAAAAAAGACGATTCTCATCAGAGTCTTCACAGACAGTGCAGCCCTGCCAATACCAACACTTTGATTTCAGATATTTGGCCTCCAAAATTGTGAGAGAAAAAGTTTCTACTTTTGTAACCCACCTAGTTTGTGGCTATTTGTTACAGCAGCCACGGGAAACTAAATACAAGCGTCATATACTGACTTTTAAGCAGAAGACTAACTTCTGGATCTCTTGAATGTAGGATGTAATAATAAATGTCAGCAGGTTTTAAAAATATAAATGTAACTCCGTATACCTGCTGATTTTTACGCCTTGAACAGTGTTTAAGTTTTGGTTTTTCCTATGAATTACATTATATATTATAAAATATTTCGTATTGTAATGCCTGAAATTATATAGAGAATCTACAACATGGGGTTGCATTCTTTCTTCTAGCACCAGTGATGGAATGAATCTGCTAATTTAGAAATTGGGTATAATAACTATTTTACTCCATATCTAGTGTTTTACCTTTTCTACAGTTCAACTAAGAAAAAGACTGCTTTTTTAGTATGCAATGAGGTTTTTGGCTTATCTAAGAAAATATAGCAGTAAAAAAGTCACAGCAATTTTCTTTATGGGCCACATGTTACCGGTAAAATGAAATCATCCTAGCATATGGCTTTTAGAGTAGAAACACACAAGCAAACAAAAATTCTAAATGTCAGAGCAACTTCATTTTAGCATACACATATTTCCAAAATGTACAGAGAACAATAATAAAAATAAAGTTCAGAACATAAATCCAATTAAGAAATGTACATTTCCAATTGAGAAAAAATCAAGAGCAGACAGTTTTGCAAGATTTCTCAATCAGATTTTTCAATTATGGGAAAGCTATTCCTCTAGATTTTAACACAGGTAGATTAAATCTTTTCACCATAGTCACAGGAAGTTTCAATGTATGTACTAGCGGTACATTGAGTAACTGTGTGGGAGGATGAAAAAGAAAATAAGATGTAGTGCTACTTTTGGCATGGATAAATAATGTGTTTTTATTTTCCAGTATATCATGCTGCTTTCTGATTTTATACACATTTGAATCAAGTTAATATTTTGGTTTTTCTTCTTACCAATTTAATGTATACTATAGTCTTTATTTGAATATGGCTGATTTTTCCCCAAATTCTTATAAATGTGTTTATAAAACCAATTTAAGCATATGTAATACAAAAGGAAAGGCCCAATAAGACAATGTAATGCACAATTACTCTCACTGAAAGGGAACTCTGAAGATGTGGTAAAGGAAATAAGCCTGGAAAAGAAATGGGTATATGGATTACTTTGGAGGAGTTTTTTATTTGCTTTGCTTTATTTTCCCCCACTAAGATAATCAGAATTTTTAAAACACTATTTTCCTATTCAAAAATAAAAGAAAATAACTAACATGTCAGCATCATTTTAGGCCTCAAGTCATTGGCCCACAATGAAGAAATACAGTAGCATTACTCCAGGAAAATAATTTTGATTGAAAGAAATGATCAACAGAGTGTGGACCTAGCAGTTTATAGCCCTTAAGACAGAAAAAAAATGCATATACTGTTTTATTAATGACTGTATTTTGTTTAAAGGGACTATCTACAAGGTGAGGACTTTCTAATGAAGTATTGCCTTTTTTCTTCTGCATGTGCCATTTATATATTTTCTTTATCACTCTTTATGACCTTACAAAGAACTAAGGATTTTCCTTGTTCTGTTTTATGTAACTGACAGTTTCTGAAAAGCTTCGAGGATTGGGTATAGTTCAGTGAAGATTATAACCCTACTGTAGAAACAGTGTAGGGGCATACGCTTCGTAAAATTTAATGGAATGAAAAGCACCCCACAAATAAGTATTTTTGTTGGCTTGTTCAATAAGGGTTAACAAGATGGTTAGTTTTTATTTACCTTCTGAAACAAATATTTCTTCTCTCCAGTTTTCTTGTATTTCTTTTTCATTTCCAATATTCATAACTTCTTTAGAGAATTAACAAGGAACTAAACATTTGCTTATTCCTGCTATAAAGATGAGGCTGCCTGAACAGGGAGTCTGTTGAACAACTGGAGAAATATGAGGTATTATGAAATGATGGCATCCTAAGTGGTGAAGTTATTATAAGAACCAGTTGAAAAAGTGTGCATCATCACTGGCCATTAGAGAAATGCAAATCAAAACCACAATGAGATACCATCTCACACCAGTTAGAATAGCAATCATTAAAAAGTCAGGAAACAACAGGTGCTGGAGAGGATGTGGAGAAATAGGAACACTTTTACACTGTTGGTGGGACTTCAACCATTATGGAAGACAGTGTGCCGATTCCTTAAGGATCTAGAGCTAGAAATACCATTTGACCTAGCCATCCCATTACTGGGTATATATCCAAAGGATTATAAATCATGCTTCTATAAAGACACATGCACACGTATGTTTATTGTGGCACTATTCACAATAGCAAAGACTTGGAAGGAACCCAAATGTCCATCAATGATAGGCTGGATTAAGAAACTGTGGCACATATACACCATGGAAAACTATGCAGCCATAAAAAAGGATGAGTTCATGTCTTTTGTAGGGACATGGATGAAGCTGGAAACCATCATTCTCAGCAAACTATTGCAAGGATGAAAAACCAAACACCATATATTCTCACTCATAGGTGGGAATTGAACAATGAGAACACATGGACACAGGAAGGGGAACATCACACACCGGGGCCTGTCATGTGGAGGCGGGAGGGATAGCATTAGGAGATATACCTAATGTAAATGATGAGTTAATGGGTGCAGCACACCAACATGGCTCATGTATACATATGTAACAAACCTGCCCGTTGTGCACATGTATCCTAGAACTTAAAGTACAATTTTAGAAAAAGAAAAAACAGTACTAATAAATGTTGTCATGCATTTCACTGCTGAATTGATAAAACTAAGTAGGATAGGCATAACAAACAAAAGAATCTAATGGCAAAAAAAAAAAAGAACCAATAGAAGTACCATAGTAAGAGAGAATCAAGATTTGCATGAGAAGAGAGTCAGTGATAGAAATTCAGAAAGAGTTAATCTGGATTCATTTACCAGACTTAATAGGCACAATTAATAATTCATTCCTATGTCTTTGGCATAGTCTACTCGCTCCAGTTTTATAATAGAACTTTCTTTAGCATTTTCACTTAATCTATTCTGGGAATGTTTTGGGAACACATTTGAGCAGTGAGGATTAAAAACAACACCACTACCCTATAGACATAAAACATGTATTAGTTAAACTACTACTTTATATCAGGAGTCCAGAAAACTAAAGCTTATAACCAAATCCATCCCACAGCCTGTCTTTCTTCTTTATTGTGGTAAAATACACATAAAATTTAGTATCTTAACCATTACTAATTGTCCATTGTAGTAGCATTAAGTCATTCACATTGTTATATAATCATCATCACAATCTATCTCCAGGACTCTTTTTGTTGTAAAACTGAAAGTTTGTGCCTATTAAACAATAATGTCCCATTCTCCCCTCCCCCAGCCCTTAGAAATCACCATTCTAGTTTCTGTCTCTCTGAACTTGATTACCCTAGATACTTTATACAAGTTGAATTATACAATATGTATTTTCTGTGAGTAGCTTATTTCACTTAACCTGGCATACTTAAGGTTCATTTATGTTGCAGCATGCATCAGAATTCCTTCCCTTTTTAAGATTTAATAATATTCTATTGTATGTATGTTCCACATTATCCATTCATCTGTCAATGGACACTTGGGTTGCCTTCACATTTTAGGTGTTACAAATGACTCTGCTATGAATATGAATGTACAAACATCTATTTGAGTCCCTGCTTTACACTATTGATGGTACAAGCCCAGAAACAAAATGACTAGATCATATGGTATCCCATTTTTAATATTTTTGAGGACATGCCATACTATTTCACATCATAGCTGCGCCATTTTACATTTCTACCAACAATGTACAAGTGTTCCATTTTCTCAGCATCTTCAAAAGCGTTTGTGATTTTCTGGAATTAAAAAAAAAAGCCATACTAGTGATGAAGTGGAATTTCATTGTTGTTTTCATTTGCATCACCTTAATGATTAGTGATGTTGAGCAGCTTTTCATATGTTTATTGGCCATTTGTGTATCTTTCTTAGAGAAATGTGTATTTGAGCCCCACATCCATTTTTTAATTTAGTTATTGATTTTGTTGTAGCTGTTATTGCTGAGTTGTAAAAGTTCTTTATATATTTGATATATTAACCTCTCTTCAGATGTATAATTTGCAAATATTTTATTTTACTTTGTGCATTGCATTTTAATCCTGTTGATTGCACCCTTTTTCTCTGTAGAAGTTTTACTTCTGATGGGTCAATTTACCTATCTTTTTTTGTTGTTGTTGCTTGTGATTTTGGTGCTATGTCCAATAAATCATTACCAAATCTAATGTCGTGAAGTTTTCTCCTATGATTTTTTTCTAAGAGTTTTTTTTTGTTGGTTTTTGCTTTTACATTTAGGTCTTGAATCTATTTTGAGTTAATTTTTTGCATATAAGTATAAAGTGAAGGTTTGGCGTCATTCTTTTCATATGGATACTCAATTTCCCCAACACTATTTGTTAAAAAGACTGTCCTTTCCTCATTAAATAATCTTGACACTGTTGTTGAAAATCAGGTGACTAGATAAGTGAGATAAATGAGGGTTATTTCTCAGCTCTCCATTTTATTCCTTTCATATATATACTTTTTTTAATTTAATTTTTTTTTTTTTTTTTGGAGATGGCGTCTCACTCTATCACCCAGGCTGCAGTGGCACAATCTTGGCTCACTGCAACCTCTGCCTCCCAGGTTCAAGCAATTCTCCTGCCTCTCCCCATACTGGTGCACCTCACCACCCCTGGCTAATTTTTCTATTTTTAATAGAAGCATGGTTTCACCATGTTGGCCAGGCTGGTTATGAAATACTGACCTCAAGTTATCTGCCCACCTCAGCCTCCCGAAGTGCTGGAATTACAGGCACTGGTCTATATGTTTTTGCCAGGACCATAATACTTTAATTACTGTAGTTTCGAAATAAATTTGAAATCAGGACGTATGAAGACCACAGCTTTGTTGATAATAATAAAAAGGGAGGGGGCAAAAAATATTTGAGGAAATATTGAGAAAACAATTGCCATTTTAAAAAAAATTGATGAAAACAATATACTTATATATCCAAAAAGCGCTTCAACAAGAGCTCTGAAGAAACCACCAAAGCACATCAAAATTGAATTACTCAAAACTAGTAATAAAGAGGAAATATGAAAAACAAATATAGGAAAACTGTAACAAATATAAAGTTGATAGCATATTTCTCAGAAGAAACAATGAAAGCAAGAAGACAGTAGAACAAAATATTTAAAGTGTGAAAGAAATAACTGACAATTCAGTGTTCTATAACCAATAAAAATGTTTAAAATGAATGATTTTTCTCCAGCAAAGAGCACTACAAAAAGAAAAAGATTATACCAATCAGATGTGTCCATCTAGCCAAAAAGAAATACTTAGATAAAAAAATTGTAAAAAGGGACAAAGAAGGTCTTTATATAGTGATAAAAGGAGCAATTAACAACAGGATATAACACCTGTAAATATATAGGCGCCTAACACAAGAGCATTCAGATATATAAAGCAAATATTTTCAGATATAAAGGGAAAGATGAACTCCAATACAATAATAGTTGGAAACTTCAACATCTTAGTCACAGCATTGGACCTATCATCTAGACAGAAAATTAACAAAGAAACATTATGTTGAAACTCTACTATAGACCAAATGGACCCAACATACATTTACAGAACGGTTTATCCAACAGCTGCAGAATACACATTCTTCTCATCAGCACATGGAATATTCTCTGGGATAGACCATATGTTAGACCATAAAACAAATCTCAAGTTTAAAAAAATTGAAATCATATCAAGCATATTTTCTGACCACAATTAAGTAATACTAGAAATCAATAAGAAGAAATTTCAAAAATGTACAAGCACTTTGAAATTAAATAACATGTTCCATCCAATGGATCAATGAAGAAATTTTAAAAAGCATTAAAATTGCTTGAAACAAATAAAAATAGAAATACAACATACCAAAACCTACTGGATACAGCAAAAACAGGACCATGAGGAAAATTTATAGCAATAAATTTATACATCAAAAAAGTAGAGTTTAACCTACTGAGGCACCTCAAGGACCTAGAAAAGCCAGAACAAACCAAACCCCAAATTAGTAAAACAGAAGAAAGAATAAGGATCAGAGAATAAATAAATAAAATTGAGAATGAAAAAGCAATACAAAATATCAACAAAACAAAAGTTGTGTTTTTGAAAGGATAAACAAAATTGACACACCATTAATTAGATTAAGAAAAAGCTAAGATCAACTTAGACTAACTCAGAGAGAAGATACAAATAAATAAAATCAGAAACAAAAACAAAGACTCTACAACTGATACCACTGAAGTCCAAAGAATCATTACAGACTATTATGAACAGGTATATGCCAACAAATTGAAAGGCCTAGAGGAAATGGATAAATTCCTGGACACACACAACCTATCAAAATTGAACTGGGAAGAAACAGAATACCTGAGCAGATCAATAACAGGTAACATGATTGCATCAGTAATAAATCTCCCAACGAAGAAGAGCTCAGGACTGGATTGGATTACTGCTGAGATTTATCAAACATTTAAAGAACTAGCATCAATTTTTCTCAAACTACTCAAAAAAATTGAAGAGAGAATTATTCTAAACTCAATGTACACAGGCAGCATTGCCCTTATACCAAAACAAGAAAAGAACACCAAAAAACACTGATGAAATATGTTGAAGACACACAAAAATGGAAAGACATCCCATGTTCATAAAGTGGAAAAATTAATGTTGTTAAAATGGCCATACTAGCCAAAGCAATCTACACATTCAATGCAATCCCCATCAAAATACCAATGACAATTTTCAAATAAATAGAAAATAAAACAATCCTAAAATATGAATGAAAACAAAAACACTACAAATAGCCAAAACAATCCTGAACAAGAAGAACAATTCTGGAGGTATCATACTACCTGACTTAAAAACATACTGAAAAGCAGTAGTGACCAAAACAGGATTGTACTGGTATAAAAACAAATACATAGACTAATGAAGAGGAATAGGAAAGCTAGAAATACATACATATATATAGCCAACTGACTTTTGACAAAATCGCCGAGAACATGCACTGAGAAAGGAAAGGAATAGACTCTTAAACGAATGGTGCTGGGAAACTAGATATCCATAAAGGGAAGAATAAACTAGATCCCTATCTCTCACCACATAGAAAAATCAACTTAAAATGGATGCAAGACTTAAATGTAATATCTGAATCTGTGAAACTACTATAAGAAAGCATAGGGGAAATGCTTCAGGGCATTGGTCTGGGCAAATATTTTTGGGATAAGACCTCAAACGGATAGACAATAAAAGCAAAAATGGACCAATGGGACCAAATCAAACTAAAATCCTTCTGCAAGACAAAGGAAACAACAGAGTGAAGAGACAACCTGAAGAATGAAAGAAACCACAAACTATTTGTCTGACAGGGAATTAAGTCCCTGAGTATTCAAGAACTCAAAGAACTCAATATTCAATAACAAAAACAAAAAATAAGGAACCTCAAATAATTCAAAATGGGCAATTGATCAAAATAGATATTTTTCAAAAGAAGACATGTAAATGGCCAATAATTATTTGAAAAAATGGTCACCATTATTGATCAGGGAAATGCAAATCACAACCACAGTGAAATATCATCTCACTGCAGTTAGAATGGCCACTATCCAAAAGACAAAAGATAAATGTTGATGGGGATGAGGAGAAAGAAAACTTTTATACCTTACTGGTAGAAATATAAATTAGTACAGCCATTATGGAAAACAGTATGGATGTTTTTCTAAAAACTAAAAAAGAACAACCATATGATCTAGCAATCCCACTATTGGGTATATGTCCAAGGAAGAGAAATTAGTATATTGAAGGAATATCTGCACTCTCTTGTTTCTTACAGCACTATACGCAATAGCCAAGATATGAAATCAACCTGAGTTCATCAACAGATGAATGAATAAATAAGATGTGATATATATATATATATATATCTCATAAATAAATATTCAGTCATAAATAAAGATTGAAATCTTGTCATTTGCTGTGACTTGGATGAGCCTGGAGGAAATTAGGTTAAGTGAAATAAGTCAGGCACAGAAAGATAAATACTGAATGTTCTCCTTCATATGTGGAAGCTAAAAATTTTGATTTCATGAAAGTAGATGGTAGAATAGTGATTACAAGAGGCTGGAAGGGTAGAGGAAAGCAGAAATGGGGAGAGGGAGGTTGTTTAATGGATACAATATTACAGCTGTTTAGGGAACCAATAATTCATTGTGTATTTTCAAATAGAAGATTTTGAAGGCTCCCAAAATAAACAAATGATAAATATTTGAAGAGGTGGATGTGCTAATTACCCTGATTGAATCATCATACTTTGTATATATGTATCCAAATATCACACAGTACTTCATAAATATGTACAATTATTTTGTCAATTAAAAATAAAAAACAGTTATAGATAATAAACCAACACAAGCAATATGGTGAAGATATAAAAAGCACAAAAATGATGAGAAAAGAAGAAAGAAAATGAATAGATGAGAAAAATATAAAACAAATGAAAAAAAGGTAGTTAAACCTCAGTACACCAGCAATTATATTAAATATTACAGTCTAAATGTACTAAACAAAAGGCAGAGATATTCAGATTGCATGAAAAAAACATGACTCAAATATAATCTGCCTGTAAGAAATACAGTTTAAATATATAAACAACTGAAAAGCAGTAGTGACCAAAACAGGATTGTACTGGTATAAAAACAAATACATAGACTAATGAAGTGGAATAGGAAACCTAGAAATATATCCATATATATAGCCAACTGATTTTTGACAAAATTGCCAAGAACATGCATTGGGAAAGGAATAGACTCTTTAAATATATAAACAACATTAGGTTGAAGTAAAATGTGGACAACTATACATAATAATAATGCTATTTGAAAGAATATGTACAGTGGCTATATTAGCAAGGAGCAACGTGAATTCAAAGCAAAAGTGTTACCAGGGATAAGGTCATTTAATAATGCTAAAAAATCAATCCCTTGATAAAACATCATAATCCTAAATGTTTATGAATCTATTTTCAGAGCTTCAAGATACATGAAGCAAAAACTGATGGAACTACAGAGAGAAATAGATTAATTCACAATTATAACCACTGATTTCAATTCCCTTTCTCCTATAATTCCTTTAATTGCTCTTTCAGTTAGGCAGAATGATAGAGAGACTACCAGTAAGGATATAGAAGACCTGAAAAAATAGCACTTGCAATAGCACTTAAATATGAAATATGTGAGAGTAAATCTGAAAAAAGATGTGCAAGGCATGCACACTGAAAATTAGATTTCATGGAAGGAAACATTTAAAGGACACATTAAATAAATTGAGACATATGCTGTATTTATTGTTCAGAAAACTCAAATTGCTAAAATGTTAATTATAGCAATTAATCTATAAATCAACACAATTCCAATTAAAATCCAAGAAATATATTTTGTAGAAATTTACATGCAGTTTCTAAAATTCATATGGGATGGGATGCAGAAAAACTAAACATTTTGTAAAAGAAAAATTGTGGACTCATATCTAAAATATAATGAATTCTGATAACTCAATAAGTAAACTCACCAGCCATAAGAAAATATAAAGTTTACAAATAAGCACATAAAAAATGCCCAATATCAAAAGCAATCAGAGAAATGCAATTAAAACCACAACGAAATATCACTGCATATCTATTAGAAAGGCTAACTATACCAAGAACTAGTGAAGACATGAAGGAACTGGAACTGTCGCACACTGGTTGAGAATGTAAAATAGTACAAACAAATTGTGAAACAGTTTGGTAGTTTCTTAAAAAGTTAAACATATAACTACTTTATGATCTTACCATTTTACTCCTAAAAATGTGCCTAAAGTAAATGAAAGCATATGACCATACAAGACTTGTACATGAGTGCTCATGACAACTTTATTTGCAATAGCTAGAAACTGGTAACAACTCAAATGTCCAACTGGGAATAAATTCACTAGTTTAGGTATATTGATAGAATAAAATACTACTCAGCAATAAAATAATGGGTTACTGATATATGCAACAACATGAGTGAAACTCAAAATAATTATGCTGAGTAAAAGAAAATAGATTAAAAATAATATATACTATATTATTGCATGCATATTAAAAACTAGAACATGAAAACTAATCTATAGTGACAGAAAGTATATATTGCTTGTCAGGGAACCTGGAACCAGACAGTGAGATGTACAGAAAGAAGGGGAAATAATTATAATGACATATGAAGAAACCACTGGGAGTGATGGATATAATTCCTATCTTGATTGTGGCTATGATTTCATGAATGTCGATTTATATAGCACACAATTTATCAAATTGGACACTTTTAATATGAGCTGCTTATTACATGTCAATAATATATAAGAAAGGAGGAGGAGAAGAAGAAAAAAGAGGAAGAAGATGAGGAGGAGGAAATTAAAAGAACAGTAGAAAGACTGATAAGTAGTTCTTGAGTCCTAGGAAAGATTTTTAGTGCTGTCTTAAAATAAAGTGTCACTGTTGGCCAGGCACGGTGGCTCACGCCTGTAATCCCAGCACTTTGGAAGGCCGAGGCGGATGGATCATTTGAGGTCAGGAGTTCGAGAGCAGCCTGGCCAACACGGTGAAACCCCGTCTCTATTGAAAATACAAAAAAAAAAAAAAAAAAAAATTACCCGGGCGTGGTGGCGGGTGCCCGTAATCTCAGCTACTCGGGGGCGCTGAAGCCGGAGAAGCGCTTGAACCCGGGAGGCGGAGGTTGCAGTGAGCCAAGACCGCACCACTGTACTCTAGCCTGGGCAACAGCAGGAGACTCTGCCTCAAAAAAAAAAAAAAAAAGTGTACCTGTTATAATAAATGGAAATTTTTGAAGTTAACCTTATCTGCTGTTTTCTTTAATTACATATATATTACCTCCATTTTTGAGATTAGTTCTGTTTATTCTATTTTGATTGTTTCTAATTGGCCGAATATTTACCTCGTGTATAGGAAATCTTCTGACCCCTTCTTATCATGTCCCAAACTGCATCTCAATTGTTTATATCCTGGAGATTTCGTTGCATTTTAATTCTTCTTCATTGAGCTGGGAAAAAAAAAAAAAAACTGTACAAAAATATGCTTATCCAGTGGTTTCAAGACACGTGGAAGTGATTAAAAAATAAAAGATTTCTAAGAGAGGTCATTGTGACCAGAGAATGATAGCATTCTGGATGATTATTCAGCCTACACCATGTGGAATTAGCCATAAATTAGAAGAAAGCTTTTTTTTTTTTTTCTCCTTGCTCCTTGACATTGGAATTGTCTGACATTTGAGATTTCTCCATTTAATTGTCAAGAAAATTTTCAGCTGGAAAGTTTGTGTTTTAGCATTCGAACTGACTCTTTGAGACCCAGCTATATAAAACTGCTTCTTTCTGTCCAAACGGATTCTCTCTCTCCTGGAGAAGCATTTGAATTTCTTCTGTTGACTTTTTTTTTTCCTATGTGTGTACCAAGCAAATATATTTTTTTTATTTATTTTTATTTTTATATTTTGAGATGTAGTCTCTGTCGCGCAGGCTGGAGTGCAGTGGCGCAATCTAGGCCCACTGAAAACTCCGCCTCCCGGGTTCATGCCATTCTCCTGCCTCCGCCTCCCAAGTAGCTGGGACTGCAGGCGCCCGCCACTATGCCCGGCTAATTTTTTAATATTTTCAGTAGAGAAGGGATTTCACCGCGTTAGCCAGGATGGTCTCGATCTCCTGACGTCATGATCCACCCGCCTCGGAGTCGCAAAGTGCTGGAATTACAAGCGTGAGCCACCGCGCCCGGTCAATTTTATTTTCAATGAGTGAGAAAATGCTATTAAAAATTCTTGTGAAGAATTGACTTGTATTTGACTCAGAAAGCTAGAATGTTAATGTACAAAAAAAAACACCAAGGATATTGTAATTAACATCCTTTTATTTCAAAATTGTATCAAAATAATTTTTACTATCACTAAATGGGGTGGATATTTGAGGAGTTTGAATAAGGTCTTAAATATGCAGTTCTTTAACAGGCAAAAGATCCTACAATTAAATTTTTATGTCTTTTGAAAGTCATCATTTTCATTTTATTATTGTTAGGAACCATTCAATGCCTATGATGTACAAGTCAACAAGCCCAAACTATTTATGAATCTAGTCTCATTTAATCCTTTCAAGAGTCTTGCTTGGAAACTTATTTTAAAGTTAGAATAGAGTGGGAGCTATGAGAACCTCTTGCCCAAGTTGTTTTATAGGCTCATAAATTATATACATAAGTAATTGTGGAATTAATAATATTCACAAAAAACATTTCAGCACTAATTTTTAAGATGTTATGTGTGAGGTGAATAATTCTGATACAATTTCCAAAGAAAATATGTGTAGATATTTAGGTATTGCTGTGCAATTATTTTATTGTTGATATTCCAGTTATGTGACCTATGTAACTAACATATTACCTTACCACTTCATGGCATGAAACAACCAGTCAGTATGGTCATGAATTCTGTGGATTAGAAAGAAATTTAAATGGGGCAAAACAGGGACAGGTTTTCCTTGTTGTCATCTGGAACCTCGGTTAGAAGGCACAAAAGCTGAGAGACTGAAATAATAAGAAAGCCCATTTATTCACATGTCTGGCAGGGGCTGCTAGCTGTCAACTGAGAACTCAGCTGGAGCTATCAGCCTGAACATCTACATTTGGCCTGGGAGAAAGAGGGAAAGAGAGAAAGAGATGCTAAACTATCTTTTATAACTTAGCCTCTAATTCATACAGCATGACTTCTGCAAGTTTTTCTTTATTCACCTGTGTGGTAGAGCCTATTAGCTTCTCTCCAATTTCATGTCCTCCTATTTTTCCTGGCCCTCCCACCCTCCTACAGTAAGGTGTGAACACTGTGACTGAATTATAGTTAGTGGAATGTAAGAATGTATGTGTCACATTTCAACACCTAGACCCTTAAAATGTAAAACCACTACTCTTTGCTCTGATCCACTTCCAGCTTACCTGGAATGTATTAAATCTTCAGGGTGACTTTGAAGTCACATGTGGATGAAAGCTGCCTTGAACCCTCGGTCACTGATTGAGGAGGATGGCCCCATCCAGTATTGTTATGAGAAGAAGGGAACTTCTGCCACATCCACTGTACATTTTTGAACTCATTCATCATAGCAGTTAGTTTTTTCCCTACATTTTTGGCACAGTAACTGTCAAAGAGTTGGTACTAACTAAATATTTTACAGTGAATACCCATTTTACAGTAACAGTCAAAACTAAATAACAGTTAAAAATCTATGGACATTCTCATTATAGTTAAGAAGATGAGCAAAATGACATTTTTTGGTAGTAATGCTTATAATTGTTCCGAGTTCTAAGAAACACTATTAAATTAAAAAGATATGTTTTTATATAAAAATATTACATATTTTTCTTTCCTTTGCAAAGAAGAAAAGCCAAAATAACATTATAAGTGTATGATAAACTTACTTAGAAAACTCAGTGGAATCAACAAATTAATAAAGCTAAAAATATAGTGAGATCGCTTTTAAAAATAAATATTTCAAAGTGATAGTTATTCTATAAATATTGAAAAACTAGCGAGAAAATATGTTAAACATATTCCATTCACATTAAAAATAAAAAATTTAAATATTTAAGAATAAGCTGTAGCAAGAATAGATGAAAACCTATTTTAAACATAACTGAAAATTTTAAAAAACTTGAAAACACAGGAGATTGTAATAAAGTCAGTGATGCATTGTATGTGTCAGAAGTTATAAGTATAGTGCTTATTTTTTCTAAATTCATCTGTAATGTAAATGCAGTTGGTGTCAAAAATCAGTCTATATTACAATCTTGAGTATTAGAGATTTAAAAGATAAAATAGAAGAACATATATTTATGCAGCACCTATGAGCTTTTAATTTAGTAAAAGAAAGAGTGCAAAGTATTTATTTTTATAATTTGTTGAATGAAATCAATGAAATTCTTATATAGGTATTTAAAACTAGTTTTTTTAATGCTACAATGAAACCACTTATAATCAAAGAAGCATCAGTTAGATACAAACATACACAAGTATACAAGTTTGGGATGTGATATGAAGAGGAACATGGAAAGAATGATGTGTATAGGGACTTATTGCTGAAAATGAAGCTGTTGTTATACTTTCTATAGTGATACTAGAAACATTCTCCATTGTATACTCAAAAGCATTGAAAGTTCAGCTTTTTAATGATGTTCAGAAATCTGTGAGCCTGTTCTAACTTTGAGACTATAATGAAAACTGAAGGAACTGCAGTGTCAATTTATTTAATTAAATTGATATTAAATCCTACTTTATTTAGTATTCGTGTTAATGTATATACTATTTTTCAAAACCTTTTAATTCTGTATTCAGAAGCCTAAAATGTACATTGAAAGAACTGTTCACATATCCCAGGATGGCAAACTATAGTTCTGGCAGGTGAGAGAGCAAGAAGTCAAGGTCCTATTACAAGGTGAAACAAGGGAAGAAAAGAAAAAAGAAATCTGCTAAATGAGTTGTAGTTTTATTCATGCTGAGAAGAAATACAAGGAAAACTGCTTTGATTCCTTGTAAGATACGTTAATCACCCAATTAAATTTATTTCTTTAAGCATACTGTTAGCTAGACCAACATTTGTGTCGTTTTATCTTTCTGGTGATTACATGGTGAAGTGCAGAAAATATAAAGACTTTGATTCTGAAAGCAATGCAAAATAGCAATATAGAACAGTTCTGGGCTGCTTTTAGTGAAGGTTTATGGCAATGTACGTAGCCCCATATGTAATCTGAAGATTTTGGAAACAGAGTAGCTATAAATAATGTCTCTGGCAAAAGAAGAAATATCTCTTATATCACATGCGGAAACATAAAGGGTTCTTTCTAAGCTAACCAACAGATGTAGAAATCACACACGTAAACACTACTGAACCATTCAGTAAATTATATTGAACCATTCTAATTGCCATTTAATGACTGCTCTTAAAATTGAATTTGTCAAAGATAAGCAATACTGTGTGTGATACCTGGAGAGAAATTTTTTATTGCAGATCAGTTTCCTTTATTTGTTAGAATAAAAATACTTCCATGACTGAGAAAAATATATCAAAAGATTTAGTTAAAAGGACTTCCAATAATCACACTTTTTCTTATTTCATCTATTTAATATTATTACTTTTTTATCTGTATTATTTATGTATATACATACAGCATTGTTTTTCTTACATGAAATAAAAATAGGTTTAATTAAAAAAATATTAAAATGAATTTTAAAAATCTGGTTTTTAGACATAGTTTGACTGCTTAGTATATCTTGAATTGGGCACCTAACTTGAAATCTCTGACCCTCAGTTTCCCAAATTACAAAATGAAAATAATACTGCCTACTTACCTTACAGTATTACTGGAGGTGTTTAATGGGATAACTGTTAGGAAATTGCTTTGTTGATTGTAACAAAATTGCAAGTAAGTCACAATATCATATTTAATAGTGAGTTCTGTCCATGTGACCTTGTACCTGCAACATCTCCCGGGGATCCCCACACTGATTGTGCTTATCCTTCCTCTGGCCTCTGAAAAGTCATGCCTAATATGGCCTACTATTGTTGTAAGATCTGTTTTTCTCTTTCATCAGCTTTGAGACATTTGGCTCCAAATGACAATTGCTTGCTCCACTGGTCTGCCAGAAGATACAGTTTCCCAGCGGTCAATGTCTATACAGCCCTGCTTGAAATTCTTCCACAGTGAATCTTTGGAATCTTCCCTGCCTCCAGTAATTCTATTTGAGCCCAGCACACAGAAAGTAAGTGGGTATTGCTGGCACTGAACCTGCACACATGTCCTGCCTAGATGATTTGTGCTACAGCCTGCAGAGTTTCCTTATGGTTGAACTGAAACCATTCTAGCTGATCTTGGCAAGTTAATATTGCCAACCTTGACTCATGGCATGTGCTAACTTATGAGCTTCTTAAGGGCTGGTTGTGCCTAATAAAGTACTGAGATCAATGTGGATATTTAATTAAAATTTTTGTTTTATTGATAATTTATATACCAAAATGACAAATACCAGATTTCAGAAGACTTTATCTTGAACTTGGACATAGTAAATGTAACTTTCTTTAATTGAGCACTTATGTCAGATTTTGTTAAGCACATTATATGTCAAAACTTATTTTATTCCCTTAGACTGTTCTTACGCAGGTTTTCCAATAAGGAAATTTAGGCACATGGAGTTTTAGAAATGTGGCCTGGAGGGCTAGCAAGGTATCCACCTTGGATTTGAACCAAGAGGATCTGCCTCTGAAGCTGAGCTAGGAACCACTTCATCATCATGCCTTCTGACTGTTTTGGTCTGCTTGCCAATGAAGAGGTGTTTATATGTTTGGATAAATACAGTTGTCCCTTGGTTTTCATGGGGAATTTGTTCCAGAACCCCCATGGTCACCAAAATCCACGGATGGTAGCTTCATATTTATCCAGCAATATGAAGCTACATTGTGATCATACTTACTGGTCGTGATTTTAAAGCACAATCCACCTGAATAGTTTTATGTGCAATCTTTCATTCAAGAAATAATATTTAGTATGAAAGCAAAGTTCTGATTAAATCAATATTAGTGACAATTAGAAATGAGCTTTAAGGTATGCCTAGTTTCAAGAATCTCAAAAACAATTTAGCACACAAATTATTCCCTTTTGGGTAGTAAACGACTACTGTTTTGTTGAAAATTATTTAGGTTTTGCATTATCAATATTTTAGTCAGTGCCTTACATGATGTTAAGTTAAACTGTAGTATCCCAATTTCATTACTATCCTAAATAATCACCAAAGACATGAGTTATAGAAAAGACACAAGCATGGTACAGGAAGCATAATTGCTTATATTATTCTTTTTTTTTCTTTTTTTTTTTTTTTAGCTTTAAATGTGTGTATTCCTGGTCTTTTTGGTGAAAGGCACAGAATATGGCAACTTCTTTTTTCAGAAAAAAGTAGGTGACAATAGCAAAAATTAGTTAAGTTTGTCTTGACTTTCTGAATTTTAAGCTAAATAAAAATAAAAATAAGTCTTCTCAACTCTACTGATTTGTCAAATTGAGCAAGGCTATGCCACTTAAACAAGAAAGGTAAGAATTTAGAAGTTATTATTAAAACTTATAAATACTCAAGTTCTTTAGTATTATTGTTATTGTAAATAATTGGTTATGGTGGGTATATAGAACTGTACATGATTTATAAAGTTATAAGAAAAGTTAAACCTTGGAAATAAAATCAACATGAATCAGATATACTCATATAAGATAAAACATGGTGCTTTAGAGAAAGACTAGTTCTATATGGGTAGGTCTGGAAATTTTACTTGAATGAGACATCCTTTGAGAAAAAATGTGAAAGTACCTATGGATGTCCTTAGTAGCTATAGATTAGCCATCTTTTAGTGACCCCGTACAGATAAATGGAAACTTATATTTAAAAAATATACCGTAAAACATCTGAAGATAGATTAGAATGCAAAGGTTTTAAAAGCAGAAAACTATGTTTTTTAGTTCCAGTGCTCCTAGCCATGCCTGGTGGAATAACCAAATAGTTTTTCATGCCTTTATTATTTTCCCTTTTGTAAAATAAAAGCAAATAATGCCATCCTGACTTACATTGCCTGTGCTATACAGACATTACTTTGTACTATGGTGTTGCTGGTAAGACACAAAGTTCAAGACATCCAAATGATAATCTATGGGCTATCACTGAAATTAAGATTATTATAATATATTGTTTAGAACAACACAAACATTTCTGCAGCTTTTAAATGAAAAATAAATAGAGCAAGGCCATCAGAGTCAAAAAGATTAATATAAAATCTGGGTATCTTCAGGCTTTATGAATAACCAAGAAAAATCTTCTAATTCATATGTGAATATATTATGTTACATTACAAATGGGAATTGAAGTTGCAGATGCAGTTAAAGTTTCTAATCACTAATCACACAATTCTAATTCTAATCTAATTGACCTTAAAATAGGAAAATTATTCTATACCATATGGGTGGCCCCAATGTAATCACAAACATACTTTTCTTTATTTTTTAGATAGAGTCTCACGGTGTCACACAGGCTAGAGCACAGTAATGCAATCATAGCTCACTGCAGCTTTGAACTCCTGGGATTACAGGAGCATGCTACCCAGCTAGGGTCCTTAAATGTAAATTGAAGAGGTCAAGGAGGAGTCAGTGTCAGAGTGATTAAATGTGAGAAAGACTCAACTAGCCATCCCAGACTTTCAAGATTAAAGAGGGGCATGAACCAAGGAACGTGGGTAGCCTCTAGAAAGCAGAAAAGGCAAAAAAAAAAAAAAAAAAAAAATGTGATTGCTGCTACAGCCTTCAGAAATGAACATAATCTTGCCCTCTGCTGACACCTTGACTTTAACCCAGTAAGACCTATTTCAGACTTCTTACCTTCAGAATTGTAAAACAATAAATCTGTGTTGTTTTTCATCACTAAGTTATGGAAATTGTTATAATGACTATGAAGATGAAACTAATAAGAAAATTATGTCCATCTTTTCCACCACTGCATTCCCAGTGTATAGCAAACAATAAGTTCCATTAACACCAAGGATGCTTAGCGAACCATCCCAACATGAAATTCACATTATTTCCAAACTCATTCCTTTTCTTGCCAAATAATGCCTTAGACATTACAATTTATGGGTCTAAAAGGTAATCCCACAGCTGCCACTAATCTTTCTACCACAAATCTTTAAATGTCAAAGCAGACACCAGTGACAGATCGCTTTCAGCTCCAAACTTTAATAATGATTTAAACAGTGAAGGTAGGCACCAGTGTCACAGTATCCTTAGGGTATCACTTTTTAGCCAGAAGCCTCTGTGGCCAGTGGCACCTTTGCCCAAGTTTTGCTTGGGCCCACTGGGCTCATTCCACCCGCTCAACCCGGCAAGCTGCACGTGACTTGTGCTACCAGCCCAGATCCCAAGCCTCCTGAGGGCGAGCAGGGCATGGAGTGGTGACGGTTGTGTGAGCAAGCGAGTGTGGGGTCCAGCCATTGTGCACACCCAGGCACACTGGCTGCTGTGGTGGGGCAGGAAGCTCCAGGCACCAGCACAGGTGCTGGCTCCATGCAAGCCTGTGGCTGGATCAGATGCACCACAAGTAGCTCCTGCTGTGGGCACCCATGTCTGGATGAGGGGAACACAGTGGCACCCAGAAGCTTGGAGATGTCAGAAATCACGGAGCCCCACAGAAGATGTCACAGCCCTGGGTCAGGGAGCCCCTAGGTCTGGGATCCTGGAAAGGCCACATGACTCTTCTTTCCTTGCCACCTGCAACATGGAGAGCAGGGAAGAGGGGGCATGTTTCAGCCGTTTGCGTTACAGCTCTTCCAACCTTGCCATTCTGCAAGTCCCAGGATCTTGTTCTATGTCCAGGAAGAATGAGGTGACACAGACAACTGGAGGGTGAGCAAGGTGAAAAGGTGCTTTATGAGTGACAGTACAGTTCTCAGGGGACCTGAAGTGGGTAGCTCCTTTCCACAGACAGGTCGTCCCAAGGAGTTCAGCGCTCGGCAGAGAGGAGACCTGGAGTGGGTAGCTTCTACCCAGAGGCAAGACTTCCTGACATCTGTACAGCCCTCAGCAGAGAGGAGACACAGAGTGGGCAGCTCTTATCTGCAGGCAGGTTGTCCCATTGAGTCTGCAGCCTTCAGTGGAGAGGACACCTGGAGTGAGTAGCTCCTATCCACAGGAAGGTCATCCCAACATCTCTGTGAGTCTGTCTGAGTCTGGGGTTTTTCTGGGGTTTAGAAGAGAGGAAGTACCTGCTGATTCATCCATGGACAGCCATGGCAGGGCCAGGATAAAGCATAAGTTCTCATTCTAGGCCACGAGACTCTACCTGGAACTGACAACCCAGCCCTCATGCTTCGGCCCATCCCTGGCTGGAAGGTGGGGCATCACCAGGAACTAACCCTTTTCCACCCAGGAGCCTGTCTGCCCCCTGCCACCATCTACATATAATCTATGGCATCCAGGCTGTTCGTGCTGAGGGGCTCCTGCAGGCCCGTAACCAGCTGCCCTCAGCAGCTCCCATCAGCCTCCCTCTCGTGCTCATAGACACCCAAAGTCCAGAGGGCGCTGAGGCAGCAGGGGGCTGGCGTGTCAGTGCTGCCCCAAGTGCATGCACACCCAGCCGGTTCACAACAGTGCCCAGGCTCGGTTTCAACTTTGCTCTGAAATTGGAGCAGGTGCCGGGGGCCAGAAAAGGCCAGGAGAGCCCAGGAGAGGCCAGGTAGCAAAAGCAGGCATTCCCAAGCCTGCAGGGGCAGGGGGACTTCCTGGGCCCCCATAAGTGCAGGGATGCCCAAGTCCACAGCTGCGCCAACTCAGCAGCGGGTAGGGTTCCTGCCTGTTCCCAGCTCCTGCTAGTTCCATGGAGCGCTCAGCCCCAGCCATGCCTCCTCTGCTGCCGCCAGCGTCTTCACAGCAGCTGCTCCAGATAGGCTGCTTTTACCATCACCAGAAACAAACTAAACAATCCATTCCTGAAGAAGCTTCAAACTGTCAGATGTACCTTCCAAGATTCTCTTTTCTTCTGCCTCATTAGTCAATGTTTTGGTTTCAGGTTAAAGGAGAAGTTTCAAGCAATACATGTAAAAGTACTGTTCATAAGCAAAGCCATTTTTGTTTCGTAGCTCTTTTATAATCTCCTAATTACATAGGTAGGAAAATGGTTATGTAACACTCCCCCACACATTTTCCAGCCAGCCATGTTCCATAAATGCATACATTCCTCTTTGAAATGCGCTAAGCAATCTAGAAAGACTGCGTACATCTGGCTAAAACTATTTTATAGTTAGAGATTTCCTGGTACACTTCTAATTAACACTATTAACTTTACAGGGAGGTCTGGTCATAAGTACCTACTTACAAAGTGATGTCCTCTAGTGATTCATTCCTCTGGGTACCTGGTGTGATCAGAGTGAGTTATTGCCCTGCTGTTCATTTTTTTTAGCCCAACAGGGCACATCCTGGTTGACCATCATAGCAAAGAGAGGGAATGGACAAGACAATTCACTAATCAAAATGATTAAATTATTTTTCAAGATTCACCCATACCTGTTTCTAGAACATTTTTTTTAAGTATAACTGAAAGATAATCAGTTATTCTCTATGAGGAGTATTTAATGGAGATACGACTTACAAAACTGACAGAAATCGACATGTAATCAAGCAAACAATATTTTACGCCTATTTCTTTTTGGAACATACAAATCAGAATTTTAGGCAAGATTGTTTGCATATCTGAAAAAAAATGCTATAAAAATGTAAGACATTTAGAAATGTTCCTTAGTCGTTTGTGATGTGTTAATTAGTGTAGATAACCAACTATTCTGAATATTAAGAATAAATGCTTGAAAAAATCAGTTGTTGAAACTCACTTTTTATTAAGTATTTATTTATTAAGGTCTAAGTAAATAGTGAAAATCCTTACGCTTGTGCATGGCTCTCTAAACTCCGGAGAGCCAGATGATACAAACTGATCTCATACCTTTTTATTTAAGATAACTGAATGTCCCAATCTAACATCTAAAAAAATACATCTAAAAAATGCATTGTTTGATGATGTTTTTAGAAAATTATTGAAAACGATGACTCAATATATTATATTATCTATTTATTAAATAATAGTTAAGAGGACCAAGAGACATTAAAAATAATTTCTGATACTAATCTCTAAAAGGAAAATAAAGTACATTTCAAATGCTGATCATTCCGATAAGATTTTCCATTTCAATTATTTCATTAGCATATGCATCTTTTTGTTTGTTTTGCCATGAGTCAAAAAAAAATCAGAACTTTTCAATAAATTACTGTTATTACACTGCAATTAGGACAGCCCTTAAAGGATAAATTAGAAAATAATGAGAACTCCCCAAATATAATGCTTTATCTTCATTAATATTACAAACATTTAACTTTCGTAGCTTTTTTATAGCAAGAATTTATAAATTTAAAGTATACTTCAGAATAGGTCAGTGAACCCAAAGTGTGTTTTAGAGCATAGTTATATATATCCTTTGGTAGTAAGAGCAGGGTAGATCAATAACAAAGACATAAACACACACATCTATAAACACAAATGCCTCTCTCTATTTCTCTCTGGTGTGTGGTTTCTGCCTCAATATCACTTGTTCTCTCTTGCTCTTTCTGTCACACATACAATGAAGTAGACTTTATACACACTCTCAATAATACTAGCATAGTGAGTAGATTAAATTATTCCCAATAAAGCTAGTTGGTTGAATAATTGTGACACGTGGGAGAAAATTGAGTTGTAGACTGCATATTAGATGGGGAAGCAACAAAATATATTGATGTATACTATGTAGAAAGTTCATTTAACTTAGAATTTTTCTTTTTGCATTTTGCATGCCACAGAATGGATAAAACATTTTGTTTCCTTCAACTGTTTTCTATTTTATTTTATCTTAAATTTCTATTTTGAGCTCAGGGATACAGGTACAGGTTTGTTATATAAGGAAACCCATGTCGCACGGGTTTGTTGTACAGATTATTTTGTCTCCTAGGTATTAAGCCTGCTATCTATTAGTTATTTTTCCTGATCTCTCCTTCCCTCTTCCCACACTGCACCCTCCAGTAGGCCTCAGTGTCTCTTGTTTTCCTCTATGTGTCCATGTGTTCTCATCTTTTAACTCCCAGTTATAAGTGAGAACATGTGATATTTGGTTTACTGTACCTTCATTAGTTTGCTAAAGATAATGACTTCCAGCTTCATCCATATTTCTACAAAGGGCATGATCTCCTTCTTTTTTATTGCTGCATAGTATTTCATGATATGTTTGTACCACATTTTGTTTATCCAGTCTACCAATGATGGGCACCTATGTTGATTCCATTTCTTTGCTATTGTAAACAGTGCTGCAGTGAATATATGTATGCACGTGTCTTTATGATAGAATGATTTCTATTCCTTTGCATATGTACCCAGTAACAAGACAGCTAGGTCAAATGGTAGTTCTGTTTTTAGGTCTTTGAGGTATCGCCGTGCTGTTTTCCACAAAGATTGAACTAATTTACACTCCTACCAACAGTGGATGTGTTCCTTTTTCTCCACAACCTTGCCAACACCTGTTATTTTCTAATCATAGCCATTCTGACTGGTGTGACATAGTATCTCATCATGGTTTTGATTTGCATTCCCTAACAATTAGTGATATTGAGCTTTTTTTCATATGCTTGTTGGCTGCATGTGTGTCTTCTTTTGGAAAGTGTCTATTTATGTCATTTGCCCACTTTTTAAAGGGGCTGTTTGTTTTTTTCTCATGAACTTAAGTTCCTTATAGATGTTGGATATTAGACCTTTATCAGATACATAGTTTGCAAAACATTTCTCCCATTCTGTAGGTTGTCTGTTTACTTGGCTGATACTTTCTTTTTCTGTGCAGAAGCTCTTTAGTTTAATTAGATACCATTTGTCAACTTTTGCTTTTGTTGCAATTGCTTTTGATGACTTTGTCATTGCGGTAATTAATACTGAATGTCTACTTGATTGGATTGAAGGATACAAAATATTTGATCCTGAGTGTGTCCGTGAGGGTGTTGCCAAAAGAGATTAACATTTGAGTCATTGGGCTTGGGAAGGCAGATCTACCCTTAATCTGGTGGGCACAATCTAATCAGTTGCCATCGAATATAAAGCAGGCAGAAAAACATGAAAAGGAGAGACTGGCCTTGCCTCCCAGCCTACAACTTTGTCCCGTGCTGGATGCTTCCTGTCCTTGAACATTGGACTCCAGGTTCTTCAGTTTTGGGACTGTGATTGGCTCCCTTTGCTCCTCACCTTGTAGACAGCCTACTGTGGGACCTTGTGATCATGTAAGTTAATACTTAATAAACTCCCATTTATATATATATATATATATATATATATATATATATATATATATATATTAGGACACACACACACACACACACATACATATATATCTCCTATTAGTTCTGTCCCTCTAGAGAACCCTGACAAATACAGTTATGAAATCTTTGCCTGTGCCTATGTTCTGAATGGGATTGCCAAGTTGTCTTTCAGGGTTTGTATAGTTTAGAGTTTTAGATTTAAGCCTTTCATCCATCGTGAGTTAATTTTTGTATATAGTATAAGGAACAGGTACAGTTCCAATCTTATGCATATGGCTAGCCAATTCCCAGCACCATTATTAAATAGGTAGTCCTTTCCCCATTGCTCATTTTTGTCAGCTTTGTTGAAGATCAGACAGTTGTAGGTATGTGACCTTATTTCTGGCCTCTCTATGGAGTATAGTTTGAAGTCAGGTAGCACAATGCCTCCAGCTATGTTCTTCTTTCTTAGAATTGGCTTGGCTTTTTGGGCTTTTTCTTTTTGATTCTATGTGAATTTTTCAATTTTTTTTTCTAGTTTTGTGAAGAATGTCATTGATAGTTTGATAGGAATACCACTGAATCTGTAAATTGCTTTGGGCAGTATGGCCATTTTAATGATAATGAATCTTCTTATCCACAAGCATGGAATATTTTTCCAGTTTTTTATGTCATCTCTGATTTCTTTGAGCAGTGTTTTGTAGTTCTCCTTATATAGATTTTTGTACCTGTATTCCTAGGTATATTCCTAGGTATTTTATATTCCTATATTCCTAGGTATTTTATTCTTTCTGTGGCAATTGTGAATAGGATTAAGTTCCTGATTTGGCTTGTGGGTTGGCTGTTGTCAGTGTATCGGAATGCTAGTGACTTTTGTACATTGAATTTGTATTATGAAACTTTACTGAAGTTGTTTATCAGTGAAAGGAGCTTTGGGGCTGAGACTGGGGATTTTAGGTATAGGATCATGTCATCTTCAAACAGGGATAGTTTGATTTCCTGTCTTCCTATTTAGATGACCTTTATTTGTTTGCTCTGGCCAATTCTTTCAATATTACGTTGAATAGGAGTCATAAAAAAAGGCATCCTTGTCTTGTGCTGGTTTTTGAGGTGAATGCTTCCAGCATTTCTTCATTCAGTACAATGTTGACTGTGGTTTTGTCATAGATGGCTCTTATTATTTTGAGGTATTTTCCTTCAATATCTAGATTATTGAGAGTTTTTAACATAAAGTAGTGTTGAATTTATTGAAAGCCTTTTTTACATCTATTGAGATAATCAAGTGTTCTTTGTCTCTAGTTCTGTTTATGTGTTGTCTCACATTTATTGATTTGTGTATATTGAACCAACCTTGCATCCCAGGGATAAAGCCTACTTGGTCGTAAACCTTTTGGTGTGCTGTTGAATTCAGTTTGCAGTATTTTGTTGAGGATTTTTGCACCAATGTTCATAAAGAATATTTTCCTGAAATTTCCTTTTTTTTCTTATTGTGTCTCGCTAGGTTTTATTGTCAGGATAATGATGGCCTCATAGGTAGAGTTAGGGAGGAGTCCCTTCTCAATACTTCAGAATAGTTTCAGTAGAAATGGTACCAGATCTTCCTTGTAGAATTCAGCTGTGGATCTGTCTGGTCCTGGGCTTTTTTTTGTTGGTAGGCTATTTATTACTGACTCAATTTCAGATATCCCTATTGATCTGTTTAGTATTTCAATTTTTTTCTGGCACAATCTTGGGAGGGTTTATGTGTCCAGGAATTTCTACACTTCTTCTAGATTTTCTAGTTTATCTGCATAGTGATGTTCATAATATTCTCTGATGGTTATTTGTGTTTCTGTGGGGTCAGTGGTAATATCTCGTTTGTCATTCCTAAATTGTGTTTAGTTGGAAATTCTCTCTTTTCTTCTGTATTAGTCTAGCTAGTAGTCTTTTATTTTATTTATTTCAAAAGAAACTCCTGAATTTATTGATCTTTCACATGCTATTTTTGCATCTCATTCTCCTTCAGTTCAGCTCTAATTTTGGCTATTTCTTGTTTTCTGCTAGCTTTGGGATTTGTTTGCTATTGGTTCTCTAGATCTTTTAGTTGCGATGTTAGGTTATTAACTTGAGATCTTGCTAACTTTTTCATTTGGGCACTTAGCACTATAAATTTACCTCTTAACATTGCCTTCGCTGTGTTCCAGAGATTCTGGTGTGTTGTATTTTTTTCTCATTAGTTTGAAAGAACTTCTTGATTTCTGCCTTAATTTTATTATTTACTTGAAAGTCATTCAGAAGCAGGTTATTCAATTTTCATGTAATTGTATGGTTTTGAGCAAATTTCTTATTCTTGATTTCTAATTTGGTTGCATTGTTGTCCAAGACAGTGGTCGTTAAAATTTCATTATTATGCATTTGTTGAGGAGTGTTTGGTTTCTGATTATATGGCCAATTTTAGAGTATATGCCATTTGGCAATACGGATATATATTCTGCTGCTTTGAGTAGAGAGTTTTGTAGATATCTATCAGTTCCATTTGATCCTGTGCTGAGGTCAGGTCCTGAATGTCTTTGTTAATTTTCTCCCTCCATGATCTGTCTAATACTGTTAGTGGGATGTTGAAGTCTCCTACTACTATTGTGTGGGAGTCTAAGTCTTTTTGAAAGTCTCTAAGAACCTTCTTTATGAATCTGGGTGCTCCTGTATTGGGTGCATATATATTTAGGATAGGTAGTCTTTGTGTTGAATTGAACCCTTTATCATTATGTAATGCCTGTTATTGTCTTTTTTCATCTGTGTTAGTTTAGTTTGTTGTGTCTGAAATTAGGATTGCAACACCTCCTTTTTTCTGTTTTTTTTAATTGTTGTTGTTGTTGTTTGTTTGTTTGATAGATTTTTCTCTATCCTTTCATTTTGAGTCTATGGGTGTCATGTATGTGAAATGTGTCTCTTGAAGACAGCATACCAATGGGTTTTGATTCTTTATCTGGCTTTCCACTCTGTACCTTTTAATTGGGGCATTTAGCCCATACACATTCAATGTTAGTATGGATATGTGTGGATTTGATGTTAGCTGTTTATTACACAAACTTATTTGTGTGGGTGCTTTATAATATCATGGTTCTATGTACTTCAGTATGTTTTTGTAGTGGCTGGTAATGGTCTTTCTTGTCCATATTTAGTGCTACCTTCAGAAGCTGTTGTAAGACAGGTCTGGTGATAATGAATTCTTTCAGCATTTGCTTATGTGAAAAGGATCTTATTTCTCCTTTGCTTTGGAAGTTTAGTTTGGTTAGATATGCAATTCTGGGTTGAAATTTCTTTTCCTTAAGAATGTTAAGTAGTGGCCTCCAAATCTCTTCTGGCTTGTAGGGTTTCAGCTGAGAGGTCTGCTGTTAGTCTAATGGGCTTCCCTTTGTAGGTAACCTGAACTTTCTCTCTAGCTGCCTTTAATTTTTTGTTTGTTTGTTTGTTTTTTGCATTTTGACATTGAATAATCTGATTATTATGTCTTGGGAATGATCTTCTTGATCTATCTTACTGGGGTTCTCTGAATTTCCTGAATTTAAATGTTGGTGTCTCTAGCTAGGTTAGGGAAGTTCTCATGAATGATAGCCTGAAATATGTTTTCCAAGCTGCTTGCACTCTCCCCATCTTTCAAGAACACTAA
The DNA here is from genome assembly GCF_000001405.40 of Homo sapiens. Lineage (NCBI taxonomy): Eukaryota > Metazoa > Chordata > Mammalia > Primates > Hominidae > Homo > Homo sapiens. Next base: position 45,292,050 of record NC_000004.12, read on the forward strand.
TGAGTCATAGTTTCTATCTCTTTATATAAATCTGTGTTTCTTGGAAGTTTTGTTCATTCCTTTTCATTCTTTTGTCTCTATTCTTATGTGACTGACTTATTTCAGAAAGCTGGTCTTCAGGCTCTGAGATTATTTTCTCAGCTTGGTCTGTTCTATTAATACTTGTGATTGCATTATGAAATTCTTGTAGTGTGTTTTCAGCTCTATCAGGTAAGTTCCAGTCTTTTCTATTCTATTGTCTGTCAGCTCCTGTATTGTTTTGTGTGATTCTTAGCTTTCTTAAATTGAGTTTCAAGGTACTGCTGCATCTCAATGATCTTCATTCTTATCGTATTCTGAATTCATTTCTGTCATTTCAGCCATTTCAGCCTGGTTTAGGACCCTTGCTAGAGAGGTGGTGTGGTTGAATGGAGGAAATAAGGCACTCTGGCTTTTTTAAGTTGTCAGAGTTCTTGTGTTGGTTCTTTTTCATCTTTGTGGACTGATGGTTCTTAATCTTTGAAGTTGCTGACCTTTCGATTTTTTTTCTTTCACCCTATTTTATGACCTTGAGTATTTGATTGTGGTATAAGGTGGATTCAGCCAACTGGCTTCATTTCTGAAAGATTTTGGTGGGCCAGTGCTTAGGTCCCAACTCCTGGACTGCATGCTATAACTCTCAGGGACTTGTATTGTGCCCTAACTTTGTTCCCTGGGTCCTCCTGGTTAGGAATCCACTGTGCTGGGGCAGCCGAGGTGCTCCTGGACTACTAGTCATTACACTTGAATTGGTGATGTCAGCAAACGTGTTTCATAATGCGGTGGCAACAGGATCCATCTGCTCACATGTGCCAGCAGCAGCAGGGGCACTGCAGCAGGGTATATGTTCACCAGCCTCTAATGGGTGCCAAGGTGCCTGCCTCTGTGCAGGCATTCACCGCAGTGGTAGAGGCAGTGTGGCTAGGTGTAGGGGTGAGGGGCCTCTGCTGGTGACTGTGCATGTGGTCATATGGGTGATGGTGTTAGCACAGGGGCAGGATTCTGGCAGGCATAGGTCTGTGTGTGCTGTGAGCTACAGGCAGAGTTGGTTGCTCTGGGTGGGGGAGGATCCACGGTTCTCTGCGCCTAGTTTCACTCCTGTGGGCAGTGTTGGTGCAAGGCCAAGCCATGGTGGGAGTAGGCCTGGCTGACTCTGTTTCCACCTAGGCTCTGACTGCAATGGCGGTCTGGTGGGGAAGGGCGAAGGTGGAGCACACTTCGTAGCAGTGGCAGAGGAGGGTGCATGCACACATGTATTCTGGTGGGTCAAGGAAGGCAAAACCTTCCCATACACACATGCACCAGCAAAGTGATGTAGGGGTTGCCATGGGCCCAAAAGATGTTGCAGCGTGTGGAGGGAGTGGGCAGGCTGGTGTGTGACTATGGGGGCAGGGATTTTTACGGACTGGGAAGATAAGGAATGCACTGACTGGTCTTGGACAAAGTGCTACTCAGCTTGGCCTGGGACCTCGGCCTGGGACCAATCAGGAGCTGGAGTGATGATTCACAGTGGCTCGACTCACAGTCCAAAGCCTGTCCAGAAAAGGAAAGGAAAGTGTCCACCGGAACCCACCAGAGCCCACCCTGTGCATGCCTACAAAAGGAGAAGAGACTATTTACTGGAAGCCCGCTGGTTTTATATATATATGGTTGGGTCTTCTTCCCTTATCACTGTAGTTGTGGGCATGTCTTTAGGCACAAAGAACAAAGGCGTTTCTATGTTGGGCCTTGTTTCTTTATTTGAGTGGGCCAGAAGTTTGTGCAAGTTTCCTTATCTGAACCTGCAGCCTGATTTTTCAGGTTGTTTCTCTGTTAAAAGTAATTTTACCAAGGACCACGCTAACTACCTAACTTTTCTCTCTCACTAGGATTTGAATACAATACTTAAACCAATACATTATATTGCCTTTTAAATACAAAGAAGGTGCTAATCTGTAAAACAGTTCTCAAATAAGTCTTATTTTAGCTAATGAATTGAACATTCCAAATTCAATGTTACAGTGAACCCATCTACACATAAGTATGTGTATAATACACATATGATATTTACTACAAAATATAAAATTTTAAGCTCCACCACAGATATTTTTATGTAATCTTTCTCCATTCATTTGAAATGCACATGTTTTGTAATTAATGTCTACTCTAGTGAAACCATAGAGCCAATTGATGACTACTTTAATCACCATCCCATTACAAATGCTATCTTTATGGTAGCATGCATTAGGATGTCCTAAATTCACTGAATACTACTTATACTGTGAGGGCTTTTCATACAGCAGATGAGGCTGATAATCACTGTGTTTATTAAAATAATATTTTCCTCTGGTTTCCATAGGTTTTCTTTAAGTCTGTATTGGTACTTCTTTAATACTGTATTGGTTTCCCTCCATTCTTTGTCTCCTTTAGTCTTCCTTTGTAATACCTGCTTCTGATTCAGAAAAAGATTAATGTTCCTCCTAGGTGTTTACTGAAGCCTACTGATATAACTCAGGGCCTGGCAAACTTTCTCCATACACAGCCAAATGGTAAATATTTTAGCCTTTGCTAGTCATTAGGTCTCTGTTATGACTACAAGACTCTGCCATTGTAGTGTGAAAGAGGTCATAGATGATATGTAAATAAATGGGTGTGATTGTGTTCCAGTAAATTCTGTTTACAAAACCAGGTGGGGAGCTAGATTAGGCCAACGGGTTGTGGTTTGCCAACTCCTTTTCTAACTCTAAATTTTGCAGAATAATTGCAAACACTGTCATAGCTTCAGTTGCAATCTGCTGTCTGTGTGTTAGTATTCAGTAGCTCTATGCTAAATTCCAGTTTGCATTTGACCATTTATACTTAAATTCTTCCTTCCTTTTTGTTTTATGTTAAGATTTTTTTTTGCTTTCTATCATTTCTTGGGCCCTGTGATAGGTCCAAATATTTATAGGTGAGCTAAAATAAGCACATGCCTGATTTCAAGGACATTATAATTTAATGAGAGGGCAGAGGATCAACCATTAATCAAGAAACGGAACCAATAATTATTTTATTATAAATTGTGACAATCAGGTCACAATTAAGCTGATGCATGTTTGTTATGTTTATTTCATTGATCAGTATATCAAGGGCAACAAAGCTATGTGGATGTGGATGAACAATATGGCTTTGAAGGGAGTATAAGTTAAAAATATAAGGGTACATACAACTAATATTTAAGGATTGATTAGAAAAGGACAAACAAGCTAGAGATTAGACAAAGAAACAAGTAAGAAGAAAATTAAAAGAATGAGGTATCACAGATATCAAGGAAGAGAAGCTTTCAGTATGGAGAGAGAAGTCTACTATGCCAAAGTGATCTTGAGAAACAAATGTTTCAACATGATGTTTTCTGCTAAAACCCTTTAGTGTTTCAAAAACCCCTAATGATTGCCTCCTGACCTCTCTGACCTCAGTTAAGGCACTCCATTGGAGGTAGGGGGTTCTGCATTCTAATCTTACTGTTCTTGACTGATTCTTCTGAATTGTCTGCCTATTCATTTGCTAGTACTATATTATTTCAATTGATATAAGTTGCTTTTATATTTATATTGAAAGCAGCCCCATATTATTTTTGTACACAATCTCTTAGATATTTTCAACAGTTATAAATCTAGATGAACTATGAAATAACTCTAAAATTTCAAAAGTTACATAATATTTAAATTTTGATTAAATCTAAACATAATTTCAGAGCTACTTGGTGTCTTCAATTTATTAAATTCTCTTCAAGAACATTGTTGTTTTCTATTTATTCATATCTAGTTTGTTTCTTGGTGAATGCATAGATTTTTGTCTATGAAAAAATTTATAGTGTTTTAAAAATTTATGTGCATAGTATATTTATTCCACTGTGAACCAAGATTCTTAAATTTGAATTTTATTTTAAATTGTATGAATGGTATGCAGTAAATCTCTTAATATTTTTGAAATATTTGTTTTTCATTGACACATCCTAAGGAAACCAACAAAAATTTGAATTCTAATACATTTCTAGTTGATTTTCTTTATTGTATAAGTAGGGTGTTTCTATATGTATGTGGTTGTGAGAGATATCTTCTGAAACTAATGATTATTTTGTCTTCTTTTATATCATAGTTAGAACACCACTGCTTTACATCTTATTTTAATGATTTGACATCCCAATATGAGGCTGAAAATTTTATAATTGGCGTTTTATGTCATCTTAATTCTGATCTATATTATTCCACAAGTCTTAACTTGCTATCATGTCACCTCCCTAAAATATATACAAAGTACTACTTCCTTTTATGTCTTATATTTTAATGTTTAAAAACTACATTCTATTATAATTGTTTCTTGTTTTCCTGAAAAATACTGTTACCAAAGAATGCAAAGTTATTTACCCATACTGAATATTTTAATATTACTTTATTCTTTCATTGCTTTCTTATTCTAGCTTAACAGTTTAATCAAATTACAAGAAAAATAACTATTCATGGAAAAATCAGTTTAATTAAAAGTAGCAATATTGTAATACTTTTAATAGTTTTTTAATAGACCGAAGCCAAATTTAGTAAAATTTATTTTAATTCTCAGAGTTCATTAATACATTCATTGCTCTAAACCACTTATCTTACAGTCTCTATTCCACTTTGTAACAACTGTAGTACTATTTTTGATGTAAGTATTGAGAGACTTTCTAATAATATTGCCTTTGAAATTATTCAATTATAATGATGTAATTTAATTTACCATTTATTATGACTTCTTAGCAATCATCATGTGAAAATGGGAATGGTTACAAAGGGAAAAAATTATTCAACAAATTTCTTCACATAAATTAAATTTAATTATATGAAAATCAGCAACATAAAGTTGAGGAAGTTCTCCCATTCTTATTTTCTAGGACTTTTTGTCACAAATTTTTGATGAATTTTATCAGATGCTTTTTCCATGCTATGAATTGATTGACAAATGTGGTTTTTCTTCTTTTGCCTGTTAATATGTTAGATTACATGGACTGATTTTCAAATACAGTTATGCACTTTATAATGGTGTTTTGGTCAAGGATGGACTATGTAGAAGATGGTGGTTCTGTAAGATTAGAATGGAGCTAAAAAGTTCCTATCACACAAATAATTATCATTGTGTTAATATTTCCTTGTACTATTCAATAAAGTAACATGCTGTACAAGTTTGTAGTCTAGGAGCAATATGCTATACCACTTAGCCTAGGTATGTAGGAGGCTGTACCATCTAGGTTTGCACAGAGATGAAACTGCCTAACAGTGCATTTCTCAGAACATGTAACCATTGTTAAGAGATGCATGACTGTATCAAACTAACTTTGCAAATTTTACTTGGTCATGGTATATAACCAGCTCTTCTATTTTCTAGAAAGTATTGTATAGAATTGGTGATAATTCTTTCTTTAAGTTTTGCTCATTCAGTGGAATGATCTAGGATGAAAGGTTTCAGCTCTAGGAATTTTTAGTCTATAAAATCAATGTCTTTGGTAATTATAAATTTATTTAAATGACCTATTTTATATTGGATAAGTTGTGATGTTTTATATTATTCAAAGAGTTGGTCCAATTCATCTAAATTGGCCAATTTATTTGTACAGATTTATATATAGTATCCCTTTATTATTTTACTATATGCATGATCTTTAGCAATATTCCATGTTTCACTGCTGATATAGGAAATTTGTGTTTTCTCTTCCCTCTTTATCACTCTGGTTAGAGGTCTGACAATTTTATAGATGTTAGTTAATACATTTCCTATATTATTTTCTGGATTTGTTTGTTTTTTTCTGCTCATCCTTCTGCTTGTTTTGTGCTTATTTTTCTCTTATATTACCAGATTCTTGAGGTGATACCTTTGATATTTGAATTGTTTTTTCTTGAATGTATACTCTGCTTTTATTGGGTGGGGTGTTTTATAAATTTCTATAAGATCCTGTTGGTTAATGGTATTGTTTAGTTCTTTCAGATACATGTGAATTTTCTCTCTAGTTCTTCTACCAAATGTTAAATGAGGGATGTTGATGTCTCCAATTATAATTGTGGGTTTGTCTATTTATCATTTCAGTTCTTTAAGCTTTGAACTTCACATATATTATACCTCCGTTCTTTGGTGCATGCATATCTAGGATTGCTGTGTCTTCAGGGTAGATTGAACCCTTTATTATATAAAGTATGTCTTTTCATATGATAATTCTCTTTGCTCTGAAATTTGTTTTATCTGATATTAGTATAGCAATTTGATTTATTTTGATTAACATTTTACAATATGTCTTTTTATTTTCAACCTGCCCACATCATTATGTTTGAAATGAGTTTTTGTAGATAGCAGATAGTCGAATTAGTCTCTTTAATTCACCCTACACATCTCTGGTTTTAAAAATTAGTATAGTTAGTCCATTTACACTTAATGTAATTGTTGATATATTAGGGTTTAAATCTGGCATTTGAGTATTTGTTTTCTGTTTGATTTTTCTGTTTTAATTTCTCTCTTTTTCTTTTACTGTTTTCCTCTTGGTTACATGAATATTTGTGAGTATTAGTATGGATTTATCTACATTATTTTTAGTTTATGTAATTGTAAGTTTTTTGTGGTTTCTAAATATTATATTATATATACATCTTATCACAGTCTACTGAAATTGTCATTTTAACCACTCAAGTAAGGTGTAAAAATCTTACTATTACATCTCTTCTAGCCTCCTTTATTTATCATATAATTGCCTTATATATTTCCTTTAAATTCATTTAGAACCACATCACAGAATGTAATAATTATCACTTCTACATTCAAACAATTTTTTAAAACTTAAGAGTAAAAGGAAAATCTGTATGTAGCATTTACCCATAGATTTTGCTTACTTTGTTTTTTCTTACTTCCTGATGTTCCAAGTTCCCTTCCTTAATGTTTTCTGTTTAGAAAACGTATTTTTGACATTGTTTAAAGGTAGATCTACTAACAACAGATTATCTAGGTTTTCCTTTACACGAAATAAATTTTATTTTACCTTCATAACTGAAGGTGATTTTCACTGGATATAGAAATCTGGATTGAAAGAATTATTTCCACTCTTGAAAATTGTTGGAAATTGTTTTGTCACTTTGTTCAACCTTCATAGTTTCCAATGAGAAATCTGCTGTAGTTCAAATAGGTTAATACCTATACATAAGGTTTGCTTTCTCTAAGACTACTTTCAAGATTTTTTTTTCAGTTTTCAGAAGATTGACTATGATGAGTCTTTGCATGTATTTATTTGGACTTTTGAAAAAAAGGTTTATTCACTTTCTTGAAGCTAGGGCTTTATCTATTTTGCCTAATGTATGAAAGTTCCAGCCATTGCATTTTCTTCCCTTAATGTTTCAGCCCCACCCTCTTTCTTCATTCCTGTAGGACTTTAGTGACATTAGTGCCAAATAATTGGGTATAGACCCCCATGTCCATGAAGCCTTGTTGATTCTTATGTGGGTGATATGGTTTGGATCTCTGACCCGCCTGAATCTTATGTTCAATTGTAGTCCTCAGTGTTGGAAACGGGGCCTGGCAGAAGGTGACTGGATCATGGGGGTGGATCCATCAGGAGTGATTTAGAACAGGATTGTGCTAAACCATTCATGAATGAACCACCCTCACGGCTTCCCTGGGCCACATTGGAAGAAGAAAAATTGCCTTGGGCCATACATAAAATATACTAACACTAATGATAGGTGATGAGCTAAAAAAAATCACACAGAAAACTTCATAATGTTTTAAGAAAGTTTATAGATTGTGTTGAGCCATTTTCAAAACTGTCCTGGGCTGCACACAGCCCATGGGCTGCAGGTTGGACAAGCTTGGTTTAGCACCATCCTCTAGGTGCTGTTCTTGTGAAAGAATTCTCATAATACCTGATTATTAAAAGTGTGTAGCACCTCCCCTGCCTCCCTATTGCTCCTATTCCAGCTATGTGATGTGTGTGCTTCCCCTTGGTCTTCCACTATAATTGGAAGCTTTCTGAGACCTCCACAGAGGCCAAGCAGATGCCAGCATCATGCTTCCTGTACATCCTGTGGAACTGTGAGACAATTAAACCTCTTTTCTTTATAAATTACCTAGTCTCAGGTATCTTTTTTATAGCAATTTGAGAATGGCCTAATACAATGTGTGTTAGGTGTGTGTGTGTGTGTGTGTGTGTGTAAAATTTCTTTATTTTTCATATTGGGTAATTTCTGTTCTATCTTAAAATTCAATGATACTTTCCATTTTCTTTTCAATTCTGTTGTTGAGGCCATCCACTAAGTATTTTATTTGTTGTTGTATTTTTTTAGTTCTATGTGGCTCTTCTTTGTATCTTGTATTTCTTTGCTAAACTTTCAAAAATGTTACTTAAAAGGTGTTCGTGATTGCTCATTGAAGGATTTTTATGATGGCTGCTTTAAAATTAATGTTAGGTAATGCTAACATCTGTATTATCTAAGTGTTGGCATCTGTTGATTGTCTTTTCTCTGATATTTTGAGATTTTTCTTGTTCTTGCCATGAGAAACATTCAATTTGGAGTTATAATAAAAAGATTTTCAGATTTAAAAAAACAAAGAAAGAAATGGGGAGAGATTTGTTCAAACACATGAACAATACATGAAATCAAGAAATACTAAAGTGTAATAACATCGGATTGAAACTTGGATCTAAAGAAAGAAATTAAAAACTATAAACATGAAAATTTTGTGATTAAATATAAAAATATTATTTATCCTTTCTTAAATTATTTTAAAGTGAGTTGTTCATCAAATAAAAAGTAATATAATATATCATGAGTTACATGATATTAGTGGAATTAAAATATGTGAAAACAATATAACAAAGGCTAGGTGGAATATAAATTGACTCAAATTATTGCAGAGGTCTTTTATATGAGGTGGTACATTATATTTAAAATGGTTTACTGATTATAGATATATCTATTTTATTAAAGTCTGTCATCTTTTACTGTATACATTTTGATGCTCTTTGTTACATTCCAATTTAGAATTATCTATCAACCATCTATCTATATCAACTTCATTTTAAATGGATTCTATTATAATTAGAAAATATCTCTTTAGCTCAACAAATATTTTGACTTAAATTTTATTTTTATTAATATTAATATAGCCACATCAATTTTGTTCTTGTTAGTATTTCTAATATATATAGATATATTGTTTTTTAAGAAATATAAATTATTAGTATCTTTATTATCATGGTGTTTTTATCATATAGTAATTTTGAAAAGAGGCAAGCCAGGGGCATCACATTACTTGACTTTGACTATACTACATGGCTACAGTAATGAAAACAGTATAGTACTGGTACAAAATAGACACATAGACCAATGGAACAGAATAGAGAACCCAGAAATAAAACTGCATACCTATTGCCAATTGATCCTTGACAAAGTTGACAAAAATAAGCAATGGGGAAAGAACTGCCCATTCAATACATGGTGTTGAGAAAACTGCCAAACCGTACACGGAAGATTGAAACTGGACCCTTACCTAGCACCATATGCAAAACACTAACTGAAGATGAATTACAGATGTAAATGTAAGACTTCAAACTGTAAAAATCTTAGAAGAAAATCTAGGAAATTACCTCTGCCTTGGCAAATAATTTATAACTAAGTCCTCCAAAGCAATTGCAACAAAAATGAAAATTGAAAACTGCAACCTAATTAAACTAAAGAGCTTCAGTACAGCAAACGAAACTATCAACAGAGTAAACAGACAACCTACAGAATGGGAGAAAATATTCACAAACTCTCCACCTGATAAAGGTCTAATATCAGGAATCAATAAGGAACTTAAACAGTTGAACAAGTAAAAAAGTAAATAATCCTGTTAAAAAGTACGCAAAGGATGTGAACAGACACTTCTCAAAAGAAGACATCCAAATGACCAACAAACATGAAAAATGCTCAATATCACTAATCACCAGAGAAATGCAAATCAAAACCACAATGAAAAATATTTATGCTGAATATAAATCCTTTAAATTGGATTATTTGCTCTGTTTACATTTACCAATAAATGTTGGTTGTGTTTATTCTTGCTTGTACCATGATGAGTTACTGTTTATGAATTCTGGCCATTTTAGATAATACGGTATAGGGCCTCGAACTTATATTTTAGTAAGCCTCTTCTAACACCACTCAAGTAAGGAGAGTGGAAGGTGCCTTGTTACATGTGGGTAAAGGTGAAAGTCCAAGATTCCCATGTGGCTCCACAGTCTCCCGTAGGGAAGAAAAACTTTTTATTGCCCATTGAGTATATAAATCTTTGGTCTCCATTTGGCCTTCTCTGACCCCATCCCAGGAAGGGCTTATGGTACCCCATCATAGTCTGGAAAAACGGGAGGTCTAGCCTCTCCAATTAGTGTTTTCTGGGAGAGATAAAGTATGGTGAGTTCTATTCTGTCAATTGTGGCTGGAGCAAAGCAATTATTATCTAAATGTTTTCTGCTTTGTTTAGATGTCCTTTCCCTGATCTTTTGGTTAGAAGGAGTAGGTTTTTCTTGGAGCCTTTGTTGTTTGCACCAATTGGCTTTATATTTTTGTCACCATCTTCTCCAGTATCTAATCTTGGCTATATGAGGAAAAAATAATGCCAAGGTAACTAACATTCCTTTCATTCCTCAGTTTCTGAGGTCCCTAGATCTATTCTTTATCTTTCAAATACTTTTTATGCTTGTTTTTAATATCCAGGATTTTAATTGTAGTTTTAGTATGATTTCAAAGTAATTAATATTTTATATCTGTTCCACCCATATTTAATAAGGAACATTCATCTTGGGCATAGAAGAACCAGAAAATTAAAACATGATCTTCGCCCTTTAAGTACATAAAGTTGAAAGAAGTTAAATATGTGCATAATAAAGTGAAATAACCATACAGTCTAGTTTATTCCAAGGACAGTATATGCATGCTGCATTATTCTTCACTTTGCATGTCATATCATTAATCATTTATGACTCTATCCTACCCTAAATGGATTATGACTCATCACAATGTCCTAAATATCCACTATCAATTTGACAGAGAAGGCCATGAGTTAAAACCCATTTTCATTTCATATTTGTAGTAAATAATATAGGATATTGAAGAAAGCATTCACTTTGGGCTATAAAATCAGATAAGAGCTCATAAGATGTCACATTTAAAATGTGTTTTATTGCAGATCCTTCATTTACTGGCTCTGTGACCTGAAGCAAGTTTTATAAAGTATGTGCTCATGTGTTCTTATTTATAAAAGGGAAACGATGAAAAAATTTTTTTCCAGGTTTTTTTTTATATTTATATTTATATTTATTTATTTTTATTATTATTATACTCTAAGTTTTAGGGTACATGTGCACAACGTGCAGGTTTGTTACATATCTATAAATGTGCCATGTTGGTGTGCTGCACCCATTAACTCGTCATTTAGCATTAGGTATATCTCCTAATGCTATCCCTGCCCCCTCCCCCCACCCCACAACAGGCCCCGGTGTGTGATGTTCCCCTTCCTGTGTCCATGTGCTCTCATTGTTCAATTCCCACCTATGAGTGAGAACATGTGGTGTTTGGTTTTTTGTCCTTGTGATAGTTTGCTGAGAATGATGGTTTCCAGCTTCATCCATGTCCCTACAAAAGACATGAACTCATCATTTTTTATGGCTGTATAGTATTCCATGGTGTATATGTGCCACATTTTCTTAATCCAGTCTATCATTGTTGGGCATTTGGGTTGGTTCCAAGTCTTTGCTATTGTGAATAGTGCCACTATAAACATACGTGTGCATGTGTCTTTATAGCAGCATGATTTAGAATCCTTTGGGTATAATGGATGGCTGTGTCAAATGGTATTTCTAGTTCTAGATCCCTAAGGAATTGCCACACCGACTTCCACAATGGTTGAACTAGTTTACAGTTCCACCAACAGTGTAAAAGTGTTCCTATTTCTCCACATCCTCTCCGGCACCTGTTGTTTCCTGACTTTTTAATGATTGCCATTCTAACTGGTGTGAGATGGTATCTCATTGTGGTTTTGATTTGCATTTCTCTGATGGCCAGTGATGATGAGCATTTTTTCATTGTTTTTTGGCTGCATAAATGTCTTCTTTTGAGAAGTGTCTGTTCATATCCTTTGCCCACTTTTTGATGGGGTTGTTTGTTTTTTTCTTGTAAATTTGCTTGTGTTCATTGTAGATTCTGGATATTAGCCCTTTGTCAGATGAATAGGTTGCAAAAATTTTCTCCCATTCTGTAGGTTGCCTGTTCACTCTGACGGTGGTTTCTTTTGCTGTGCAGAAGCTCTTTAGTTTAATTAGATCCCATTTGTCAATTTTGGCTTTTGTTGCCATTGCTTTTGGTGTTTTAGACATGAAGTCCTTGCCCATGCCTATGTCCTGAATGGTATTGCCTAGGTTTTCTTCTAGGGTTTTTATGGTTTTAGGTCTGACATGTAAGTCTTTAATCCATCTTGAATTAATTTTTGCATAAGGTGTAAGGAAGGGATCCAGTTTCAGCTTCTACATATGGCTAGCCAGTTTTCCCAGCACCATTTATTAAATAGGGAATCCTTTCCCCATTTCTTGTTTTTGTCAGGTTTGTCAAAGATCAGATAGTTGTAGAGATGCGGCATTATTTCTGAGGGCTCTGTTCTGTTCCATTGGTCTATATCTCTGTTTTGGTACCAGTACCACGCTGTTTTGGTTTATTTCTTCTTGTGTCAGTTTTGGGAAGATGTGCTTCAATAATTTATCTATTTTGTTTTAATTTTCAAGTGTATTTGGATTAAGCTTTTCTTGGTAATTTTTAATTATCATTTTTTAATTCCTGAAACATAAGTGATTGTTGTTTTTACTTTTTTCAAGGGTTAAAAAATGAATAGGGTAATTATACAGATCAGTTGCTAACCTTTTGCTCCAGAACTATTTTGCAAAACACCTATTTTTGATTCATTGCTATTCTTTCAATGACTACCAGGAGTGCATATAAGAAGAAGGGTTAAGTTTACCCTCCGGGTGAATGTCTAAAGCAATACTGGGGCTTGACGCAGCTGAGAGAGAAAAATGCACTGACCAGGATTCTCCGCAGAAAGCTAAAGTGATGGTGGATGATGAACACTGACTTCCAGCAGAAGCAGAAGATATTCTTCTGTGGCGGAAAGCTCAATTTCACAAAGATACAGTTGTCAAGATTAGTATGGATCAAATAAAAACCCCAAACAACTTTTTAATAGAATTCACCAAGCTTTTTCTAAAATATATGTGAAAGAAAAAATGGCCAAAAATAGTCAAGATACTTCTGAAGATGTAGAATAAGGGGTGTGTCCTACATGGGCAGGAGAGGAATTTGTACCAAAAAGTATATATCCTCATTAAAAAACACTTAAAATACATGGACCAGTAGAGCAAAAATATTAGTCCAGAAGCATGTCAATCAATGCAGAAAGGAGGGACAATGCATAAGATAGAGGTGAAAAAAATGTACACTCCACATGGAAAAAAATGAAAATTAATCACTGTATATCAATTACAAAATTTGATTCCAAAATTAAGAATTTAAATGTGAAAATTAAACTTTGAAGCATTTTAAATTAAATGTAAGAGTATTTTTTTAACTCTGGTGATTGAAATGATAATTCAATTATACCAGAATTAAGCTCCCACTCTAAATACTTGTTTTTTCTCAATTCTCTTTGAATAATGTTTTTTGAGCAAGGAGCTTAACCAATAGCAATAGTTAAATTTCCTCTTTAATTGATATAACATCAATTAAATTATGAAATCAAGATGCAAGAAATTAAGAGGCTAATCAATTAAGTCAGTTGTTAGATGATAAAGAATAATTTAGAGAAATGACAGGACATATCTTGGTATTTGCTTTATTTGGAGACTATATATGGGGGAAAGAGATGTACGAGTAACTTTATTGTATTATGTCTAGATCCATAAGTGTCACATTTATTCAACATTTAACAAGTAGTTATTGATAATTTCAAAAGTAAAATTTTGTATTTGATGTATATTGTAAGGAGAAGATTGAAGGATTTCTCAGAAATTTTTGTCTTGAGCTCAAAATAAAAATAGAAGTTGGCATGTTTTGATATGAGTAAGACTGGCAGATGAACAGGTTGAAAGAAACTAACCATTAGGAGCACAGTTTTGGATATGTCATGTTTGAAACATCTGTAATATTCATGGATATATAGATATTTGAAATCACTGCCCAAAATAGGAATGCCAGAATTGTCAAGTGATTGTTGCAACAATTTTTTTTTGAAATGTAACATACATATAATAAAATTTACAGATTTCAAGTGTCAGGCTCATTGTATGCAAGCAGCAGATACCGGGATGAAACAAATATCAAAGTTTCAAAGTTTTTGGTAATAGCATATTAGTGTTCGTTTAATCTAAAAGTAAAAATACAATAACTATATGAAGGCGTGGAACAACAAAAGCAGGCATAAATTAGATGGTAACCTGACAGACGTTTGGCCTTGAAATGAAAGAAAAATGTGAACATGTCTTTTAGGGGCCACCATTTAACAAGTAAAATTTCAGAACTATCAAAAGTAATCATAACAAATTGAAATGCTAGATTTGGAAACTACAATATTGGTAATCAAACTTTAATTGCATGGGATTCATAGCAGATTGAACACTATTCCCCTGACAACCCCACAAAATGAAAAGCATCCATGAACTTGAAGATAGATCCACTATCTATTTAAGTATTTTCCCCTTCTGTGAAGTACACAGAGGTACCTCCTCAGAGGTACACAGAAGGGGAAAATACTTAAAAATAGAACAGTGCATCAATGGCTTATGATAGGATGTTTAAAAGCCACATAAGCATTTCACATTCATCTAAACCTAGAAGACAATGGAAGCTCAGAAAACGCCTAGCAGGGAAATTACAGAAAACCATGTTTAGAAACATCATAATCTAACTGCTGAACATCAAAAATAAAAGCAGTCTTAAAAGAAATGGAAGGTAAATGAAACAAAACAAAACAAACAAATAAACAAAAAAGACACCCACATACTGCATTCGGGGAAACAATGATAAGATTGACTACCAATTTGTTATTAGAAAAAAATAGAGGCCAGGAAATCATGGAACAAGAAAACAAATGGAAAACCAAACAAAAACAAAAACCCACTCTCTCAACTTAGAACTGTATACCCAGTAAAGAGATTTTTTTTAATATACAGCTGTAACAAAGACACTTTTAGAATTAAAAGCCAAACAAAAAATGTGAAGAAAATTTATTCACAATAGACAAAAACATAGAAAATACTAAAGAGATATGATACTAGATTTAACTTGGAGCTAAGGAAAGAACACTAGATATGAAAAACATATGGTTAAATATAAAAATGTAATTTTTTTCACATTTTCTTAAACTTTGTGAAGGTGAACATCAAATAAAAAATGTAATACATACTGGCATATCTAACATTTGTAGTAGTAATTCATTGTTATTTTAATGTGCAATTCATTCCCTAATGATAAATGATGTTGAACATCTTTTTGCATACATATGTGCCATCTGTATTTCTTCTTTA
The DNA here is from genome assembly GCF_000001405.40 of Homo sapiens. Lineage (NCBI taxonomy): Eukaryota > Metazoa > Chordata > Mammalia > Primates > Hominidae > Homo > Homo sapiens. The sequence goes on from NC_000004.12 coordinate 45,307,645, forward strand.
TGAAGTATCTGTTTAGATCTTTTGCCTTTTTTCTAATTGGGTTATTTCTTTTCTTAATGTTGAATTTTAATGGATCTTCAAATATTTTAAATAAAAGTCATTATTGGATATATATTTTGCAATTATTTTTCCCAGTCTGTAACTCAATTTTTGTTGCTGTTGCTGTTTTCTTAAAATTTATCTTGCAGAGTGAGGTTTTTAATGCTAATGAAGTCCAACTTCAATTTTTGTCTTATAGACTATGCTACTGTTATATCTAAAAGGTCATCATCAATTCCAAGGTCATGTAAATTTTATGTATTTTATGTTTTCTTTTAGAAGTTTTAGAGTTTCACATTTTATATTTCGATCTATGTTTCATTTTAAGTTAAATTTTATGAAGGATATAAGATATGTGCTCAGGTTTCCCCCTTTTTTTTTGTTTACACACAGATGTCTTATCTTTTCAGCACTATTTGTTGAAAATACTATTATTTCTCCATATAATTGCTTTCATGCCTTTGCTAAAGGTTATTTGAGCATGTGTGGGTCTATTAGTGGGTTCTCTATTTTCTTCCGTCAATCTACGTGTCTATTTTTCCCTCGATACCACACTTGTATACTACAGCCTTGGAGAAAGTCTTGAAATCAAGTTATATGAGCCCTTCAACTTTTTTTTCTTCTTAAGTATTGTGTTGGCCATTCCAGGTCCTTGACTTTTTGTATAAACTTTAAAATGAGTTTTTCAATAGCCTGCTGGGTTATTGTTTGCGATTGAACTGAATATATAAATCAAGTTGGGAAGAAGTAACATCATAACAATATAGAGTTTTCCAATACATAAACATGGAACATATCTTTTTTGAATTCCTTCATCAGAGATCTGTTCTTGTCTACATATACATTGTGTAAATATTTTGTTACAATTTTACCTAACAATTTCCCTCATTGGTGATATATAGTAAATTATATTGTTTTTAAATTTCAAGTTCTAATTTTGTCCTTGATGAGGTCAATATAGATTCTACTTAAAAGATTTTAAAGTAGCCTTTTCATTTATCTGATAGAGTCTTTCCCTTAACTCTTAAATCTCACAATTCTAAAACCCTCTAGTAGTTTAATCTCAGGTTAAATGTCATCTTCCCGGAGAGTACTTGTCTGATCACCCAATCCAAGTAGCACTTGACCATTTTTTATTTGCACTGCAGTCATATTTGCTCATTGTAATTCTCTGAAAGACACATTTCACTATTTGTTTTGTTGTTGTTGTTTTGGCTTATTTGCTAAAGTTATGTATATGTTTATTGCTTATGTTTCCATGAGAATATAAATCCTGAAAGTTTAGGGACTTTTTTAGTTTTGTTCTGCATTCTACCCCCAGCAGTTTGAACAATTCCTCAATAAATGTTTGTTGGCTGAATAATTAATAACTTAATTATTCAATAATATTTGTTTCAAGTTAGTTTTCTCTCATAAACAGATGCTCAGACTAGAGTTTAAGTGAAATCCTAAAAAACACATTTAGGAAATGGGAGATTCAGAAAAGGAAAGGAAAATAACAGTATAGATCATGGTTAGGTAAATAATCATCCTCCAAAGTGCCCATCCACTCATCCCTGAAACCTGTGAATTTGCTACCTTACAAGAAAAGAGGGAATTTGCAGACATGATTAAGTTAAACATAGTGAAATGGAATGATCTTGGACCATCTCAGCAGATCCAATGTATCAAAAGAGTTCTTATAAGAGAGTGGCAGGAGAATTACAGTAAGATAGATATTTGAGGATGCTATTCTGCTGGCTTTGAAGTTTGAAGAAAACACATGTCAAGGCAAACAGGTGGCCTCTAGAAGCAGACAAATCCAAGGAAATGGATTCTTTCCTAGAGCCTTGAGAAGGAATGCAGCCCACACCCCTGCTGATACCTTGAGTTTAGGCCATTGAGGAATAATTTGAGTTTCCACCTTCCACAACAAGAGCATAATAAATATGTATTGTTTTAAGCCACTGTTGTTTTGTAATTGGCCATGGCAACAATAGGAAATGAAAGTAGACACATTAAAGAACATATTATCCCTGTTGGCTAATGAATCTGAATCATATAGAGGACTGGAAATAGTACAGAATTTGCTTCAGAATCATACCACTTGAGGGATGAGAAAAATAGTGCATTTGTCCAACTCCAGTTAGTCTTTGGTTGTTCTCCTGGCGTTGATAGTCTGAAGCCCTAATTACCTGCCCTGAACATTGACTGAACACGTTATCAAGAATAAAGAGGTCAGCAAGGTGGCTGACTAGAAGTCTCAGCACTCATCCCCCCAACAAAGGCAGCCAGAACAATGAAAAAACTACTCTATTTTGATAAAAAAAATAACTACAGGAGAGTGCCAGATTACATCATAGGAGTAACAGAAACCCTGTAGAGCACAGAAACTCAATATGGCCACATAAAGCATGTAAGAAAATACCTTGCTTCTGCCAATTCACCCCTTAGTTGCGATCAGCTTGGAACCAAATGGACCCTTCCTTACTGAAAAAGGTAAGCGGCTGGGCGCAGTTGCTCACGCCTGTAATCCCAGCACTTTGGGAGGCCGAGGCGGGCGGATCATGAGGTCAGGAGATCGATACCATGCAGGCTAACACGGTGAAACCCCATCTCTACTAAAAATACAAAAAATTAGCCAGGCGTGGTGGCGGGCGACTGTAGTCATGGCTACTCGGGAGGCTGAGGCAGGAGAATGGCGTGAACCTGGGAAGCGGAGCCTGCAGTGAGCCGAGATTGTGCCACTGCACTCCAGCCTGGGTGACAGAGTGAGATTAGGTCTCAAAAAAAAAAAAAAAAAAAATTATAAAGTGGACCTCAGTAGCTTCCAGCAACGTGTTTGTTCTCAGTACTGGGAACTCCTGCAATTCTTACCAGCACTAAGCTCAGCTGAGAGAGCTGCCTGAATTCCACACAGCTGCTCACCTCAGAGAAGGAGCCAACACCGTGCTCCTCCTTCTGTAGCCCTAAGGCTATTGTACTGCACCATCTTGGAATGGGATCAACTGTTGGAGTAGCCATGGTAACCTTCTATCTGTGAGGTTTTGTTGCACCTGAACCTCCCCTACCCAGTGGCCTGCTAAGCTAAGCGGAGCTAAGATGTTACTACACCCTGCCTGTGAGGCCAAGCTGTTGTTGAGCTATTTCATCTACTCCTTCCAATCACTGCTGTACTCTATCCCTTAGGGACTGAGTTGAAGCAGAGCTTTGCCTCTTAGGAAAAGGTTGCCATGGCCATCAGAGCAGCCACATCCCCAGGGCCTAAGTTCAAGAAGCGCATTGCCTACTAGGCCTAGCTGAGCAGGTGTGCATCCCAGAGCTGACCTGACATGATAACCCATGTCCTGGGGAAATAGCATTCGCTGAGCTAAGACAATAATGCTCATTTCTATAGGCTGCATAACTGTAGTACCATCCTTCATTGAAACTGGACTAGCCCCCTAGAGTCTGAGCTGCTGAGATACTCCCTTCCCCAGGGGATAGAGTTATTTTTCTGCTTCTCTTTGCAAGCCAGAGCCTAAGCAACAGCTGTTCTCTGCCATTTTTCAGTTCCTTGCTGCTACTACACCTGACCTTACAGTCTGGGATATTGCCATGTCCCACTACCCACGGGTCCAGAGTCAACACTGTGCAGTACCTTATTTCCTAAGGTCTGAGTTGCGACTGTGCCCTATGATCAATTTAAATAGATTAAATTCTCCAGTCAAAATGTATGAAGTGTCAAAATGAATTTAAAAAAATAAGATCCAACTATATTCTGTCTACAGACACACTTTGGCCTTAAGAATACGTAGACTGAAAGTGAAGGGATGGTAGAAGATATTTCAAGCAAATGTTAACCAAAAGGAAGCAGAGATGGCTATATGTATATTAGATGAAATATGCCTCAATTCAAAAACTGTCAGAAGAGACAAAAGAGGTAATTATTTAATGATAAAGGGCTTCATTTATCAAGAAGACATAACAAGTATTAATATATATGTACCCAACATTGGAACTCAGATGAAGCTGAGAGTCAAATCAAGAACTCAATCTCTTTTACAGCAGCTACAGAAAAAGTAAAATATCTGGGCTGGGCACAGTGGCTCATGCCTGTAATCCTAGCACTTTGTGAGGCTGAGGCAGGCAGATTACTTGATGCCAGGAGTTCAAGACCAGCCTGGCCAACATGATGAAACCCTGTCTCTATTAAAAATACAAAAACTAGCCAGTCGTGGTAGTGTGTGCCTGTAATCCCAGCTACTTGGGAGTCTGAGGCAGGAGAATTGCTTGAATCTGGGAGGTAGAGGTTTCTGTGAGCCAAGATCATGCCATTCTACTCCTGCCTGGGCAACATAGAAAGACTCTTTCTAAAAAAAAAAAAAAATCTGGGAATATACCTAACCAAGGATGTGAAAGATCTCTACAAGGAAAATTACAGAACACTGCTGAAAGAAATCATAGTTGACACAAACAAATGGAAACACATCCCAAGCTTATGGAAGGTTAGAACCAATACAGTTAGAAAATGACCACACTGACAAAGGCAATCTACAAATTCAATGGAATTCCTGTCAAAATACTATCATCAATCTTCACAGAACTAGAAGAAAAAATTTCCTAAAATTAATATGGAACCAAAAAGGAGTCTGCATTGTCAAAGCAAGACTAAGCAAAAAGAACAAATCTGGAGGCATCACATTACCTGACTTCAAACTATGCTACAAGGCTATCATTACCAAAACAGCATGGTACTGGTTAAAAAAAAAAACAGGCACGTAGACCAATGGAATAGATTAGAGAATCCAAAAATAAAGCCAAATACAGCCAACTGATCTTTGACTAAGCAAACAAAAACATAAAATGGGGAAAGGACAACCTATTCAACCAACCAATGGTCCTGGGATAATTGGCAAGTCACATAGAAGAATGAAACTGGATCCTCATCTCTCACCTTGTAAAAAAAAAATTAACCCAAGATGAGTCAAATACTTAAATTGAAGACCTGATATCATAACAATTCTAGAAGACAATGTTGGAAAAACTCTTTTATCCTTCAGCATAGGAACAGATCTTAAGCCAATAACACTAAAAGAGGATGAAGAATGGCATTAAATAATGATAAAGGGTTCAATTCAACAAGATGTCCTAACTATCCTAAATATATACGCACCCAACTGTGGTGCACTGAGAGTAATAAAACAAGTACTTCTAGACCTAAGAAAAGTCTTACACAGCCACAGCATCATAGTGGCTCATGCCTGTAATCCTAGAACATCAGGAGGCTGAAGTGGGAGAATTGCCTGAGCCCACAAGTTTGAGACCAGCCTGAGAAACACAGTGAAACCCTGTCTCTACAAAAACTAAAAAAAATTAGCCAGGTATGATGATGTGTGTCTGTACTCCCTGATACTCTGAAGGCTGAGGCAGGAAGATTGCTTGAGCCTAAGAGCTCATTGCTGCAGTGAGCTGTGATCATTCCACTGTACTCCAGTCTGGTCAAAGAGTGAGACCCTGCCTCAAAAACAAAACAAAAATGGATGAAGGACTTAAATTGACATTTATCTGAAGATAACATAAAAATGGCCAACAGGTAAATGAAAATGTGTTCAATATCACTAATCATCAGAAAAATGCAAATCAAAACTCCTATCAGATACTACCTCACACCTGTTAAGATACTTACTATCAAAAAGACAAGAGACAACTAATGTTAATGATAACTCTGTATACAAGACTATGGAGGAAACAGAACCCTTGTGTACCATTGATGGGAATGTAGGTTGATGCAGCCATTGTGGATAACAGCATGGAGGTTCCTAAAGAAATTAAAAGTAGAACTACCATATGACCCAGCATTCTCTCTTCTTGGTATATACCCTAAGGAAATGAAATCACTACCTCATAAAAATATCTGCACTCTTAAGTTCATTGCAGCATTAGTCACAATAGCCAATATATAGAAACAACTTAAGTGTTCATCGATGAATGAATGGATAAAGAAAACATTTTATATATATAGGACTATTATTCAGCCTTAAAAAGGAGGCAAATTTGCCATGTCCACAGATGGACCTACAGAGGACATTTTATTAAGTGAAATAAGCCAGACACAGAAAGAAAAAAAATAATGAATGATCTCACTTTTATATGGAACCTAAGAAAAAAGCTGGGGGCAGGGTGCTCAAATATGTGGAAACAGAGAATAAAACAAGGTCTGGGTTGGGGAAGGAAATGGAAAAGTACAGATCAAAGGATAAAAAGCAGCAGATATGTGGACTGAACAAACCTAGAGCTCTAATGTACAACACAAGGACTATGTTTAATAGCAGTGTATTGTATTAAGGATTTTTGCCAAATGAGTAAATTACAGTCATTCTTTACAAGGGGTAGCTGGAGATGGATAACTATGTGAGATGATGAAGTGTTAATTTGTTCCATTATAGTTACCATATATATGTGTGTGTGTGTGTATATATATATATAAAACATATAATATGTATTATACCTTAAATATGCAAAATAAAATATACAAAAAATACCCATAAAATTATCACACACAGAAAAGAACAAATGGAGAAAGCCTTGAGCACAGTTGTAGGTACAGTACATGCATCACAAGGGTTATTGCAGAGAAGATACCAACAGTATTTGCTAAAATTATCTTGACCACTTTCTATGCACATTTTTTCCTGAATTTCTCTTAACATTTATCATAATAACTTAGATTTAATTACTGACTTTTTTTTTACAGGAACTATGCTA